>NC_000002.12:101429011-101732042 GCF_000001405.40 Homo sapiens | reverse complement strand
CCAGCTTCACCTCCCCAATTCTGAAGAATAATTCAAAATTAAGGGAAGGGTTCACAATATTGGTAAATCCACACAAAATTATGGGACTTTTAACAATTTTCCTAGTTATTTCTGAAAAGAGAAAAGAAACGTATCCACTAACCAAAAGGTATCCAGGAACCAAAACTTTTTCATTTAAAAGGAATCCTGAGTGAATGAAAAACAGGAACAGGGTGCATTATTCTGGTTTATTTTCAAAATTCCCTTTATTTTCCCCTACCCCTCCCCTCCATCTTTTTTTTTTTTTCCTTTTCAGACAGGGTCTCCCTTTGTCACCCAGTCTGGAATGCAGTGGCACCAACACGACTCACTGTAGCCTTGACCTCCTGAGCTCAAGCTATCCTCCCACCTCAGTCCCTCCAGTAGCTGGTGTACACCATGACGCCTGGGTAATTTTTGTATTTATTTTTAGAGATGGGGTTTCATCATGTTGCCCAGGTTGGTCTCAAACTTCTAAGCTCTGGCAATCTGCCCACCTTGGCCTCCCAAAGTGCTTGGATTACAGGCGTGAGCCACCACCCCCAGCCCATTTCATTTTTTAAGATCATTCTCTGCTCTTTGCTTAATAATTTTTAAAAAATTACTGTCGGCCAGGGGCAGTGGCTCACACCTGTAATCCCAGCACTTTGGATGGCCAAGGCAGGCGGATCACCTAGGTCAGGAGTTCGAGGCCAGCCTGGCCAACATGGTGAAACCCCATCTCTACTAAAAATACAAAAATGAGCCAGGCATGGTGGCACACACCCGTAATCCCAGCTACTCGGAAGGTTGAGGCAATAGAATCACTTGAATCTGGGGGGCGGAGGTTGCAGTGAGCCGAGATCGCGCCACTGCACTCCAGCCTGGGCAGCAGAATGAAACTGTGTCTCAAAAAATAGTAATAATAAAAATAAAAATTAAATTACTGTCACATTCAAATCAATATAAATATATACTATTCAACTGTTTGGTTTTTTTTTTGAGACAGTCTCCCTCTGTCGCCCAGGCTAGAGTGCAGTGGCGCAATCTCAGCTCACTGCAAGCTCCGCCTCCCGGGTTCACACTATTCTCCTGCGCAGGCTCCCGAGTAGTTGGGACTACAGGTGCCCGCCATCGTGCCCGGCTAATTTTCTGCGTTTTTTGTAGAGATGGGGTTTCACTGTGTTAGCCAGGATGGTCTTGATCTCCTGATCTCATGATCCGCCTGCCTCGGCCTCCCAAAGTGCTGGGATTACAGGCATGAGCCACCACACCCGGCCACTATTCAACATATTTCTAAGTCAAAGTGATTCACAGGAATTAAGTTTTAAGGATTTGTAATAGTCTTAAGGGGAAAAATTCAAAAACGTATGCTTAACCCTACTGAAGCCATGTGAATGTGCTCTGGAGGTGACAGAAATACCCCCGTACTGAACACCTGTCCAGTGCTGCTGGGCATTCATCCCACCAGAGCTCTGGAGTTAGTGACCTGGTGTCTGTAATAGAGACCCACGGGACAATAGGGCACCAGCTCCTTCCCCCACCCAACCTTCTTAAACACGGGTGTCTCTGCCACTAGCTAGCCATGAGTTTAACCTCTGCCTTCTTTTGCTATAACCAACATATGATCTGAAAAACTGTCCCTACCACAACCCCAAAAAGGAGAGCGGGGCAAGACAGAAGGTGTGCCCTTCAGTTTCCAGTCGTGGGGAGCTGGCCCCCATTTACAAACTTCTCCACCCCAGACTCATGATCATATCACAAAGCAGGAAAGGAGTTTTAAATCATGAATATAATCCCAAAGACCATCTACCAACTATTCCAGAATCCTGACAGAAAGCCATATAGCCATTTCAAAGAAGGAAGACTAAGAATATGAAAAAAGGTTTCACATACAAAGTACATGAACGAAGCAGAATCGAAACCTTATAATAAGCCTTTACTTTCCCCCGTCCTAGGTCCACTGACGCATCTTAAGGAGAGGGCCCCTGGACTAACTCTAGCTGCCACGGAAGATGTTCCGTCTCATGCTGGAGCACTCATGAAGGCCCCACGGAGCTGCGGGAGGAGACACAAAGACAGGTTCCTGGCATCTTTACACACCATCTGATGTTGTGCTGAGGGTTGCAGGAAACACAAACCTGCCCTCAAAGCTAGTCAAGATAACCCTCAAGAGAGGAAAACACCCAGAGAACCAACAGAGTATGTCAGATGGAGAAGACAGGAGCTGTAACAAGATTTCACCAGAGAAGGACCTTTGGCTTGGAGACAAGGAATGCCAAATCAAGGAGCGGGTGGTGTGGGTCCTCAGTTAGACACATGTGGGCAAGAGGAGCTACCTGGAGGGGTGTAGACATAGTGAGGCCCTGAGCCAAACCAGAACAAAACAAAAAGAGGATCACACTGCAGGTAACAGTCGGCAATGTAGCTGGATCTCATTTCAAAATAAATGTTTATTCAGTTGTTTCAAAGTGTATTTTTTAAAACCATTCTTCACTTTTGCTAAAAGGAACCTAGCATCTCCCAGTACAGTAGCTTTCAAACTATCTTGACTGCAGCCTATAATAAAAAATACAGTTAAAACCACCACCCAAGACACCTATAACATGTATTTTTAACCAAAATAAAGGTTTCACAAAACACTCTTAGCATATGTGATGCACTCTATTTTCTATTCAATTAAAAGATGCTAGTCTTGACCAAATAAACTGGCTGTACTGCACACAAATAGATTGTACTACGGAGCACTGTCCACTCTGTCACTTTGTGAAAAGCTGGCAAAAATAAAAGAGACTGTAAGCATAATATTAAATAAAAACTATATTTTCTGAGTATAATGTCTTCTACAACATCGAGCAGATTTCCAGGGAAGGCCTTACAGGAAAAAAGGATAGGGAGGGAGAGTGGGAACAGGACACACACACACACACACACACACACACACTCTCTCTCTCTCTCTCTCTCTCTCCTCTCTCTAATCATTTTCTGAGCCATAACTCTTAAGTTGCTTCTGCTTTCATCTGTTTCATTCATTACATCTTCACAATTTCCTGAAACTGAACATTTGTGCAACACTCACCAATTTTTCTTCATGTCAACAGATTGATTTTATTCTTAATTTTGCCAGGTTTCTGAATATAAATCAGTTTCTCTCACATACTACAAGATATAGGAGCAGCTAGAGCTAGTCTCCAAACATGTTGCACATTAAAATCAACTAGGGGATCTGTCGGGCACGGTGGCTCACGCCTGTAATCCCAGCACTTTGGGAAGCAGCGGTGGGTGGATCACTTGAGGTCAGGAGTTTGAGACTAGCCTGGACAACCTGGTGAAACCCCGTCTGCACTAAAAATACAAAAATTAACCAGGCATGGTGGTGCACGCCTGTAGTCCCAGCTACTCGGGAGGCTGAGGCAGAAGAACTGCTCGAACCTGTGAGGCAGAGTTGCACTGAGCTGTGGTCACACCACTGCACCACTGCACCCCAGCCTGGGTGACAGAGCGAGACTCCATCTCAAAAGAAAAAAAAAGTGTTACTATAAAATCTAGGAGGTGGGTATTCATTTTACACCTCTCAACTTTACTATAGGTTTGAAATTTTTCATAATAAAATGTTGAGAGGAAAGCTTCCCAGGTGATTAAAATTATCTCAAATAATTTTATCTCAAAGTGTGGTCTCCAGACCAGTAAGTAGCCTCAGCAGTGCTTCATAATTTGTTAGAAATGCAGATTCTCAGTCTTACCTCAGAACTACTGGACCAAAAACTGTGGGATGGGGCCCAGTAATCTATGTCTAACAAGCCCCCCAGGGGAGAGGAACCACTGATAAAAATCTTGCTAGCATGCTGCAGAGAAATATGCTATGACAATCTGTACTTTGGGATCCACGCTTCAAGAGCATTCTAGACTGGGAAATAGGGAGATTACTTACTTAGCCTGTACTTAAAGAGGTAACCTGGGTGTTTCCTCAGTTATTTAATGAGAGCAAGCCATGACAACCTTCTAACTTTCTGATGCTACACGTTTTCTCCCTGGAGCCCTTAGTGTGCTCCTTATTTGGTCTTGCCACCTTCTTTCAAGACGGAGTCTCGCTCTGTCACCCAGGCTGGAGTGCGGTGGCGTGATCTCGGCTCACTGCAACCTCCGCCTCCTGGGTTCAAGTGATCCTCCTGCCTCAACCTCCCGAGTAGCTGGAACTATAAGCTCATGCCACCATGCCCGGCTGATTTTTGTATTTTTAGTAGAGACAGGGTTTCACCATGTTGGCCAGGCTGGTCTTGAACACCTGACCTCAGGTGATCCGCCTGCCTCAGCCTCCCAGTGTGCTGGGATTACAGGCATGAGCCACTGTGCCCGACCATTACCACCTTCTTTCTGTTTCACAGTTTTTAACATGAGAGCTAAATGCCAAATAAAGAGGCAATTGCCTATTTCTCTTTCATTTTATATTAACCTGTATATACTTCCCCCCAAAATTTTAAGAGTCTAAAACACAGACTCACAGGCCATTTACTTGGTAATCTATGTTGGACAAAAACCATTTTATTTCAGATATTATTGGCTTTATCTTTAGGGAGTTCTGCAATTACAATCAAAAGACAACCTCACTGACTATACAAGGTTCTTTATACTTCTGGGTATTTTGAGATTATATTAATAGTATTTGTGGAAATAACATTTTTTGTAAACTCTCATAGCGGCTTTAAAATACAGTCCACTGAGTTTTGCAGAAGCAAATCCTTTTCTTTTTGAAGATGGTACTACATGAGTAAATGCTAAGTGTTTTCACTGTTTGCATTTCTACAGACCATCTACACCATCCAAACATGTTAGAAAACTCATCAGAAAGCTATGAGAGGGTGTAATGGCTTCAATATTTGTCTCCTTCAAAATTCATATTGAAATTTAATCCCCAATGTGGCAATATTGAGGTGGGGCCTTTAAGAGATGACTGGGCCATGAGGACTCTGTCTTCATAAATGGGTTCATCCATTCATGGACTAATAGGTTATCATGGGAGTGGGACTGGTGGTCAAGAGGAAAAGAGACATGAGTTAGCATGCTCACCCCCCTCGCCAGGTGATACCCTGCACCAGGACTCTGCAGAGAGCCTCCATCAACAAGAAAGTCCCCCACCAGATTTGGTCCCTTATTCTTGAACTTCTCAGTTTCCACAAGTGTAAGATACAAATCCCTTTTCTTCATAAATTACCCAGTTTCAGGTATTCTATTATGAGCAACAGAAAAAGGACTGAGAGGGTCAAAATGAATTCCTCTTCTACCTCATGTCAAACAATCCAGCCAAACAAACCACAAAACATTTTGCTCTTTCCCATGTAGTTTAAGGAATATATTCTATACTCCTGTCCATTAAGGCTCTTTAAGTCCAAAATAAAGTTAGTTCTAAGTAAAATTTGAGGTCTTGATAATGAAATACAAAGCATCGGCTAAACTAGGCCAACTTCAGGAGAGAAAAGTAAACTGAGGGCCACTTACTAACCATCAGAGGCCTGCAACTAACTCAGATAATTCATGAATATTAGCTGATACTTAACTAGTAATAATGGACCTTTAGTCAACAATAAAATCAAAACTAAAATACTAAGGAAGAAAGAAGGCTCATAAATTAATTGCTGGCAGTTCTCTGTGGCACAGTGTCCACATTTACCTGTCTAACCACCCATGACAGACCACTTAGCCTGTGAGGACAGTGATGCTTACATCAGTTTTTAAATCCACCTTAATTCAGAAGCAGTCATCAAAATTCTGCAAAAGTCCTTGAATCACTAGAAATAAGTGCAAAGACCCTTTTTAATTCTGAACTCTCAAAGTGAATAGCTGCAAGCAGCTTCAAAACTCTTAAATTTGCAACTAACACAGACATCAATTTGATTGGTTTATCTTCACAGTAAAGAGTAAGAGATGAAATGGCTAAATGAGTTATCCCAAGCCAAAGTCCACATTCATTCTAGCAGCAATACCCAACCTGAGGAAGCGGTGAAGCTAAAAGACACTCCAAATAAAGGATCCCCGACAGGGGGCACTAGATATGCAGGAGACTCATAAGAACACTCAGCTTTTATCCAGATTTCTGCCAAAATAAACGTGAAGTGGCCACAAAAAAATAGGTTGTAAGGGGAAGACAAGGTAGGTTTATGTGGAAGAGACGGAACCCACCACATCAACTACAGAGCCTGCCCTGAAGAGGACAGAATGCCATGTGAGACCATGATGTGCCCATGGACCTCCTGGCTCCTCCTCAAGTCACCAGCCACACATGCACCAACCAGAGCATTCCTGTCACACCTCAAAAGTGTTGATGAGATGCTGACTGTGGCACAGGGCACTGTGTGAGAGAATGTCTAGCTTCATGTCATCTTACAGACTTGAAGCCAAAATGGTGATGGCCATCATGACATTCCACTCACCCCACAGTTCAAGTGTACCACACAGAGCCAAGGCAGAGGCCAAGGGAAAAGGCTTGATTATGCAAGGGATGTAATTCACGTCAGTCTTAAATGAGATGAGTATGGTACATACCTTACCATTTACCTTTTGTGATTATAGAATAAACAAAACAGACAAGAGTAAATGATTTCAGAAAACAAAACATATGTTTTGTTTTTTGGTTTTTTTTTGTTTTTGTTTTTTTTTTTTTGCTTATCTTTTAGTCTGGAAAAGTTCAAGCATACAACAAAAGTAGACATTAGAAGAATGAACCCTGTGCACCTATCGCTATAGCTTGACTAATTATGAAAGCATGGCTACATCTATTTCATCTTTATTCCTACCCACACCTCTTCCTTGTACTGAGCTATTCTGAAGCAAATTCTAGGTATAAACCATGCTATCTGCAAACACTTCACTATTTGTAAGAAGCAAATACTTTTAAAATTAGTACAGTCACGTGTTGCTTGATGATGAGGACACGTTCTGTGAAAGGCAATGTCATCCATGTGAGAAACATCACATCACAGAGTGCATTTCCACAATCCTCAATGGTATGGCCTACTCTACACCAAGGCTACATGGTCTAGCTATTGCTCCTAGGCTACAAACCTGCACAGTATGTCAATATACTGAGTACTATTTATAATTTGTGTATCTACACATATCTAAACACAGAAAACATAGAGTAAAAAACAATATTATAATCTTATAGGACCACCATCATTTAGGTACATCATGGATTAAAACATCCTTATGTGCACATAACTATACTTCCCAAACCTGGCTATGCAGTCACTTGCCAGCTTTAAAAAAATACAGATTTCTGGGCCTCATCCATAGAGCTATGTAGGAGTAGTACTAGAATGTTTTGTTTTGTAATCTCTCAAGGCGAATCACCCACAGGTGGAAGAGAACTACATATTCCTTAAGTTCTAAAGGCAAAGCTGATCCTGTTTTCATTCCCTCCTAAGAGAGAAATCAGAATGTGCAAAGTGTGGCAGAAATACCAAACCAAGTGACAAATGAAGACCTAAAACACTGGCATTAGCCTTTGAGTGGAACCAGGAGCCCAATAAATCCCAATCACCTTCTGTTAAATCCCTGTATTAGAGGTTTCAGAAACGGCTGCCTTTTGAAAGCACTCAACATTTTAAAGAGGAATGACAGCCCATACTGACCCATCCCTCCTTTTGTATAAAAGGAACCTGAGGCCCAAATAGATGACACGATCTGGCTCAAGATAACTAATCCTGCCAGTGTACTACTACTGAGGGAAATTCCTCCTGGCCCCTTGAGAAACTGCCACTCACTAACCTCACAGCTTTGCCTGTTTGCCTGTCATCTTAGGTTGTTCCAGTGTCCAGAACCTGGCAAGCAAGTGCACAGGACATTGCACACTGATTGGTTGGCTGGAATGCTGGGTCCATCCCCAAGCACCACCGTTTTTAAATAAGTCATCATCAAACTAAAGCACATCCATAAGTATCATGTAAGACAGAAAAAAAGACATGTCAAACATAGAACTAAAGATGCTCAGTCTACAGCTAAGAAGCCTTAGGGAAACATGATTGAGGTTTTCACTATCTGGCTAGTCATCATTTACTAGAGCAGAAGTTACAGGGAAGAAAATGTCAGCCGACCTTCCTAATTGTGAGTGATATAGTAAACAATGGTGGCCAGGAGCCCCTGTCCCTAGGAGTCTGCAAGAGAAAAGGGCAAAGGACTGACATGAAATGCTGTGAGAGGGTTTCCCGAACCGAAACAAGAAGTTTCACTAGTTAACCTAAAATCTCCTCCTCCAATTCTAGGGTCAAGAGCTTACTCAACTCCATCAAACCAGTTTATGGTTTCTTCTCAATCTCTCTCAAAGTGTAGAAAACAAAGCAAGGCTAGCAACAAAAAGTACTTAAAAACAAGCAGTTAATACTTCAAACCTTCAAAAGATCATTTCTAAGCTTCTTAATGTGAAAACTCTAGACTTACCCTTACTGAGAACTCACCTGGATTCTGGCCCAGGAGCTCAGCCACTCAAGGCACACAAGCTACACAAGGAGAGAGGCTTTCTCAAGCCAAACCCAACAGAAGACAAACAGTGACTCTCACAGTTCTCCAGAGGTTGGGCAAAAAGCAAATTAGAACCTACTTTATCTACCGTCTCTGCTTATCCAAAGCCTATTTTTCTTACCCTTACCATGTAAGATATGCATCTAAACATCTTCAGCAACTCTCTCCTACACTTAGTACAAATATTTACAATATGTTACTAGCGTATTAGTTTATACAGTGAGATGTCTGCATTATATGCAAAAAGGAGGGGAACATCCTCAATAAGATGCTGATATGGTTTGGCTGTGTCCCCATCCAAAACCTCATCTTGAATTGTAATCCCCATAAATTTCAAGGAAGAGACCAGGTAGAGGTAACTGAATCATGAGGGTGTTTCCCACATGCTGTTCTCGTGATAGTGAGTGAGTTCTCACAAGATCTGGCGGTTTTGTAAGTGTTTGGCAGTTCCTCCTGCATTCATTTTCCCTCCTGACGCCTTGTGAAGGAGATGTCTGGCTTCCCCTTTGCCTTCCGCCATGATTTTAAGTTTCCTGAGGCCTCCCCAGCCATGTGGAACTGTGAGTCAATTCAACCTCTTTCCTTTCTAAACTGCCCAGTCTCAGGGAGTTCTCTATAGCAGTGTGAGAATGGACTAATACAGATGCTGTATACTGCTACTACAGTGCCAATGTTTGATGTATGCAAGTTCAACTCAACTATGAGTGATTATGTACAACGTAGAGAACATGGATAGGAAATAAATTCTGAAACCAAAATTTTAGTCCTTAGCCTTCTGAAGCCTCTTCCTCCAAAAACAACACAGGTATCCTTTAGAAAGTGACCTCTAGTAAAGTTACATATAAAGTTGTATTTATGAGATAAGGGCTTTACAAACTGTGAAAACAATACACTCTCAAAGGAAGGACTTCCAACATAATCCTAGTTGAAAACTTTAAGCTAATCAGAAAATCAACTGTAACTCATGATCTTTCCATCGCAGGGATGGGAGAACGAGGGAAAGAAAATAAAAATGCAGACCTTTATTTACCTCTTTCTCTCAAATATAAAACTAGCTAAGAAGCAAATTTCTACAGTGAACTGAATCTGCTTCCCAAAATTGGGCTATCATAAATGAAGGTAAAAGAAACAAAACGAGAGAAAAATTCACAAAAACTTTCAAATTCACCCTTCATCAGAGTTGCAGGGCCAAAATTGGCCAATTCCAGTAGACAGATAATGTCCAAATTCAATGGTTTAAAAGCTCAAAGGCACATCAGAATAATCCATGAGGTTACGAAAACCCCAATACCCAATCCTGGGGTTGCAGCAAAGGCATCAATCTTTTTCTTGCCTCCTCAAGTGACTGCAAATTACAGACATGGTTAGGACTCTCTGCTTTATAGTGAGACTTTAAAGCTCCCCAAGATATACCAAGATGTACCAGAGCTGAGAGCCTCTACCATACTTTTCCTTCAGATTTCTCTCTCCTACTATCTTCCTCTATTGTAAACCAAGGTGAGGTTCAAGGCCCACAGGAAGGTCTCAGCAGGCACTCTGTTCATCAGCTGCAGCAGGAGTTAGGGAATACAACTAGCCAAAGAAGTTGCTATCAGCTGAAGATGGGCTTATTGTCTTGCTGGCTTTTATTGGGTTTAGGGGATTTGCAGGGGCTGGCTCTGCTCTAAATATTATATTTGCTAGGGAAAGCTGAAGAAAACACACCCTTGCTTTTTAACAATTCTTGAATTCTCAACCAATTACCACCTCCTTCTGAGCAGGTGGGTCGAAAGGCTTTAGTAAAAACAAAAAGCAAGGGCTGGGCACCAGTGACTCATGCCTGTAATCCCAGCACTTTGGGTGGCCGAGGTGGGCGGATCACGAGGTCAGGAGTTCAAGACCAGCCTAACCAATAATGGTGAAACCCTGTCTCTACTAAAAATACAAAAATTAGCCAGGCATGGTGGCGTGAGCCTGTAAACTCAGCTACTCAGGAAGCCGAGGCAGGAGAATCGCTTGAACCCGGGAGGCGGAGGCTGCAGTGAGCCGAGATCGCGCCACCGCACTCCAGCCTGGGCAACAGAGCAACACTCCATCTCAAAAAAAAAAAAAAAAAAGCAATATACTACCCAACCCCTTAACACGCTACTCAAAGATATTTCAGACAGGCTCTTTCTTGTCCTGCCCAATCAGCTATCCCTCCTTTACAAAACGGGCAATCTCCTCTTTGGAAATGGTTTTTCACACTGCCCTAGAGAAAAAAAAAATGCACCTCTCCAAAGCCATTCAGAAGTGGATTTTGAATTCTCAAGTCTGCCTTAAGGGATTATCTCTGTATCAATGTATTGTATGATGTATTGACAATTTCTAGTATCAGTTTTTATTCTCTTTTTTAAACCTCATAGTCTACTGACATGTTCTATAGTGGAAACTCAATTGTAAAAGCTTATTTGCAAAATGGGAATGTTTTTTCTCTACTTTCAAATAACTGGAAGATCTGAATTAATGCTAGTAAAAATCCTATGAGTAGCGCTAAATGCAATTCAGCCACAGTACAGTGCTTTGAAAGGACAAAATTTTAAATGTGGTTTTTATTAATGTGACTCATAGGAAAAATGAAGTATTAAAAATGTTATTCTCTAAAGACTGACCTGATGCAACAAAATGCAAAATATGTGATCAACTATGCCTAAACCAAAAATTCAGCAATAATTCAACTTGTTTTTCCAAATTAAGACCTACAAGAGCTAGATCTAGTAATTATTCCCCATCAAGAAAACAGTAACAAAAGATTACTTAACTTGAATATCTGAATTTTCAGAAAGCACAATCTAAAAATCAAAGAAAAATGATAAAAAGATCAGTGCCCGCTCATAAAGGGCACTCAGTAAAAGTGTTGTATTTTGTTTTAACGAGTAAGATGAGAGAAACCCAGAGTGTCCTCTAATCATCTGAGGCAAAAATATGAAGGTCCATCTGGCAGTCTACTATATGCTGACAGATCTTTTAGCCAGTCAGTCCCTCCACCTCACTGGGTCCTTGGAGGTTTCTCCAGGAAAAACGAGGGAGATGCATAGAGGCTCTCTGAAGCTCCTTCCAGAACTATCATTCTATAGTCCAGGACTTCAATGTAAAAACCACTGACCTTAGGGAGTTCAAATCCAGCCTGGCCAACATGGTGAAACCCTGTCTCTACTAAAAATACAAAAAAATTAGCCAGGTGTGGCGGCGGGCGCCTGTAATCCTGGCGACTCAGGAAGCTGAGGGAGGAGAATGGCTTGAACCTGGGAGGTGGAAGTTGCAGCAAGCCGAGGTCATGCCACTGCACTCTAGCCTGGGCGACAGGGGTCTCAAAAAAAAAAAAAAACACCACTGACCTTACCCACCACTGCCCCAAAAAACACAAACACTTAAGTACAACTGTGCTGTACAAATCTCTGTCCAGACATTTTTTTTCCTTGTTTCTTTCTCAACAGCATTTTAAAGCTTCAAACTCTTTCTACCTTCCATCCACTGTTCTCCCCTTTTTGAACTCTTTTTGAGACCTAGTCTCACTCTTGTCGCCCAGGCTGGAGTGCAGTGGCATGATCTCAGCTCACTGCAACCTCCGCCTCCCAGGTACAAGCAATTCTCCTGCCTCAGCCTCCCAAGTAGCTGGGACTACAGGCGCCCGCCACCACGCCCGGCTAATTTTTGTATTTTTAGTAGAGACGGGGTTTCACCATATTGGCCAGACTGGTCTTGAACTCCTGACCTTGTGATCCACCCACCTCAGCCTCCCCAAGTGCACTGGGATTACAGGCGTGAGCCACCACGCCTGGCCCCCTTTTTGAACTCTTATTCTCACAATCAGGCGCTTGAATTTTCTATTCCAACACGACGCATTTTACTGTCTGCTTTCCTAGGTGCAAGAGAGACCACATAATCAAGAACCAAAAAGCTTGCCTAAAAGTCTTTCCCCAGTTTCTCCCTGATTGTACTTACACCTGCCCACTTTCCCCCTCTTTCCTGGGGCCTCAAAACACAGCTGTTGCCTAAAAGCCTGCCACTGTCTGGGTCTGCTGCCTTCTCCAAAACACCAAAATGGTTGTCATCTATTTTCACTAGAAACTTACTGCCATGGCTTAGGGGCAGTCCCGGCCTCTGACCAACTCTGTGAGCCACCTCACCCAGAAACCAGCCCTTTTATTCATTCACTGTCTCAAACACTTACTTTTGTTCAGGAAATGTACTACAAACTGAAATGGAATTTGAGAATCATAATCCATTTATGACCTTGTCATGTCACCAAATCATCAAATAGTAGGGGGGAAGACAGTAGCACTTCACTGCACTGCCTTCCAACCCAACCCAGACAGATGAAGAGCATAAAAGAGGCCAGATCTGCAACCCTAGCTCTGACTAGGCCACAAAGTCCCTCACTCTCTGTAAGCTAAGGGGTTGAGCTACACATTCTCTAACACCTCTTCCTACATCAACATCCTGTGAGCCTCAGAAAGACTACAGTCCCAACTGAAAGTTGTAATCTGTTCACAAAATCATTGATTTGAATGTACAGATACCCAATACACTTTACACCACATGGATAAGACATAACCCTAGTCCAAAGAACCCACCCTAGCAGCTGTGTTCCAGTGAACTACCAACATTTCCCATGCTAACTTCTTTGCCCTACTACTCCTTACTATTGAAAGTATGGAATTACAGTAGCATCACTGGGGAAGCATATTAGAAATGCAGATTCCCAGATGCACTGAAATCAGAATCTGCATTTTCACAAGCTCCCAAGATGACTGAGTGCACATTAGAGTATGAGAGGCTCTGAGGAAGACACAGGAAAGTAGAGAAAAAGGAAAGCTTCAGGACTGGCAACTTCTGCTCCTCTCAGCACCTCCTTTGCCTCTCAATCCCACCCTTAACCCATCCACCCCACCACCACCCCACCCCCCATCCCCCACCCTTCCACTCCCCCCCACCCCCCCACCCCCACCTTCCCACTGTCAGCCCTGGCCCTAAACCCTCACAGGTTCTCTCTGCCAAACCACATCTTACCTACCAACCAAACCTGTCGAAACCCTGGGAAACAAATCTGGCAAAAAGGTTAAGAGCTAAACTTAGAAGTCAGGACTGAAATGCCTTAACACTTGGTTTCTCCAATTGCTTCCTAGCTATGTGTCTTTAGGCAAGTTACTTAACCTCTCCATGCACATGCAAAATAAAAATTAAGGTGAGGAAATGTACATAAAGGAGATGGTGGACCATGTCAGTACTCAAGATAGCTTTTTTTTTTTTTTTTGAGACGGAGTCTAGCTCATGTTGCCCAGGCTGGAGTGCAATGGCGCGATCTTGGCTCACCGCAACCTCTGCCTCCCAGGTTCAAGTGATTCTCCTGCCTCAGCCTCCCTAGTAGCTGGGATTACAGGCATGTGCCATCATGCCCGGCTAATTTTGTATTTTTAGTAGAGATGGGGTTTCTCCATGTTGGTCAGGCTGGTCTCGAACTCCTGACCTCAGGTGATCTGCCCACCTTGGCCTCCCAAAGTGCTGGGATTACAGGCATAAGCCACCATGCCTGGCCAAGATAGCTTTTTTTTTTTTAATAACACACAGTCAAGGGGCAAGTCTCCCACTCTTTACTAATTCAACTATATGCTTAATCAACTAATAGTTGAAGCACATTGATTCCAAAACTCCCACCAATCAGCCTAGCTTCCAGTGTCATCCTATTTTCTCTATACTCCTGAGTCTTCACCGTCTCCATTCTGTTCATTTATAGAATCACATTATCCAAGGCTAATGAGTCCTCATTGAGCTTAGCACATCCTGATTCATTTCTAAACTCACCAGAATCATTGCTTGTGAGACTGTTTCCAGAAACAAATGGCTTGCGCACTGCAGATGGCACACCACAGACAGTCCCATGTGCCACCCACTAAAGCTAAAAAGTCACCTGGTAATGGAGTTCAGGCCGTTTCCTCTAATGACAGAAGTCTATGATTTTTTAAAATAACTGGTTAATTCAAGGCAAGAGTTTGTTCTTTTCCCGACACAAAAAGAAATTAAGAGTTATTATATGAGAGCCTTAAACTTAGGCACTTAAACCTCAAATCCCATCATTTGTTGTATTGGTGCTAAGAACTAAAACTCATCTTCAAACGTCATCTTCCAACACATAAACAGCAGATTCAATCTAGTTTACCTGTAGCTATATCTCTTTTCGCCTTCATTATCAACAATTTGGGGAAGGAGATAAGCTTCGTTTGCTCTCCTAAACAACCAATGAGAAGGCCGCACGCTGACAGCTGGGTATGCATGACTTCCTCCTGCCCAAGCCCTACTCTCATTTCCTGTTGAGCTAAGAAAAGCAGGTAGAGTGTTGGTGTTGCCATCCATGAATTAAGGTATTTGAGCACCAAAAGCCCAGGCTAAATTCATGACTTATTTATCATTTTGCTATTGTCACCCTACCCAAATTAGTGGATGCAAAACCCTAACTCTCAGCTGTAACAGGGCATACTGTAACACTGTAATTAATGGTGATTAGATTCTTTTGTAAAATGAAGATATTAAATGTACATATTTATCTCCATTTATTATATCTCCATCTCATTCCCCAAAAGTTGAATGTTTTATAATACTCGAAACTTTTTAAATATTCCTTAGTGAACAACAAAAGGAAGAAAGGAGACAAAAAGAAAACTGAGATATGGGAAACAAAAGGCCAGGGTGCTTAAAAAGTCGGCCAACCCAAGTCACACCATGCAGCCCCCAGTTAACTGCCAGCTGACTTCAGCTTCCGGAGAGATCCTAGAAGAGATGGATAGAAGAGCCACCACACTACCACACTGAGTATGCCCCAGTCCAAATTACTGACCTACAAAAGTATGAACAAAGATGATGATGCTTATACAACACGAAGCCAGCAAGTTTCAGGCATGGTTTGCTACCCAGCAAAGGCTAACTGATATAGTACCACCATCTGATGGGTTTACTGCCTTCTTTAAACCCCATGAAAACACGAACTGTATCTTTTTTTTTTTTTGCCATCCTTTATCTCCATCATCTAAAATAGCATCTGTAGTTTTTTTTGTTTGTTTCTGTTTTTGTTTTGAGACAGAGTCTCGCTCTGTCGCCCAGGCTGGAGTGCAATGACACAATCTTGGCTCACCGCAAGCTCTGCCTCCCAGGTTCACGCCATTCTTCTGCCTCAGCCTCCCAAGTAGCTGGGACTACAGGCACCTGCCACCACGCCCGGCTAATTTTTTGTATTTTTAGTAGAGACGGCGTTTCACCGTGTTAGCCAGGATGGTCTCAATCTCCTGACCTCGTGATCCGCCCACCTCGGCCTCCCAAAGTGTTGGGATTACAGGCGTGAGCCACGGCCATCTGTAGTATTTTTGTGTTGAATGAATATACTAATGAATATGCTATTTATCTGATTAGAACAGCAGTCCCAATCTTTTTGGCACAGGGACCAGTTTCATGAAGAAACTTTTTCCATGAAGGTAGGCAGGGGGTGGCAGTGGTGGGAGACAGTGACAGATCATCAGGCATTAGATCCTCAGAAAGAGTGTACAACCTAGATCCTTCATATGCACAGTTCACAATGGGGTTCATGCTCCTTTGAGAATCTAATGCCACCACTGATCTGACAGGAGGTGGAGCTCAGGCAGTAATGCAACCAATGGGGAGCGGCTATAAATACAGATAAAGCTTCAATTGCTTTCCCACTGCTTACCTCCTGCTGTGGGGACTGGCTCCTATTAGGTCAAGGACCAGTACTTGTCTGAAACTCAGAAGTCGGGGACCCCTGGATTAGAAGACCCTATGTATTTTTTAGTTTAAAAAAACAAGGTTCAAAATTTTCAGGTTGAGTATCCCTAATCCAAAATTTTAAACCATTTGAGCATCAACATGACTCTCAAACTAAATGTTCACTGGAGCATTTTGGATTTCAGACTTTTGGATTAGAGATATTATACCATGAAATATAATATGAACATTCCAAAATCCAAAAAAATCTGAACTACTTCTGGTCCCAAGCATTTCAGATAAGGGATATTCTACCTGTGTTAGTTAATAAATCATTAGCACTTTAGAGTAAAGTTATTTTCTGTGTCTTCAGTACAAGAAAAACTTTACAGTATTGTTATGGGCTGAAACCGTGATCCCCCAAAAATTACTGACATGTTGAAACTCTCATCTCCAGTACCTCAGAAAGTGATTGAGACTTAGAAACAAGGCCTTTTGAAGAAGTGACTGAATTAAAATAAGGCTGTTAGAGTGAACCTTAATCCAATCTGACTGCTGTCCTTGTAAGAAGAAATCTGGACACAGACACCAGGGAGGGGTGCACAAAAGGCAAGGCTAAGAAGGTGGCCATTTGCAAATTAGAAAAAGGAGCCTCAGGAAAAACCAACTCTGCCAACACCTCAATCTTGGACTTCTGTCCTCTAGAACTATGAGAAAATGACTTATATTACTGAAGCCCCCAGCCTGTGACCTTTTGTTATGGCAGCCCTAACAGACTAATGCAGGTATGGAGTTCCCATACATTTGTTCTTTTGGGTCTTGAAGCCTCTTATTTTTACCACATTCTCTGAATAGTGAAAAATTATTGAGAGATTCATAGAAGAAAAGTTGGGTGGCAAGAATTTCTTAAGCTGGTTTTTTTAACTATGAGAAGGTATCTTAGTTCCATTTATGTGACTGATGAGTTCCATGATTCCCGAAGTGGACTGCAGCCTATGGAACAAATCTTAGATACATTCTTTTACCAGAGAGTTTGAACAAGATAATCTTCAAGCCTCCTCCTAGCCCCAACATTTACGTATCAGAGTTTATAGGGAAATTATCAGAATGTTCAAATGAATTCTGCACATGATTTAGAAAGGAATGTTAATTTCCATTTTGATTTAGAGTTGGCTGGTATCAGTGTCAAACTTCTTAGGAAGGCTCATTTTCTCACGGTTTTTTGATAACGGGGAAGATAAGGTGCTTATAGTTATTTGGAGAAAGTAAAATTATTATGATTAGTTATATAACATAATTGTAGAATGTTATTTCTCACTGTGTAGGGAGGGGTCTTCTAGCCGTTTTTGTCAAACAGCCTCTTTTGAAATGTAAGAAAATTATGTTTCTTAACTATATAAATATGTTGCATAAAGATGGCATAACTTTCTCAAAGTTAATTTCTCAACAAGTTTCTTCACAAGTACAGGAAATGCATTTTAGCGAAAACTTCCTTCCCTATAATTTATTCTAAACAGGTTGCTTGGACAAAATCTGTGTTCAGGTAGTTCCTCTTTTACTAACATTTAATAAATAGTTGAAAAAAATTACATGAAAATGGTTTTGAAAGTATAAGAATAACAACTATTAAACTAAACCTGAAAAGGCTTGATTGTTTAGCATTCCGCAGCACCATTAGACTTCCAACCTATCTTAAGTCACCACTGTTCCTTGAAGCAATGCTCTCTGGATTGGATTTGAGGTTTGTCTCTATTGTATGAGTGAGGTTCTAAGACAAAGATATTAAAATATTGGCTCTTGTCATAAGGCCATATGAGGTTCCAGATTGTAAATGAAATGAAAAACCCCCTAGGTATTTGTTATTTTTGGTAGGATCAGATGATGGGAAATTAGAAAATTTTTTTTTTGAGATGGAGTCTCGCTCTGTCACCCAGGCTGGAGTGCAGTGGCGCGACCTCAGCTCACTGCTACCTCCGTCTCCCGGGTTCCAGCAATTCTCCTGCCTCAGCCTCCCAAGTAGCTGGGATTACAGGCACACCCACCATGCCCATCTAATTTTTGTATTTTTAGTAGAGACGGGGTTTCGCCATGCTGGTGAGGCTAGTCTTGAATTCCTGACCTCAAGCAATCCACCTGCCCCAGCCTCCCAAAGTGCTGGGATTACAGGCCTGAGCCATCGCACCCAGCATTTTTTTTTTTTTTTTTAGACAAGGTCTCACTCTGTCACCCCAGGCTGGAGTGCAGTGGCGTGATCTCAGCTCACTGCAACCTCTGCCTCCTGAGTTCAAGCAATTCTCATGCCTCAGCCTCCCAAGTAGCTGGGATTACAGGCATGCGCCACCGTGCCCAGCTCATTTTTTTTGTACTTTTAGTAGAGATGAGTTTCACCATTTGGCCAGCCTGGTCTTGAACTCCTGACCTCAAAAGATCCGCCCACCTAAGCCTCCCAAAGTGCTGGGACTACAGGAATGAGCCACTGCACTCAGCAGAGGGATTAAAAATTTTTTAATTGATCACTGTCAAACTGGAACACTGGCATAGCAAAGTACCTTTTTACTTAAATATTTTAAGCACAATCAAGATTTTGGTTTAAGGCCAGGCGCAGTGGTTCACACCTGTAATCCCAGCACTTTGGGAGGCCGAGGAGGTGGGTGGATCACCTGAGGTCAGGAGTTTGAGATCAGTCTGGCCAACATGATGAAACCCCGTCTCTACTAAAAATACAAAAATTAGCCAAGGTGTGGTGGCAGGTACCTGTAATTCCAGCTACTCAGGAGGCTGAGGCACGAGAACTGCCTGAATCTGGGAGGTGGAGGTTGCAGTGAGCCAAGATGGTGCCCACTGCACTCCAACTTGGGTGACAGAGTGAGACTCTGTCTCAAAAAAAAAAAAAAAAAGATTTTGGTTTAACAGAAACTTTTAATTAATCAACCCTTGAAGTTCAAAGTGAACTATCAATGTTCCAAGGCCAGGATCTTTGATATTCCTCAACAAACAAATTTCTCGGCCTGGCGCAGTGGCTCACACCTGTAATCCCTGCACGTGGAGAGGCCGAGATGGGTGTATCACCTGAGATCAGGAGTTTGAGACCAGCCTGGCCAACATGGTGAAAATCCATCTCTACTAAAAATAAATTAGCCAGGCATGGTGGTACACACCTGTAATCCCAGCTACTCAGGAGGTTGAGGCACAAGAATCACTTGAACCTGGGAGATGGAGGTTGCAGTGAGCCAAGATCATGCTACTGCACTCCAGCCTGGGTGACAGAGGGAGATACTGTCTCAAAAAAAAATAAAATAAAAAATAGGGCCAGGCACAGTGGCTCACGCCTATAATCCCAGCACTTTGGGAGGCCAAGGCAGGCAGATCACGAGGTCAGGAGATCAAGACCATCCTGGCTAACACGGTGAAACCCCGTCTCTACTAAAAATACAAAAAATTCGCCGGGCATGGTGGCCTGCGCCTGTAGTCCCAGCTACTCGGGAGGCTGAGGCAGGAGAATCACTTGAACCCGGGAGGCAGAGGTTGCAGTGAGCCGAGATCGCACCACTGTACTCCAGCCTGAGTGACAGAGCGACACTCCATCTCAAAAAAATAAAAATAAATAAATAATAAATAAAAGTGAAATGTATACTAAAAAACTATAAGGCCAAGTGGGTAGAAATGGAGGTATACCATAGTAAGGTATAATATCATTTGAAGGTAGACTGTGGTAAGTTAAAAACATGTGCTACAAACCTAAAGCAACCTATAAAACAACCTAAGTAGAAGTTATAGGTAATAAGTCAGCAAAAGGAATCATTAAAAAGCAAAAAAAAAAAAAAAAAGGGCAAGACAGACTACCAATGAGATCAAGTCCTTAGCTGATAGAGCCAGCAAGAAAATAAACAGTATAAAGACAAGAAAAAAATAAATAAGCATCCTATTTAAAATTCAACATTTAAGTTGCTTTTTTCATATAACAATAAGAATATATTTTCAGCTAATTAACTAGAAAACTAATGAAACGTCTAATACAATCTTGGAGTTGATGACTGACAAAGCCCTTGCTTATACAAAATAATGCAAAAAGAATTTCACACTTTGAAAGCCAGCATACTAATGGGACTACAAAGTCCCATTTTCCAGTATGATTAGAGAATGGTTAGAAATATCTCACTCAACATCAAAAAAAAACCACAACATCATTTTACCTAATCGGATTAGAAAAATAAAATTCTCTTTTGTCCATATTATCAAAGAGCAAGGCCAGGCCCAATGGCTCACGCCTGTAATCCCAGCACTTTGGGAGGCCAAGGCAGGTAGATCACTTGAGGTCAGGATTTGGAGACCAGCCTCATCAACACGGTGAAAACCCATCTCTACTAAAAATACAAAAATTAGCCAGGCATGGTGCTGCATGCCTGTAATCCCAGCTACATGACAGGCTGAGGCAGGAGAATTGCTTGAACCCTGGAGGCAGAGGTTGCAGCTCTGTCTTAAAAAAAAAAGCAAAAAAACTTTATCTTTTAATTATTTTGTTATATAACCGGAACTACAGAAACTTATTAAAAACTATGTGAATATCACAAACCTGTACACCATTGTTCCCATTTTACAGAGGTCCCTTTCAGCCCTAACGTCGTGGGGACCAGCAGCTGAACAAAGCAGTCTCCCCATGTGTAATGTAGGGCAGAATGTGGCCTACTTCAGGCCAGCTGTTTACCAAATATTATTCCAGATATTGCTCATAAGACAATCTGAAGCCTGACGAAGGCCCCTCCTTCACCCATATGAGAATGTTCAGGATGCTAACTTCTAACTGATACAGGAGATTCAAATGCAAGGAGCACCAAACAGTGCAGATGTAGGAGGCAAGGCTTCCTGAGAGACAGCTGGCTCAAGGCAAACTGAATGAAGACAGTCAATTACCATAATCAATGGAACACACCCCTCCTATCTTTATTCAAAGTAGTATTAACCAAGATGATGAATCATCAGCTCAGTGGGTTTTAACTCCTAGCAGACTGTTCACTGCTCCACATATATCTATGCCTCATCTAGAGCATCTGAATTGAAATCATAAAGCTTCACTGTGCATACCACCGTATCTGTTTTATCAGCTCTAACTTAGCTGTCATGTCACACACTCCCATAGGCCCCTGCTATTCCCCATCTGCAATATCATCCTCTTTAACTGTGTGTTCATTTTCTGCCTTACACATTAGGCTATACGCTACACAAGGGCATAAGCTGACTGCCTTTCTTGTCCATTGTCACCAGTGAGCAAGCCTCGCATGGTGCCTGGCACATATTATAAACACATTAAGTACTAGATAAATAAATAAAGGAAATCTTGACTAGCAGAGTAGGCTCAAAATATCTGTAGACAGTGAAACAAGAAACAGAAACCAAGCCTTGAAATCACTGAAGAGTAAAGAGCTGAACACCTGTCAGATTTTTCTGGGAATCAAGGAAGGCAACAAGAATAAATGAGAAAATGTGTACATATAGAGAACTAAGATGCTCTAATATGCCAAGTTCAAACTGGAATGGCCCTAGAATCTGAGTCATGCCCTAGCAGGTGAATGAATACACCCAGTGAATTGTGTCACTTAAATGTACACACTCAACCTCAGGCAATATTCAACCGGGATCTCCAACAAATTATTAAGTACCTTGATGCACAGCCCTAACTCAGATAATATTCAGTCTTTGACATACCTCTCAAAATTGAAGTCATAAAACTACACACCAATTACACATAAAGAGTCTCAGAAAAACTCAGGGGGAGAAGGGCTCTGGTAGTCAACAGTATTCTGTCACTGTCACAGCAAGTAAGAACGAAAGCTCTGCAGTATAAGAATTTTCAAAAAATAAACTATTACTTAACTTAATTTTATGTAATCTGAATGCAGTAAGGCCCTAACAAAAGGTATCACAAAAAAACTTAAGAATAAAATATAAGAAAAATACTCTGAAAAATACACTTGAAACAAATGAGCAAACTTATTCGCCCAAAACACATAGCAAATCATTTATTTAACTTGGGATACATCCTTCTGACCAAAGATAACATATTTTGCTTTGTTTTTTCAAAATCCAGGCAAGACAATAGCTTCTGCTTGAGATAAAGGAAAACTGCAGTCTAGCATCACATGGTAAATAGCTGGCTATTATACAAGGGAATTCCTCCCAAAAATAGAAGGAAAAACTAGTTTGGCCTAGTTCCTACTACCAGTGACCTCGCTGATAGTGAATAGTTTGTCTTCATAGCGATAAGAAAGAAACTGTATTCTTGTTTTTAAAAATGACTTAAAGCCAGGCACAGTGGCTCACGCCTGTAATCCCAGCACTTTGGGAGGCCGAGGCGGGCAGATCACCTGAGGTGAGGAGTTCGAGACTAGCCTTGCCAACAGGGCGAAACCCCATCTCTACTAAAAATGCAAAAATTAGCTGGGCGTGGTAGCTCACACTTGTAATCTCAGCTACTTGGGAGTCTGAAGCAGGAGAATCACTTGAACCCAGGAGGTGGAGGCTGCAGTGAGCCAAGATTGTGCCACTGCACTCCAGCCTGGGCGACAGAGTGAGGCTCCATCTCAAAATATAAATAAATAAACTCACAGTAATGACTAATAATAAGACTGGGGAAGATAAAGGATTCAGGGACACAAAACTTCAACTGCTTTTCCCTCATCCAGACAGTCACTCAGGGTCATCAGAACCAAGTGTTTGGTTACACTAAAGGGAAACAAGAAGACCCAAACAGATAAATTCCCCCTCCTTTCTCCCTTCTGTGGATGACTTAAGGTGCAGTTCCATCAACATCATGCCTATCAATTGGTGAACAGGTAACAAATGTGGTACAACCATAGCCTAAAATTCAGCAATAAAAAGGAACAAAGAACCACACTGCTACATGGTCGAACCTCAAAAACATTAAACACAGGCGACCATACGTTGTAGGATTCCATTTAAATGAAATGTTCAAAAAAGGCAAATTAATACTGGCAGATTATTGGTTGCCTGGGGCTCTGGGTTGGAACAGGGATTAACTGTAAATCACTACGAGGAATCTAACTGGCATGATCAAAGTGTTCCAATATTGATTTGTGGTGATGGTTGTGCCACTCAGTAAATTTACTAAATATCACTGAAATGTAAGCTTGAATTGGGTTAATTTCATAATACAGAAAACATACTTCAATAAAGCTGCTTTAAAAAAAAAATACTGCTGAACAAACTCCTCTATCTCTCAAAGGTTTGTTCAAAGCAGCAGCCAGCATGGTAATTAATACGTACCATGGCACTGCTTGGCATCCTGCCTCACTTTCCTTATTCCTCATCCTCATCTCCCTCGGCTTGCACCTCCCAAATTAAGTATCTCTGACAGAGGTCACACAGTAAGGTCACAGAGGTTACGCACTGCTTACCCTTGTTTTCATTTTTTATTTGTTGTTATTGTTATTGTTTCATTGGTATTGTTATTGTTCTGTTGGTATTGTTATTGTTCTGGATGAAAAGAAACAAACACCTGAGCAAAACCCTAAGTCCAAAATCAAAGACACAACTTTTGGTTAAACATGGTGGACTGATCACATGAGTTATTAAGAATTAATTCCCATAAAAATGATTTTAAAGTAAACAAAAGAATAAAGATATAAAGGGGAAAAGAGGTAGTAGAGATCATTTCTATCAGGTTTTGACAGCTAAAAAGTGGATGGTCAGAGGCCGAGGTAGGCAGACCACTTTAGTCCAGTAACCTGGGCAAGATGGTCAAATACCATCTCTACTAAAAATTTTAAAAATTAGCTGGACGTGGGCTGGGCGCGATGGCTCACACCTGTAATCCCAGCACTTAGAGAGGCCGAGGTGGGCGGATCACCAGGTCAGGAGATAAGAGACTATCCTGGCTAACACGGTGAAACCCCATCTCTACTAAAAATACAAAAAAAAAAAAAAAATTAGCCAGGCGTGGTGGCAGACACCTATAGTCCCATCTAACCGGGAAGCTGAGGCAGGAGAATGGCGTGAACCCGGGAGGCAGAACTTGCAGTGAGCCGAGATTGCACCACTGCACTCCAGCCTGGGCGACAAAGCGAGACTCCGTCTCAAAAAAAAAAAAAAACAAAAAAAAAAAACTTAGCTGGACATGGTGGTGCACACCTGTAGTCCCAGCTATTCAAGAGGCTGATGTGGGAAGTTTGCTTGAGCCCAGGAGGTTGAGGCTGCAGTGAGCTGTGATCACACCACTGTACTGCAGCCTGGGGGACAGAGCAAAACTCTGTCTCAAAAGACACAGACAGACAGGCAGACCAGGGGCAGTGGTTCATGCCTGTAATCCCAGCACTTTGAGAGGCCCAGGCAGGGGGATCACCTGAGGTCAGGAGTTCGATAACAGCCTGGCCAACATAGTCAAACCCCATTTCTACTAAACGTACAAATATTAGCCGAGCATGGTGGTCCGCACCTGCAGTCCCAGCTACTTGGGAGGCTGAGGCAAGAGAATTGCTTGTACCCACAAGGCGGAGGCTACAGTAAGCCAAGATGGCGCCACTGCACTCCAGCCTAAGCAACAGTGAGACTGTCTCAAAAAAAAAAAAAAAAAAGATAAAATAAAAAGTGGATGGAGTAGTAACTAAGAGGTAAAAATTACAACCTAAGTGCCTACTAAAGGATACCAAAAAGAAGTGAGACAGTTGGACCTACAAAACCCTGACAAGGTCATCATTTGGAATAAACCAATACCAAGTGAGGTGCAAGGCCAAAATCAGAACTGATGAAAGTTTGCATATTTAGTGGTTGAAAGCCCCAGGTCCCCTTTCTCTGCCTTACACAGTCTGGTAACTGCCTCACATCACTCCATACCCACAGGAAACCAGAGATTTAGTCCCTAAAGAAATCGAAAGCAGTTATGTTCCAGACAAGAGAAGATGAGGCAGTGATAAGAAAAAGGGATTTTCAGCCATACAAGGACTTAAAACCTTAATACCCATATACCCTTTCTTTTAAAACTACTAGAGGATGTGCTTCAGGAAAGTAAGATAGTAAACCAAAAAGGAAGACTGCAGTATCCAGGAAACAGACATTCCAGGACAATAATAGCTACATGCCAGGTCCAGGGGCAACCATACCTGCATAGCTATGAGGAAACTCCAGGGAGAAAAAATTGAAATCAACAGGTTATCTTGCAACAATAAATTATCTGACGTGTGGTGTTAAATTAAGCATTTGGAAAATGTGATAAAGACTAAACTTTGTTAGGCATTTGTTATACCTTTTAGGGTATCTGAGGAGGAAGGTGATGATAGGTACAAAGAAAACTAAGCAAATGAAAAACTAAAAGCGATGTGGGGGCAGGGGTGTTGTTTAAAAAAGGAAATGTAATCGTATGAGACTGTTTAGCTCACATATAAATGGTATTTACATAGTCATGATAAAAGAAACAACTATCACTTTAACCCAAAATTATGGTATGCCCACTTAAGGGAGGCAGCAAGTATAGGAGTTAAATATTCAACTACTATTGAACTAACTAGTTCAATAACTACAACTACTGCTAGAGGACGTCAATAAATGTATAAAACTGATAAATGAACTAGCCACATAAGTACATAATTTACAAATATAGCAATAAATTTCAGATGTAGCAGCTAAAAGCACTGAAAACATGCTTCTGGAGAACAGGATGACTCTGACTTTTGGTATGAGCGCTTTAGTATCATTTGATTATAACTATCGATTCATAACTGGTAAGTTAAGGCCCTATTTATCATATGAAGGATTTTTTAAAGTTATAATGTAAAAGTGGGGTTTTTCTTTCATTTATTTAAATTTAATAGGATAACTTGTTCATATTTAGCCATATCTGAGACAGTTCCAAAGCACAGGGGTCAAAGACGTTTTGGCACTAAAGCATAAAGCTGTAAGCAGCACCTGCTGTAGCTCCCCAATGTTCAAAGGGTGGGAGAACCAAATACTAGGCACAAACAACAGTCCTCAATTCTCCAGCTCACTAACACACCAACCACCCACAGTTTACTAAGAGCCCTGCTACAAATTCAATCCTGCCAGTTCAGTGTTCCTCAAAGTGTGGTCTGCTGACCACAGCAAGATCATTTCTGAAATTAAAAGTATATAAAAACTTTTATATCACCTGAGTTTCTTATACTTTTTTAAAAAGAAAACAAAAACAAAAACTTTTACAGCAATTTGACATGGGAAAATGTCTTTTGATTCTACGAGTAAAAAAAGTAGACTGATATTCTATATGTCTACCTTTTCATTTCACTTTTCATTTGTTTTTACTGTAATTTAAAGCACAGAGAAGCCCTGCTGATGAGGTTGAGCCACTTAAAATGAACACATTGCAGTATGTGCTGTTTCCATGTGTCAGTGCATTCATTGTGTCTGAACACAAGTGTGCTGGGCAGGGAACCCAGGGAGATGCAGACAACACAGAATGTATGACTGACATCCCACAGCTGGCATTTTGTGTCCATCCCCCTGTTTTTCTTGAGTTCCATAAGGGTAGATATATCATCGGCTTCATTTACCACTGTGTATCTAACTCTCAGAACAGGGCCCAGCACACATCCACAGTACCTGCATGAAACCACCCTTATATGGTTAATCGTTTTTCACTTTTGTCTCCCCAATTTAGTTATACCTAATGCTATCTAGATAACAAAGTTTGTAAGAGTCCAGTTTTTAAAACGGGATGTCCTAAAACTTATCATTGTGATCATTCCTTAGAGATTCTTACAGACAAAAACTACCTCCCAATGAATCACTTTATTAATTACTCAACCCAAGAGGCAGCTTCTCTTCTGAATAATACTCACCAACTCTTATTACTGAACCTGCTCCATAACAAAAGAACAAATTCTGTTTGGTGAGCAGTGATATAACATTATAAAACCTAACAACCATTGCTGCCACAATGGTCACTGGTAATAAATATAAGATTACCTTGGCCTTCTCCATTTTCTTCCTAGTCATCTTTCCCTGTATGTCTAAAAACTTTACCCTGACTCGAGTTCGAGACCAGCCTGGCCAATATGGTGAAACCCCATCTCTACTAAAAATACAAAAATTAGCCAGGCTTGGTGGCATGCACCTGTAGTCCCAGCTACTCAGGAGAGTCGCTTGAACCTGGGAGGCAGAGCTTGCAGTGGGCCGAGATCACACCACTGCACTCCAGCCTGGGCGACAGAGCGAGACACCATCTCAAAAAAAAAAAAAAAAAAAAAAATATATATATATATATATATATATATACACACACACACACACACACATAAAATATTGGTTAAGAAAAAAGGCAAAATACGAGTTGAGTTTGCAGCTAGGCAAATAAATGTACATTTATCACAAAGTTTCAAGCAGTAAGGAGTTAAAAACCCATCATCAGCAGGGTTTTGTTTGGTGGTTGGCTTTTCTGTAGAGCTTTTGATGTTTGAGTTAGTAAAACAGTTTTTGAAAGTAAGGGTTGAAACTCTTTGAGAGCAGGGCTTGCTCAACAGGGCTGGCTTCCTCCCACCTTGTCCAAGTCCAGAATCTTCCACATGAAGGAAATCTATGTCTCAGAACAAGCCTGAACATGCCTCTCAGTGGCAGATCAGCTGACACAATCTCCTCCTAATGAAAACATCTGGTTCTACAAAATTCATTTTGCCCCAGTGGATGTCTTTACCTCCAATTAAGAACGAGAGATGCTACACTTAAAAGATAACACTTAGAGAATCCCTCACAAAAGTTTAAGTACTTGCTCCAAAATGCAAATTTTTTTATTTTATTTTTTCTTTTTGGAGGAGTCTGGCTCTGTCACCCAGGCTAGAGTGCAGTGGTGCTATCTCGGCTCACTTCAACCTCCACCTCCTGGGGAAGTTCAAGCAATTCTTCTGCCTCAGCCTCCTGGGTAGCTGGGACTAGAGGCACGCGCCACCACGCCCGGCTAATTTTTCTATTTTTAGTAGAGATGGGGTTTCACCATGTTGACAGGCTGGTCTTGAACTCCTGACTTTGTTATCCACCCGCCTCGGCCTCCCAAAATGCTGGGATTACAGGTGTGAGCCACCGTGCCCGGCCCCTAATGATTTTTAAAAGCCAGACAATCTATATGGCACTTTACCACTGAGCAATCGAAAGCAATTTTAGCACTTTAACCACCCCACCCCCGCCTTTTTTTTTTTTTTTTTTTTTGAGACAGAGTCTCATTCTGTTGCCCAGGCTGGAGTGCAGTGCCATGATCTCAGTTCTCTGCAACCTCCACCTCCTAGGTTCAAGCGATTCTCCCACCTCAGCCTCCCAAGTGGCTGGGATTACAGGCGTACACCACCACGCCTGGCTACTTTTTATATTTTTAGTAGAGATGGGGTTTTGCCATGTTGGCTAGGCTGGTCTCCAACTCCTGACCTCAGGTGATCCGCCCGTCTCAGCCTCCCAAAGTGCTGGGAATCCCAAAGCTCCTCCTAATACTGTGGGCAAACCGTGTACCCACTTAAAGGGACATACCAAAGCCTGCAGAGAACGAGTGAATTCAACATGTTAAACCTAGCAAAGAGTAATGCCCAAGTATCCACCCCAACCTCTCCTCCTCTCTACCACCACTGCCACTATCCCGCCTCGGCCTTCACCTCCTGTCACTGGACCACTGCCCAAGGCCAACCATTTTACCAGCTCCTTCCCAACACACATCTGGATCAAGTCCCCTACTCTAAGGGATCCCCAATTCCAACAAAATCTTTCAGTGACTCCTCAATGCTTAAAGAAGATGTCTCTCCTCAAGTCCAAATAATACCTCCTTGAAATTCCCACTACTCCCTAACCTTTCTACCATTCCCAAAGGTCACTCTTAGCCCTACTGCCACACACAAACACCTCACCTCTCCCCTCCCTTTCTTCAATAAATGAGGGGTCTAACATGAGCACAGTGTCAAATGGGCATCGAATGAGCAAACTCTTAGCGTTAGCTCCCCTTACCATCAAGGTCTTTGGGCCTAGGGTACCCTTGTCCTCAATCTCCAAGGTCCACATTGTACCCTTCCTCCAATGACAAGATCAGAATGGGTCAGTCTTCCACAAAATCTATGGTCCCTCCTTTGAGTGAACCTTGATTTCAGACATTTTACCTGCTGGATTCTAAACTCCCTGACTTCCACGTTACTGTTACCGGATTTCCCCTCTGTCAGTCCTTCCAAGACTCAGAATTGTCCTCAGGCTGGCAATCTTCTTTTCTTTTCTTTTTTTTGAGACAGAGTTTCACTCTTGTTGCCCAGGCTGGAGTGCAATGGCACAATCTCGGCTCACTGCAACTTTCACTTCCCAGGTTCAAGTGACTCTCCTGTCTCAGCCTCCTGAGTAGCCGGGATTACAGGCACCCCCCACTACACCCGGCTAATTTTTCGGTATTTTTAGTAGAAACGGGGTTTCACCATGTTGGCCAGGCTGGTCTCGAACTCCTGACCTCAAGTGATCCGCCCACCTGCGCCTCTCAAAGTGCTGGGATTTACAAGCGTAAGCCACCGCGTCCGGTTGACAATCTTTTATTCAAGACATTTGGAACACCAGCCATCACATGCTCACAAAATGCAAAATAACAGTAGTTACCCCAAGAACACAAAAATGGTCAAATAAATATTTAAAATAACAATAAGGCCGGGTGCAGTGGCTCATGCCTGTATACAATCCCAGCATTTTGGGAGGCCAAGGCGTGCAGATCACTTGAGGCCAGGAGTTCAAGACCAGCCTAGCCAACATGGTGAAAACCCATCTCTATATACAAAAATTAGCTGGACGTGATGGCACGCACTTGTAATCCCAACTACTCAGGAGGCTGAGGCAGGAGAATCACTTGAACCCGGGAGACGGAGGTTACAGTGAGTAGAGATGGTGCCACTGCACTCCAGCCTGGGCAACAGAGCAAACCTCCGTCTCAAAACAAAATAACAATAAAATCCAAAATAACATGGAAACAAACTTGATTTATTTCTGGTTTTAATTTTTCACACTATCATTCTCCTCACTGATCATACCAGACACTTCTCTTATAAATATATGGTACTCTGAATGTAACCTTGTGAAGAGAAATTTACAATTTTAAGTTTATGAGTATCCGTCTCTCAAAAACCTAAGGGTGAAAATAAATTTCTCTAAACAGAATACACCCCGTTTTTCACCTCCTTCTTTTAAGATGAAGTTACATACTGTTCAACTATACCAGACCATTTACCACTGTTGTCAGAGACACAGAAAATTAGAAGTTATCCCCAAAAAACTGGATCAAGTCCCCTACTCTCAGGGATCCCCAATTCCAACAAAACCTTTCAGTGGCTCCTCAATGCTTAAAGAAGATGTCTCTCCTCAAGTCCAAATAACATCTCCTTGAAATTCCCACTACTCCCTAACCTTTCTACCATTCCCAAAGGTCACTCTTAGCCCTACTGCCACACACACCCCTCCCCCTCCCTTTCTTCCATAAATGAGGGGTCTACCATTAGCACAGTTTTGCAGGAGAGTCGTTCGCCCCAAAAGAAGCTATTTCATACGACATATCAAATCTCAGAAAACTCCCTCTTTTCAACTCACTCACTTCATGTAAATATAGTTGCCTCAAAATAAGCAACATCTGCGCTAATGAAAAATAGAAAATATGACACTAAAATAAATTAGGACAAGTTGTTCAGCTTACAGATTTTTTTTACCTGAAATTATGTTTAAAAATAAAGACCTTTTTATAAATAACAATTCAGCAACAAGTATTTCTCAAACTTTAATGCTATTCATCCTAAAGGATGTTTAGCAGCAATAAACAAACTCTAAAGTGTTAATAATGTAATCCCAAATCTACCACAAGCAAATCATACCAACAAAAATCCTAAATTAACTCCTACACATAATTGTAAATGGTTCTAGAAATTAAATAGTTAAAAAGAGGAAAAAAAGAGATGTTCTGCTATTTTCACCACTTCTAAGATTGAAGTTCCCAGTACCCGCTTGTAAACATTAAAGAACTTGTTATAGTAAAAAAAAAAAAAAACACATTTTACTGATGTATGAGACAATCAAGAAAACGTTAATAGTGAATATATGACATTTTTCTAAGTGTGATAACAACAATGTGATTGTGTAAAAAAGAAACATTCTAAAGTATTTACAGCTGAAATAGCATTTGGGGTTTACATTAAAATAAAGGAGGAAAAGAAGAATACAGATGAGAAAAGATTAGTCATCTGCTGATAAACTGAGCTCTCTAGTCTTTATGTTTGAAATTTTCCATAATAATATAAAAATGTAACTGCTTATGAGCAAAATCTCAGGCACTATTTTGTTCTGGACTGTAGGCAACTTTTGCACAGATTTAATTCCCTAGGTTTGCATAATTAGAGAAATTCTCAACTGTACCGACTTTGTAGTCAGAGAGCTGTGTCATGCCAGTATCCCAAATACCTACCAAACGTAGCTAGCGCTCAGCAAACCTAGTTCAAAAGCTCGGGAAGGTTGCGGGGAATGGAACCAAAATGGCAATGAGGGGAAATAACAATGAACCTGACTAAACTCTTACCATAAACAGCTCCCACCTCTTAAAACCAATAAAGACAAACTGGGGTTTCATTCTTTCCTTTCTCTTAAGGTTTAAAGACTATATCGCCTTCTAGCTTACTTCTCTGCCCTTAACATCCATGCTGACCAAGTAAGACACAAACAATCCAACTACTGTGTAGCCAGGTCAAAAACAAGCTCTGGCTAATTCACTTGGAAGACTACAATCACCATTTAATTTGGCGAGAAAAAACTGGGTTAGAAAAAAAATGACTGGTGCTTAAACAAACAACAGACCGGGGAGAATGTCTTTTAGCCAGTTACCAACCACTCAGTGAGTTGCAACACAATCTTTTCCAAAATTTTCCAAAGCCTTCCAAATTCAGTTGAGCCGGGCAAGCTGAGTTAACGGGGCTCTCTTTCAAATTCAAAAATCTGGCCCCGGCCCGAACAGTTAACCAACAAAACACAAGCTAATACACTTGAGATCACCTAAGAATACTGACCCAAGTTCGGACCACAGTCCAGTACAGTACACTACCCAGGCTAGAAGTCTAGGCTAAGGAGAGGCGTTCAAGTGATAGATAAACTCTACTCACAACGCAGAAAAGAGACAATAAGATCCACACTTAATCTAGCCTAAGAAAAGGTCTACAGTCGGCTTCCAACCCCCCCAACTCCACCCATTTTTAATGAGACAATGACAATTCTTCATGGTGAACCACAGAGCCCTGCTTCCCTAACCTTGTACCGACTCTAACAGAACACTCCCCCAGTGCAGATTAAACTTTTAGAAAACGTTCAGTATTGAGAAACAAATTAAGACAGGAAAAATTTAACATTCCGTTCTGAATTTTCAAGGCCTGCGCCTCCATTCCCTACACATCTTTCATAATCTCTAGACTGTACAATGTATAAAATGAACACTGTTAGTCACATCAGGTGTCAGCTACTCAGCGCAGACTCAGTCTCCAGATTTGCTAGTTTCATTTATCGCTGGGGTGGAGGGTGGGTGTTAAAATTTTGAAAAAAGAGAAAGACCTGGGTGGGTGTAAACCAGGGCATCCTCTATATTCTCTTCGCTCTCTGTCATTTCTGTTTCAATTACACAGCTGTCAAACAGGTTATTCCTGGAATTCAGATTTTATAATCCCCACACTGTAATTCTTCCTGCTGCTGTTGCCCAAACACACACTCCTCCCTGCTTCCCCAAAATACGTATCCATCAATAGAAAGGATGACAACCACAGTTATAAAGTATTCCCAGGTAACGCCAAACTCCCCACCTTGAGCAACTGGCAAGCACTGAGTGGAGGCTGAAACATGATGACAATTTTCACGATGGCCAAAGCAGTGGTTTAGGATCGTCAGAGGCAAGGCCCGCCTCCACTGTATTTCAATTTACACACAAACTCAGAAGGCCGGATTTGGGGAAAAAAAGAAAAAATTCAGGTTGTCTTATTTTTAAAAAATGCTTTTCCATTTTATCGAAGTAAAGTGCATGCCTAAGAGTGTAGCTTATTTCCTTATCTCAAAGCCAGGAAATGAGGTCTTTTAAGGCCAGTCTGAATATAAACTCGGTGTGCAAAAACAGAGGGACTGCAAGGCGAAAGAAACCCCTCTCCCAACTTTGGCCAAGCGGCGTGGCCTCCAGTCAGCAGCATGTTTATCACCCTCTCCTCGTCCCCCAATAAGAAGTTTCCACATGCCACGGGAAACAAAGAAGGCGCCCACACCGACCTTATAGACTTGTCCATAGGTGCCATTTCCAACCACTTCCACCAGCTCAAAAATCCCAGCAGGATCCTGGAGAGGAAGGAGGGGAGGGGTTATCATTTAAAAGAAGCCAAAAAAATGAATAAATCAAGCAAGGCAGTTGGAGAGAAAAGGCGGTGACAAAAGAGGTGGGCTTCGCCCCGCGCGGTCCCCCAGCGCCCGGGGGTCGCGCGGCGGGCTCGGGGCGTGGGGGCGGTAGAGGGTAGCGCCCGCCCCGCACCAGCCCGCACAGGAAGACAAAGGGGCCGCCGCGCCCCGCGGCTCTGCCCACGGCGGCGCCCGAGCGCCCGGCCGACCTGGGCGCGGCCCCGGCTGCCGGCTGCCGGCTGCCCGCTCCCCGCGCGCCCGCTCGCGGGCCCACTCACCCGCAGGGAGGAGAGGTCGATGTCCACCAGACTTTTTGCAGGGGAGTCGTTCGCCATTTTCCCTTTTTGCCACCAAAAAACAAATAACAATAAATGTCTCTGTCGCTCTGTGTATCTCAGCCGCAGACCAGGCCGCCGACCGCGCTCCTCGCGCGGCAGCCGAGCCGGCCCGGTACTCTCCTCGCGGGGCCGCGGGCGGCGGCGGCGGGCTCGGCTGCGCTCTCGGGCCGCTCGGGGCTCTCTGCCGGCCGGGCCGCGCGGAGGGCGGACGGAGCGTGCACGGGCGGCGGCGCTCACACCATGGCGCGGGGCCGGCCGTCAGGCCCCCGGGCGTCGCCCGCCGCCTCAGGCCCCGGCGCCCGCGCCCCGCGCCGCGCGCCTCGAGGACGGGCCCGGAGCGTGGGGCCGCGGCGGCGCCGAGTTGAGCGAGTGAGCGCGAGGCAGCGAGACAAAGATAACCCGGGAGGCGGAGGCGGAGGCGGGGAGCGAGGTGGGGAGGGAGGGGGCGGCGGCGGCGCTGGAGGAGGAGAAACGGGACACCAAAAATATATTCTGAGGAGAGAGAAAACAGCTCCCCCTTTCCTCCTCAGGCAGGAAAAACCGGCGGAAACGCACTCACACCCCGAGCCCTGCCGGGTAGGGCGCGGGCCGAGGCGCCCGCGCGGCGTGAATATTCATCAGGGGTGGGGCTCGAACAATGGCCGCGCCGGCGGGCAGCGCGGGCAGCGGTCCCGACACGACGCCCGGCGCCCAGGGTGCGGCCTCCGCGCTCGACCCCGCACGGCGCTCCCGAAAACTGCAGGAGCGGGGAGGAAGCGGGCTGGGATTTCCCCGGGGAGGAGCTGGGGTGGGGAAACGCCCCTACCTCGCGCTAACAACAAATGACACGAAACTGAGCTGGACCGACACTAAGAGGCCATGGACCCTCGCGTCTCCCAGGGCAAGGGTGTGTCCCGCCGGCCGCGTCCCGGCTCTAGAGGGACCCGAACCCGGTGTTGCCGAGCGGAGGAGGGGCCTCCCTCGATCCTCGCCCCCTCCTCGCCCCATTCGCCCCATCCCCCACTCTCCCACACCCTAGAGAGGAGACCCTTAAGTCCCTCGTTTCCGGCTTCCCTGCACGGTTTTCTTTTCCTTTCTCTGCTTTTGCAGGCTAAATGTGTGGTACGGTTGTGGTTGTAGTTGTGGGATTCGCTGAGCATCGCTGGGCTGCCCGGCCATATCCAAAACAGCTCCTGTAATTGTCTGGCGCTGCGCTCCTGGCTGCGCTCGGTAGGTGAGCACTGTGTTTGGGGCCCTTAGTACCAACCCGCATTTTGTAACCTGGAGATCACTAAGGATCAACCAACAGGTTTCTTCCGGCAACCTCGGAAGCCAGTCGGTAGTTAGGCACTTTAATGCCAGTGAATCAACAGTCATTTATATCGCATTCCTCCACCGTCCAAAAACTTTCAGTGGTTCCCTGTTACCTGACAGGTGTTCTCAAAACGTGAGTGCTTCAGGCAAAGTGCCAATTGCCTGGCCCTGCCTCCCGAGTTCTCGTTTCAGGAGGTCTGCAATGGGCCTGAGAATGTGCATGTGTAAGTTCTCAGTGTAGCTAACGTCGCTGTTACAGGGATCACTCGTTGACAACAGTGGCCTCCGGCTATTCATGATTGGATTTTCATAAACATCACCATCATCATCTACCAATTCTTATGCACATACTGTGTCTCCCCCACACAAACGCGTTGTGCCGAGTGCTTTACACACAGCACTCTATTTACAGCCTTGAAGGAATGTTATCCTCCTTTTAGGTAAGGAAAGCAAAGTACTGAAAGATAAGGAGTATGTCCAAATTCCTTAAAAGCACAGCCTGGAAGTGGAGCAGGGATTTTCACCAGGTTAGCCTGTTCCCAAAATCCAGATCTCTGATTCAGCCAAGTTAGCTCTACCCAGAATATGTATAGCACTATCCTGCTTCCCAACAGTTTGGTTTCTGAAATTTTTGACTATGAGAATCCCTGGTAAGGGTAAAATATATAGAGGGGCTCCTGGTATCCATTTGTAAGGAAAATTATAGTAACCAAGTATTCCTATGAATGTATTGGTGCTTTTAGATAATTTTGGTTTTTGTCAGCAGCAATGTCATTATCTATGAGTGTAAATAAAATAATTTACTCAGAGAACTAGACAGAAACACATCTGAACTTTCAGGCTATCTTACTATTGATAACATTGTTTTTTGTTTGTTTGTTTGTTTTGAGACAGAATCTTGCTCTGTCACCCAAGCTGGAGTGCAGTGGAGTGCTCTCAGCTCACTGCAACCTCTGCCTCCTGGGTTCCAGCAATTCTCCTGCCTCAGCCTCCCCAGTAGCTGGGACTACAGGTGCCTGCCACCATGCCCAGCTAATTTTTTATTTTTAGTAGAGACAGGGTTTCACCATGTTGGCCAGGCTGGTCTCGAACTCCTGACCTCAGGTGATCTGCCCACCTCGGCTTCCCAAAGTGCTGGATTACAGGCATGAGCCACCATACCTGGCCTATTGCTAACATTTTAAGTGTTTATTATTAATAATAGATGATACAACGTGCTAAGTCCTTCACATGTATTATCTCATTATTCTGCTCTTAATTCCAAATGACACTCCATTATTCCCACTTTATATGTTAGAAAACCAGCCCTTAAAAAAGTTAAGTAACTTGCTCACTATGCACAACTAGACCTGATGCAGAAACGCCAGGGCCCCTTCCAAAGCAGCCTCCTTCCACAGATTCAACTCCAAACCCATGACATTGAAGCCCACCTCACACCAACCCTTCCTCTCAATCTATCCAAATTCCTTCATCACCTCAAGCCCAACTCAAAATCATCTCTTCCTTCTCCTACAGGCTTTCTTTAAATCTGTCTCTCTCCTAAGCTGCTATGTCTATATCACCATTGTGACCATTATCTCCCACTTTAGAGTCATTACCTATTCTGGAAGTGCCTACACAGTGCAAGGCGCTGGCTTAGCCATTGCCTGGGATATCAGGAAGATCAAGACAGCCTACCCTCAAAGAGCTTACACACTGATAATAGGCATAAGACAGCTTCACAAATAACCATAGTACAAAGCAGAACAGTGTAGATTTTAGCAAGATGGAAAGAGTACTAAACAGGTCTAGTGGAAAGTATGCTGGATTTGGGCAAAATTGAACTGGGTTTGAACCCTAGTTATTGGTCAGTTGTGCAACCTGGCATGTGTTTCTTCTGAGCCTCCCTTTCCTCCTCTGCATACCAGATGAAGACTGGAAATGAGAAGAACAAGCAAGAGGCAAGAGCCTATGCCAGGGTAATAAAGGGTGACAGGAGATATTAATATAAGAGGTCTTGAGACAGCAGATTCTCTAAGGCTTGGCATCTGATACGATGCCAGAAGGCAGTGTAGAAAAGAAGGTAAGAGATTTGTTTGTGGTTCAGAGCTTGGGAGGATGTCCACACTTGGGAGGATGCTGTCACAACAGAGTAAAGGATGGGAATTACTAAATGGTAGCAATAAAGGAAGATTTAGTTTTGAACCCAAAACCAAAGTTAATTACCTTTTCATGCAGGAGCAGTGTACACATGCCCAGCTTGAAACTCCACTCTAGCGCCCAGCATAGGGGCCATGTTTTCAATCAACACCCATGTATTAGCTTGGGCTGCCATTGCAAAATACTATATAGCCTGGGTGGCTCAAATAACAGAAAATTGTTTTCTTGCAGTTCTGGAGGCTAGAAGTCCAAGATCAGAGTTCTCACCAAATCGATTTCTGGTGAGGGTTCTCTTTCTGGCTAGCAGGCAGCCTCCTTCTTACTATGTTTACACATGGCCTTTCCTCAGCACGCTTGAGGAGAGAGAATGAGTTCTCTGGTGTCTCTTATGAGGCACTAATCCTATCCATCAGGGCCCCACCCTTAAGACCTTGCTTAACCTTAATTACTTCCTTAGAGGCCCTGTCTCCAAACACAGCCACACTAGGGATTCAAGCTTCAACAAATGAATGGAGGGATTGGGGGAGGGGACACAAGTGCTCAGTTCATAAAAAGCTGTGGGTAGTACATGATGCCAGGAGGTAGTCTTGTCACTGCCTTTGTCCTTAATAATCTGTTGAGGACACAAAATAAATCCACCCAAAAGGACAATCAAGGTGATACAGTGGAAAATAAATACCAATTTGACATTTTACATAGGGAGGAAAACAATGTAGCTTGCTTGGACAAAGAATGAGAAGTTAAAAGAATGAGGAGACTGGCCCCACTGGGCAGCGGACTCAGTTCAGAGAACCCTGAGAAATAGAGCAAGATGGCTGGGCACAGTGGCTCACGCCTGTAATCCCAGCACTTTGGGATGCCGAAGCAGGCAGATCACTTGAGCCCAGGAGTTCGAGACCAACCTGGCCAACATGACAAAACCCTATCTCTACTAAAAATACAAAAAATTAGCCAGGCCTGGTGGTGGTTCGCACCTGTAGTCCCAGCTACTTGGGAGGCTGAGGCAAGAAAATCGCTTGAACCCAGAAGGTAGAGGTTGCAGTGAGCCAAGATTGCACCACTACACTGCACTCCAGCCTGGGCGATGGAGCAAGACTCCGTCAAAAAAAAAAAAAAAAAAAAAGGAAGGAAGGAAGGCTGGCCATGCGGGATGGCTCATGCCTATAATCCCAGCACTTTGGGAGGCTGAGGCGGGTGGATCATAAGGTCAGGAGTTCGAGACCAGCCTAGTCAATATGGTGAAACTCTGTCTCGACTAAAAATACAAAAATTAGCCAGGAGTGGTGGTGCGTGCCTGTAGTCCCAGCTACTCAGGAGGCTGAGGCAGAAGAATTGCTTGAACCCGGGAGGCAGAGGTTGCAGTGAGCCGAGATCGTGCCACTGCACTCCAGCCTCGGCAACAGAGCGAGACTCCATTGACAGAGGGAGGGAGGGAGAGAGAGAGAGAGAGAAAGAAGGAAAGCAAGAAAGCGAGACATGTTAGGTGGAACCAGAAAGCAAAGCTGAGGCAGGGACCCAGTGTCACAATTGAAAACAGAACCCAGATTATCAATTAGATCAATTGAGAAACAGCCTAGCCTTGGCTCCCCAGAGTTTGGATGGCAGATGAGCTTCTCCTGAGCTCGGCAGGCCACGAGCTATGAATGCTTATCTTCCTGGGATACAATGGACCAAACTGGCAGTCCTCTCGCACCCACACACAAATTCCAGGGAGAGCTTAATCATGCAAGAGCCTTAAGTGAACAGCAACAACCTCCTGTCCATCACTTAGTGCCTAGGTTTTACTTTGTTGAAAAATGTGGTGGGAAATAGATTTTCAACCTCAAAATGGGGCAGGGTAAGGAGGGCAGAGGAGTGCCTACATATAACTCATTGACTTGGGTCAACTGGAAATAAATAATGAAAGTATTGATGAGCAAGCGTAATGAGGCAAACAAGCAAGGAAATGTGGTGGGTTCAGAAAAAGCTTAAATGGGAGGAGTGCAGACCTGATTTTTTATTCACTGGTTGACAACGTGTTGAGCAAATGCTTATCCTCTCTGCCCCTCCGTTTTCTAACATGTGAGATTAGGGGATTAGATGAGATGATCGAAAGGTCCTCTGAGAGCCTTTGAGACACTGATCTGTCCGAACCTGGCCTCAACCGTATGATGGTTCATATCTCTTAGCCAGGGTGGAAGAGAGTGGCATGAGTGATGAAAGTTGTTACTGGTACATGGATAGTACTGTAGATTTGGCAGCCAGGTTCAGCCCTTGAAAGACCATCTATGACCATTGGTAGAGTCAAAGTCTTTTTAACTAGTGCCTCAGTTGAATTAAAAGGAAGCAACTACTCTAGTGCACAACAGGATGGAAGGCGTGGGATGCAGAAACAGATCAAAAGGCAGGAAAAGAAGAAGCAGACAGGGCAGCTCCAACACCCTACCCTAACCACCAGAGCCATGGACGTTGCCACGTCTGCCAAGAGGAAGTTAGCTTAGTTTGGGTCTCTCAAAGACAGATCCTGAGACAAGGATTTTGGTACAGTTTATTTGGGAGATGATCCCAGAAGCACAAGTCAAAGAGAAGGGAAAGTGAAAAATGGAATGGGGATGAGCTAGTGAGGGTTAATGAGCAGGTTACCACTGCAGGCAGCTGGGCTAGATGAACTTAGCTTGTCAGAAAACTTTTTTAAAAACAGGTTTACCAAGTATCTGTGTTCATGGAAAAGGTTTTTGTGAACATTTTATAAAAAACAGAATAAGCTGGGCATGGTGGCTCACGCCTGTAATCCTAACACTTTGGGAGGCTGAGGCAGGAAGATCGCTTGAGCCCAGGAGTTCCAGACAACCTGGGCAAGGTGGTGACACCCGCCACATACAATTTTTTTTTTTAATTAGCTGGGCATGGTGGTGCACACCTGTAGTCCCAGCTACTCAGGAGGATGAGGCAGGAGGATCCTTTGAGCCCAGAAATTCAGGACAGCAATGAGCTATGTCTGCACCACTGCATTCCAGCCTGGGCAACAAAGCAAGACCGCATCTTAAGAAAAAAAAAAAGAATAGTATTTTAGCGTGTTTTTCTTGTTGTTGTTGTTGTTTGGGTTTTTTGTTGTTTTGTTTGTTGAGACAGGGTCTCTGTCGCCCAGGCTGGAGTGCAGTGGCACAATCGTGGTTAACTGTAGCCTCAACCTCCTGGGGTCAGGCAGTCCTCCCACCTCAGCCTCCCGAGTAGTTGGAACTACAGGTGCGCGGCTCCACACCCGACTAATTTTTGTATTTTTTGGTAAAGACAGGATTTTACTATGTTGCCCAGGCTGGTCATGAACTCCTGGGCTCAAGTGAGCTACCCACATGAGCCTTCCCAAGTGCTGGGATTACAGGCGTGAGCCACCGCGCCTGGCCCAGAATAGTATTTTAAATGCAGAGGAACTTGCTATTTATAGAAGACCTATTTGAAACATTTTATAAGGAGCATTACTGTTTCTTAATTTATTCTTTTTATAAATTTATATAAATTTTTATATATCAGGATTACTTAAGTTAAATAGTGTAAAGTCCTTTACCTGTGAAATCCTCAAAGGGCCTCAAAAATTGGGTCAGAGATAGCCCCAGCTTTGGAAATCTAGATGGGATTGTAGGAAGTAGTTGGGCAAAGCTGGATGAGAATGTTAATGATTGTCAGGTTTGTCTGGTTTTGTTAGGTGCTTGGGTGAAGGGAATCAGGGACTCTGCCAAGGAAAGGCTGAGCTAGACCTGCTAGCTAAGGAGATAATGGACTTTTATTCACACTTGATCAAATATTTGTGTCCTCACCCTGTGCGGCTAAATCTCAAAATTGACCAGACCAGTGGTCCTCTCTTATGCTCAGACATTTAATATATCACAACTGAAATAGAATCATGAGTTGGAACATCATGTGTCAGATCCTGGCCAGCATGCATAAGAGCCCTCATTGAAGAGGAGGTTCAATCATAATCAGGTTGATCCCTTTAAAAATGAATGAACCACAAGGCTCCATTAGTGATACTGTAAGCTCGCCTATCCTATTGATTTACAGTTTTCAGTTAATTATAGTGATTCCAATCTCAAAACCTTCTAAAATATGTCCTATAACAAAAGATTAAGTGGTGACATACCAACGATAAACTATGAACTGAAAATGCCATATTTATAAATTACAGACTTTGAGGTCTTTCTTGCTGTTTTAAATAAGCATAATTATCTTCATCTTCTTTTCCATATCTTCATTCTATATTCTGTGGGCAACTAGTTAGAAAAGGCAGTAAACACTGGGGGAAGAGACCAGCAGGACTGACATGGGTCACCTGGATTTGTCCTAATTCTTGGCTACAGACAACTCCAGGAGGTTATTTGGGAGTTGAGGAGTAGGGAGGTGTTGGAGAAGGGGAAGAATTGGATGAGAAAGTGTGTCTGGGCCAGGCGCAGTGGCTTATGCCTGTAACTTTGGGAGGCTGAGGGGGCGGATCTCCTGAGGTCAGGAGTTTGAGACCAGCCTGGCCAACATGGTAAAACCCCATCTCTACTAAAAAGACAAAAATTAGCCGGGCATGGTGGCGGGCGCCCGTAATCCCAGCTACTCGGGAGGCTGAGGCAGGAGAATTGCTTGAACCCAGTAAGTCGAGGTTGCAATGAGCTGAGATCGCGCCATTGCACTCCAGCCTGGGTGACAAAAGCGAAACTCTGTCTCAAAAAAAAAAAAAAGAAAAGAAAACAAAGTGTGTCTGGATGGGTACAAAGTCTACAACTCCTGGAAATGCAACTCAGGGTCACAAAAAAGAAGGGTTACTTATTCTCACAGCATTGCATCTTTTATTGCATTGGAACTTATCACTATTTGCTGCCTGGGTTGTAAGAATATATATATTCAGATTTGAAATAGTACTTGTGGAGAGTTGTCACACAAGCATCATCTTTAGAATCATAGCTTAGCTCTTTAGTTACACAGATAAGTGAAAATGCAGAGGAAGCCGGATGTCAGTAGACAGCAAGAGGAATTAAAGATGGAATGATCTGGACATGGCCTCAACATATGCCACTGATAAATGTCACCACTCATTTTGAAATTTCCAGGAACTGAGAACAAGTCAGGCACTCAGAAGAGAGAACCAGTTATCTAGAAAAAATTTCAAAGCTATTTTTCAGAACTATTAATTGTTTAGAAAGAATCAGACCTCTAAGAATGTCCCTTTCTGCCCTGCCATTCTATGTAGAGTGGATGAAAAATAGAATATGTGTTCTGTTGTACAAACTGTGTTCCTCAGTGCCCCAAGGTTCCCTAGAGATGGATCAGGTCCTCCTGAATATTCCAGGGGAGGTCTGAGGAGCTAGTAATAGGACTGCTGAGCTCACTGTCTGGCCCTCCCTTCTTCCACCACACAAGTTCTGCTTTTTTAGATTTTATAAATTAGAAATGTTCATAATATTTTTTAAGATGAGATTTCCACTGCTAAGAGAAATTTTAAAACCCTGAGTTAAGTGTACTTGAAACCAAGACTTACATAATCACATGGCAGAGATATCTATTAAATATATGTTTGATGAGCTCAGAACTAAGCAACACTTTTGTATTAGGCTGTTCTTGTTTGCTGCAAAGAAATACCCAAGACTGGGTAATTTCTAAGGAGATTTAATTGGCTGACAGTTCTGCAGGCTGTACAAGCATGATGCTGACATCACTGGGCTTCTGGGGAGGCCTCAGGGAGCTTTTATTCATGGCAGAAAGCGAAGTAGAAGCAGGCACATCACATGGCAAAAGCAGGAGCAAGAGAGAGTGGGGGAGAGGTGCAACACATGTTTATCTTATTATTATTGTTATTTATTATTACTATTTTGGAGACAGAATCTCACTCTCACCCAGGCTGGAGTGCAGTGGCACGATCTCAGCTCACTGCAGTCTCTGCTTCCTGGGTTCAAGCGATTCTCTTGCCTCAGCCTCCCAAGTAGCTGGGACCACAGGTGTGCATGCCATCACACCCGGCTAATTTTTTTTTTTTTTTTTTTTCAAATTAGAGACAGGGTTTCACCATGTTCACCATGTTGCCCAGGCTGGTCTCAGACTTCTGAGCTCAGCAATCCACCCGCCTCAGCCTCCCAACGGACTAGGATTACAGGCATGAGCCACCATGCCTAGCCCTGCAACACACTTTACAAGGAGATCTCACAATGACTCACTCACTGTCTCGAAGACAGCACCAAGCCATGAGGGATCCACCCCCATGATCCAAACAACTCCCACCAGGCCCCACTTCCTGCATTGGGGGTTACAATTCAACATGAGGTTTGGGCCGGGACAAATATCCAAACTATGTCAACTTTAAACATTTTTTGTAATCATTGTCATGACCTGAGTAAAGAAATAGAAATGATGCAGGGGAGGGGCCGAGTGTGGTGGCTCACGCCTGTAATCCCAGCACTTTGGGAGGCCGAGGCAGGCGGATCACGAGGTCAGGATCGAGACCATCCTGACTAACACGGTGAAACCCTGTCTCTACTAAAAATACAAAAAAAAAAAAAAAAATTAGCTGAGCATGGTGGCGGGCACCTGTAGTCCCAGCTACTCAGGAGGCTGAGGCAGGAGAACGTCGTGAACCCGGGAGACGGAGCTTGCAGTGAGCTGAGATCCCGCCACTGCACTCCAGCCTGGGCGACAGAGCGAGATTCCATCTCAAAAAAAGAAAAAGAAAAAAGAAATGATGCAAGGGAGGGAATCCAGGAACTTGGGCTTTGGATTTGGTTCTACCAGAATCTACCGTTATAGTGGTTACATCACCCAACCTGGTATCTTGGGACTAAGTATGCATTAATTATCTGACACTTCCTTCTCATACTAACACATAGACCTGAGAGTGAGTTGTGACCCCATTCCAGTTTATTTAAGTGTGAGCTCAGTCTATTAGGGTCTATTTGGTAGCCTGCTTTTTAATTAAATAGCCTACCTCCTATTTCACTCAGAGCACATTTTAGGGAACTGATAAGATAATCTAAAGCATTTTTAACTCCTTCAAGAGTCAGATACAAGAGACTGTCTATAATAATAAAAATAGAAATCTAAAAGAAAGCTGCCAAACAATAATCTAGGCAACATTGACTACATTGAAAAATTTAAAGGATGTTTACAAAAGTTTGTAATAACATAGAGAATGAATGTTACAATATAAATTGAAAATATCACTACAAAATTTGTATGAGATTATGGTCATAGCCATGTAAAATTTTAAAACTATTCAGAGGAAAGATAATGGAAGAAATACATGAAATTTTAGTAGTTTTTCACTGACAAAACTGTTTTTTTTCCTTTCAAAATGTGTATTTTTTTTTTTCTTCAAGATGGAGTCTCACTCTGTTGCCCAGGCTGGAGTGCAGAGGTGCAATCTCAGCCCACTGCAACCTCCGCCTCCCTGGTTCAAGTGATCCTCTTGCCTCAGCCTTCCCGAGTAGCTGGGATTACAGGCACGCACCACCAGGCCTGGCTAATTTTTTTTTTTTTTTTTTTTTTTTTTTTTTTTTTCAGTAGAGATGGGGGTTTCACCATTTTGGCCAGGCTGGTCTTGAACTCCTTACCTCAGGTGATCCGCCCACCTCAGCCTCCCAAAGTGCTGGGATTATAGGCATAAGCCCCTGCACCCGGCCTTAAATAGCTTTTAAAATAAAATGAAATAAAGTAATTGTATTAATTTCCTAGGGCTACTCAAAGTACCACAGACTGCATGGCTTAAAACAGCAGAACTGTGTTGCCTTGCAGTCCTGGAGGCTGGGAGTCTGAGATTAAGAGGTCAGCAGGACCTGCTCCCTCTAAAGCCTGGAAGGGGGTCCTTCCTTGCCTCTTCCTGGCTTCTGGGGGTTGCCAGCATGTGCTGTTCCTCAGCTTGCAGCTGCATCACTCCCATCTCTGCCTCTGTCATCCCATGCTGCTCACCCTGTGTGTCTGTGTCTTCATATGGCTGTCTTCTTACAAGAACTCCAGTCATATTGGATTAAGGGCCCACCCTACTCCAGTATGACCCGTTGTTACAGTAGGTAGCCAGACAGGTATGAGCAAGGCAGAAAAGGGCTCCCCCAACTCCCACCCCACCCCACTTCCCCACCTTGACCCCCACCCCTGCGCACACGCACGTACACACACCAGGAGTGTCAGGGGACCATCAAGTGATGGTCAGACGGTTTTGTTAACTGTCTCTCTAAAATAATAATTGTTCACAGCAGGCACCAGGGAAGGTCCACCTCCCAAAACAGAAAACACCTAAAACTGGTGATCAGCAGCTTCCCATAAAATCTCAGGAGTTGGGCGAGTGGGCTTAATCATGCACATTAAGAGACAAAATGGTAGAGTTTAACTGGTACATGACCTTCCTCTAGGAATGCTAGACTGGTAAGGGCAGGACACCTCAGGCAAGCATGGGTACAACTCCAGTAAACACACTGCATGCTCCCCTACCAAGTGCTAGCGGGCCACTGCACATGCGGGCAGCCCACCCCAAGGGAAGAATTAGGAAAGAAGGGAGGCAACCCCACCTCCACCCCAGACCCCCAAGGCATGCCAACATATAAAACCCCAGGTCAAGTCGGGCGCAGTGGCTCACGCCTGTAATCCCAGCGCTTTGGGAGGCCGAGACTGGCAGATCACCAGGTCAGAGATCGGGACCATCCTGGCCAACATGATGAAATCCTGTCTCTACTAAAATACAAAAAAATTAGCCGGGCGTTGTGGCGCGTGCCTGTAGTCCCAGCTACTCGGGAGGCTGAGGCAGGGAAATTGCTTGAATCCGGGCGGCGGAGGTTGCAGTGAGCCTAGATTACACCACTGCACTCCAGCCTGGCAACAGAGCGAGACTCCGTCTGAAAAAGAAAACAAACAAAAAAACTCCAAGTCAACGGTCAGACTACAAACTTGATCTCTCAAGTCGCCCGCTTGGCCCTCTTCGGAGTGTACTTTACTTCCTTTCATTCCTGCGCTAAAGCTTTTTAATAAACTCACTCCTGCTCTAAAACTTGCCTCGGTCTCTCCTTCTGCCTTATGCCGCTCAGTCAAATTCTTTCTTCTGAGGAGGCAATAATTGGGGTTGCTGCAGACCTGTAGGGATTCGCCGCAGGTACCGCCATAATTATATCTGCAATTACCCTGTTTCCAAATGAGGTCACATTATGAGGTTCTGGGGGTTAGGACTTAAACATATCTTTTTGGGGATATGGGGGAGACAAAATTCAAACCATAGCAGTGATTTTAACAATTTTGATGTTTCTTTTTTTTCTTTTTTTTTTTTTGAGGCGGAGTCTCACTCTGTTGCCCAGGCTGGCATGCAGTGGCGCGATCTCAGCTCACTACAACCTCCACCTCCTGGGTTCAAGCGATTCTCCTGCCTCAGCCTCCAGAGTAGTTGGGACTACAGGCGCATGCCACCATGCCCAGCTAATTTTTGTATTTTTAGTAGAGACAGGGTTTCACCATGTTGGCCAGGCTGGTCTCAAACTCCTGACCTCGTGATCCACCCACCTCAGCCTCCTAAGGTGCTGGGATTATAGGGGTGAGCCACCGCACCTGGCAGATTTTGATGTTTCATGCGGCAATTGAAGACCCTTATTCTTTCTCACCCTAATGTGATGATTTCCATACTTTAGCACATGGGTGGTTTAGGAAAGTGGTGCTTTGGGTAGTTTTTGCTGTGACCCCTCACTTTCTCTCTAGCCACCCCTCTCATTGTCTAACATGTATTTATAGTAGTCTCCCGCTTTGTTTCCAGGGGATATGTTCTAAGACACATGGGGACTCCTGAAACCAAAGATAGTAGCGAATCCTAAATATACTATGTTTTTTCCTATACATACATACCTGTGATAAAGTTTAGTGTATAAATTAGGCACAGTAAGAGATTAGCAGCAATAACTAAAAATAGAACTATTATAATAATATGCTGTGTTTGGGTCATGGGGGCAGATTCCTCATGGCTTGGTGCTGTCTTCACGATAGTGAGTGAGTTCTTGCAAGATCTGGTCCTTTAAAAGTGTGTGGCACCTCTCCCCTATTCTCACTCTCTCTTGCTCCGGAATGTGGGAGAGACCATGTTCATTAAGTTATGTGAATATGGCTCTCCCTTTCTCTCAGAATTGTTATTGTGCAGTAGTCACTTATTTTCAGACCATAGTTGACCACAGGTACCTGAAACCACTGAAAGCGAAAGCGTGAATAAGGGGGGACTATTGTAATTAGGCACATACCAAGTTCATAGCACTGTTTTAATCTATCAAGATAAATCTGACAAAACTCTCTTCTAACAATCAAGTTACTTTCATCTGTACCATAGTTTTCAAATAGATTGACTTTTAAACAAGTAACTACAAGGCTAGGTGCGGTGGCTCATGCCTGTAATCCTAGCACTTTGGGAGGCCACTGAGGCAGGCTGATCACCTGAGGTCAGGAGTTCGAGACCAACCTGGCCAACATGGCAAAACCCCATCTCTACTAAAGTACAAAAATTAGTTGGGCGTGGTGATGGGTACCTATAATCCCAGTTACTCGGGAGGCTGAGGCAGGAGAATTGTGTGAACCTGGGAGGTGGAGGTTGTAGTAAGCCAAGATCACGCCACTGCACTCCAGCCTGGGCAACAGAGTGAGACTCCCTCTCAAAAAACAAACAAACAAAACAAGTAACTACAATTTGTGAATCACTATAAGGAATATCTTTGGCCCAGTCAGGGTGGCTCATGCTTGTAATCCCAGTACTTTGGGAGTCTGAGGCAGGAGGATCACTTGAGGCCAGGAGTTCAAGACCAGCCTGAGCACCATAGCGAGACCCTGTTGCTACAAAAAGTAAAAAAAAAAAAATAGCTGGGCATGGTGGCCTGCACCTGTAGTCCCAACTACCCAGGAGGCTAAACCCAGGAGTTGGAAGCAGCAGTGAGCTATGATTTTGCCACTGTACTCCAGCCTGGGTGACAGAGTGAGACCCTGTCTCTAAATAATAATAATAATATTTAAATATTAGGTTGTAAAAAAATTTCTTAGACCTTTTTACATACATATAACAGATGACAGGGCAGAGACTAATAGGGAAAAAAGAAGGAAGAAAACTAAGGTAGAAATAGAAGTTGATTTTGCCAAAAGGAATATTTTTTCAGCATCGAGTAATATCCAGTTTGGTGGGGATATTTTTGAATTAGCTAATGTTTTAAAATAGTGTCTTACTGGCTTTGAACTTTTTTTTGGTGACTTTTTCTACTGCCGTGCTAGAAATAATTTTCTTTTTTATATTGAGATCTAAGGATGTTTATTTAATTTTTTGTAATAATCATGTCTTTTGCTAAATTTGACAGAATTGCTTGACATAAAAATATAAATAAGGAACTATGGCATGACTTGGATAAAGCAAGCATGAGTTTATATTCCCTAAATATGGTTATATTGCTGCTGCTTGCCTTTGAAAGTAAAAATATTTATTTCTCTTGTTATATGCATTTATTTATTATTTCTTTATTTATTTATTTACTTATTTTTTAGACAGAGTCTCCCTCTGTCACCCAGGCTGCAGTGAAGCGGTGCAATCTTGGCTCACTGCAACCTCCACCTCCCGGATTCAAGCGATCCTCCTGCCTCAACCTCCTGAGTAGTTGGGACTACAGGCGCATGCCACCATGCCCAGCCAATTTTTGTATTTCTAATAGAAACAGGGTTTCACCATCTTGGCCAGGCCGGTCTCGAACTCCTGACCTCAGGTGGTCCCCCGCCTCAGCCTTCCAAAGTGCTGGGATTAGAGGTGTGAGCTACCGTGCCCGGCCTGCATGCTTTTATTTTAATGAGTAATTATGAGAATGTCAATGACATCTTCAAATTGGTATGTGTATTCCATTGTGCAGTTATACCCTTTTATTTCCATTTTTCTTGTTCGGAGTGCTTTGTGTTTAAAAAGCTAAGGAAATTAAATTCCTTAAACTGGCAAAGCTATGCCAATACAATGAAACCTTACTACATATAAGCCAGGAAATTAGAATTTGTTGTTCTCCCAGCAGCTGGTATTTAGCTATTCTGAACATTACACGACAGAAAAGTTAAAGTGGGGCAGTTTTTCCTTGTGTGAATTTTGCTAGGAGATAAGAATATCACTTCTCCCCACTCGGTGCACAGGACATGGGCAGGGCTGACCCAACCAGCTGGGGAGTGTGTGCCCACCAGCTCTGAGTCTCCTGGGACCTCAGCCTCTTGGACTCCCAACTCCTCTTGTCTGTCCTACAAGAAGGCGGCCAGAAATTAACTCACATAAATTAAACTACTCGTGCTGATGTGGCATGGATAGTTGGCAGCAGAGTGTGGTAGCTCTCCCAGCACTACTATTACTATTACTAGCAGTCCCCATTTATCAGGTGCCAGCCACTCTACACAGCACTTTTCCTGCACTATTCATTTAATCCTCCCACTGCTCTGTGTAACAAACACTTCCATCATCCCTATTTCATGGAGGAGAAAACCAAGACTTAAGGACATTGAGTAACTTGCCCATGATTGCACTTTTGGAAAATAGCAAATCTAGGATTAAAAACCAGACTAATCTGGACAACTCATGGTTTTGACCTCTAAGTTTCAGGTAACTTACGTTTTGTTGTTTTTTTTTTTTAGACAGTCTCACTCTGTTGTCCAGGCTGGAGTGCAGTGGCACCATCTTGGCTCACTGCAACCTCCATCTCCCGGGTTCAAGTGATTCTCATGTCTCAGCCTCCCAAGTAGCTGGGATTATGGGCATGTACCACCATACCTGGCTAATTTTTGTATTTTAAGTAGAGGCGGGGTTTCACCATTCAGCCAGGCTGGTCTCAAACTCCTGGCCTCAAGTGATCTGCCTGCCTTGGCCTCCCAAAGTGCTGGGATTACAGGCATGAACCACCACACCTGGCCAACTTATGCATCTTAACCAAGCCTTGGAAGATCCAGTTCCTTGACACAAAGAATGCAAAAGGGGAACTTTATGAAGTTTTTTCTCATTATAAAAATAACACATATTTGCTGGGCATGAGGGCTCACGCCTGTAATCCCAGCTATTCAGAAGGCTGAGGCAGGCATATTTTTCAGCCCAGGAGTTTGAGGCCAGCCTGGACAATGTAGCAAGACCCATTATTTAAAATATATATATATTCAAAAATAACATATTCATTGAAGAAAATACAGAAAAGTATAAAGTAAAAAATAAAATTCACCAACAATCATTAACATCTAACACATTTTCTTTGTTCTTTTTCCTAAGCATGTTAGGTTTAATTATTTATAAATGTAATCGGAATTGTACTGTTTGGTAACCCGCTTCTTTTGACTTCATATATTGCTAACATTCTCACATCATTAAATACCATGTTACAACCTAATTTTTAATGGCCGTATTGACTGTAATGTAATTTATTTCACCATTTCTGTGGTTTTGGGTAGTTAGGTTGTTTCTCATCAGTCACTATTTTAAATACCACACATGCTAGTAATTTCCCTAAGCAAATTATTGACAAGGAATGGCAGATTCAGAGACTAGGAGGCTGGGCGTGGTGGCTCACTCCTGTAATCTCAGAACTTTGGGAGGCCAAGGCAGATGGATCACCTGAGGTCAGGAGTTCAAGACCAGCCTGGTCAACATGGTGAAATCCCGTCTCCATTAAAAATACAAAAAGTAGCTGGGCATGGTGGTGCATGCCTGTAGTCCCAGCTACTTGGGAGGCTGAGGCAGGAGGATCACTTGAACCTGGGAGGCAGAGGTTGCAGTGAGCCGAGATTGGCCACTATACTCCAGCCTGGGTGACAGAGCAAGACTCTGTCTCAAAACACAATGAAGCAAAACAAAACAAAAAACCAAAAACAAACAAAAAGGCTATGAATATTTGTTAGGTTCTTGGAACATTTTGTCAAACTCCCTCCAAAAAGGCTCTGCCAAGTTATAAGAGGAGGAGTTTTGTTTTTTCAGTTTTTGGTGTTTTTTTGTTTTTTTGTTTTTTTTTTTTTTTGAGACAGAGTCTCACTCTGTCACCCAGGCTGGAATGCAGTGGCTGATCTCAGCTCACTGTAACCTCCACCTCCCTGGTTCAAGCGATTCTCCTGCCTCAGTCTCCTAAGTAGCTGGGACTACAGGCACGCACCAACATGCCCGGCTAATTTTTTTTTGTATTTTTAGTAGAGAGCGGGTGTTGCCATGTTGGCCAGGCTGGTCTTGAACTCCTGACCTCAAGTGATCTGCCTGACATGGCCTCCCAAAGTGCTAGGATTACAGGCATGAGCCACCACGCCCGACCTGAAGAGCAGTTTAAAGGTGAGGGGACTTCAGGTTCTAATACAGGCTCTCGAGGGAGATACCATGGGGAATGTAGAACATGGTCACTTCTCAAGACATACCTCATGGGCAGCCACCTGCTGTCTTTCTGTGGGATCCAAGAAAGACCCTAGGTCTGTCAGAGAAGACCTGGAACAGAGGATGTAACATCAGGGCTCTGCACTGCCTGCCCACTCAAGGCTGTAAGTTCAGTGGTCCCTGAGAAGCATGGAGAACCACAGCAGTAGGAAAGCCAGAAGATGAAAAGGCAGTTCCTAGGAAAACAAAGGGTTTTCCTGCCCACTGTTTCCTCTGATCACAGCGCTGGAATGATGCAGCTTTACAACCACTGGTATTTTGCTGAGAGAGATTTCAGATTTAAGTGAGGTCACACCAGCCTATGCAGAGAAGCCCAGACCCTGTTCCACTCTCCTGCATAAGGCTGTCTGTCTTTCCTCAAGGAAAAAAGTCCCTGTGTCAAAGATTCTCCCCCTCAACAAGTGGAAATAAATACTGGGCATTATATCAAGGAACGCTTGAACTTGCTTTATGAGTAATTATCTCTATTTTTCAACATTTGCTGAATTCCAACCACACAATAGATGCTGTCTAAGATATAGAGGGTCTCAAGCCTTTGGGCTTGCAATCTTGAGAAACCGACAAGCCTGGCAAATATGAGAAATGAGGGGAATGCACTTAGTTGAAATGGGGTCTGAAAAAGGGCACTCTTGGTAATTATATGTCTGGTTACACATTCTTGACAACTATTTACAGCTCTGACTGGCTGTGCAAAGACAATGCCCAGTTTGTTGGCTCCAACAAAGGCAAACAAGGCTCAACCCCTAGCACGATTCTGTGTGCCATTTTGTAATGTTGAAACAAGGCAGGGATCTTGGTGTGTGGTGTGCACTTATGTTCGTTAAATGTAGAGAAAACAAAAACCTTAGATTTCCAGATGTACCTATTCACTTCAGATGTGGTCAATATATTATGCACACACATGATTTAAACTACCAAATACCTGCTTTTCTTACATAGTATTAAAGCAGGTCAGAAATAAGAAGCATGAGACAATCTGTAAAAAAAGTGATTTGTAGCCATAGTCTCTCATGGACTTGGCTGCTTTTTGGGATTGGTTGCTTCTGCATCCAAAGTAACTGTGGTCAGGCTGGGTGCCAGTGACTCATGCCTATAATCTCAGCACTCTGGGAGGCCGAGGTGGGAGAATCACTTGAGGTCAAGAGTTCGAGACCAGTCTGGCCAACATGGCGAAACCCTGTCTCCACTAAAAATACAAAAATGACACAGGCGTGGTGGTGCACGCCTGTAATCCCAGCTGCTCAGGGGGCTGAGGCAGGAGAATCGCTTGAACCCGGGAGGCAGAGGTTGCAGTGAGCCAAGATGGCGCCATTGCCCTCCAGCCTGGGTGACAGAGTGAGACTCCATCTTAGAGCAAATAGACAAACAAAAAGCCCAAAGTGACTGTGGTCAGCACCCAAGAGAGGAGGACAACATATCGAACCCTGACACTGATTCTGATGGGGGGCGGGGAGGTGAGTAATAAAGTATGCTAACACAGGGGACTTAATATTTTTTTAATTTGCATATAATAAAGCATGTTTAATTAACATTAAAATCTATTTTGTCATGGTGTTTCTATATACATGGCTCCAGAAAGCACATGAAAAGATAGTATAGCAAATCTATTATTCTGACTTCTAACTCAAAACTGTGGTAGAACTCTGCATCTTTCTCGCATTTTATGTATCAGGTCATACTACAGTGGGCTGCTTACTCATTCTAAACTTGGTAGTAGTAAAACCACTAGGTTAGTCTGTCACTGCTAATGTATTCTATAACTTAATCTGCCTGGTGGGTTACATGCTGATATACGAATGCAAAAATTTATCATGGTGTACACTTAGATTAGCGCATATTACTGTGTCATACCTCAGTTAAAACAGACAAACAAACAAACACTGCTAAGTGTTTGATGGGAATCAGTAAGGTCAAAAGTATTTGATGGGGATCAAAAGTCAGCCTGGGCAACATAGTGAGACCTCATCTCTACAAAAAAAAATTTCTTTTAATTTGCCAGGTGTGGTGGTGGTACACTTTTGTAGTTCTAGCTACTCAGGAGGCTGAGGTGGGAGGATCACTTTGAGCCAGGGAGTTAAGGCTGAAGGGTGACAGAGCAAGAGCCTGTCTCAAAGATATATATATATACACATATATATATATATACACACACACACACACATATATACACACACACACCATATATAAATATATACCATATGCAAATATATATTATAAATATGTATACCATATATAAATACACGTGTGTGTGTGTGTGTATATATATACATGATAAAGTCAAAAGCACTGTGAATTAGGGGAGTGTAGATTAGAGTTGTCATGTCCAAGCTCACCAAACTAATTATGTGAAAATGGACATGTAACCTTCAATCAGAAACACACTAGGGACCATCTGTTCTGACACTTCCTCTTTACAGAGGAAAATAAGCTTGAAAGTAGTAAAGCAAATTGTCTAGATGTTAGGGTAAAGCTTGTTTTCAACTCAGACCTTCTGACTCAAAACCAAATGCCATATACATAAGCCTGCTTCCAAATTCCTGTTTTGGCCTGTTTCTTGGCCAATAAAATAAAGAGATTGAGGTCTTCTTGACAAAAACACTTAATAAGAAGTAATCAAGCCTTGTCAAGACTGAAACTCCTATTTACAAGAAATACAGGGAACAGAGGAACAAGTTAAATGACAACATGAAGAAATGTGGGATATCCTACAAATGGCCTGGGTTCACCAGTCAAATTGAATTAAAGTAGCATTAACAATGTCAAGTGTTTCACTCGCGACATAATGAACTTCCAAATGCCATATTTTCATTTCTTGACTTGGTTGGAAGGGAAAAATAATCATTACTAGAATTAGCTAATTTTCTATTTGAAGTGTCATTTGCAAATGCAAACTGGCATCATTTAAAAATCTTTTCAGATTTCTTCTTTTGATTGATCCAATGTATTAACAGTTATCTTTTCATTTTTCACTCATAAAATAAATTTAGAAGAACAACCATTTGATATAAATGAAAACTCATGTTTCACAGGGTAATATGTAAATGCACATTCTGTATCACCCAAGTTAAAATATTGTTTTGGGGCACAGTGATCTTAAAATACCTACTAATATTCAAGTAGATGCTCATGCGTCCTCGGCAGACATGTGTCTTTCGGTTTGCATTCGATCAGTGAAATCATTAAGGTCCCCATGGGGGTTGGTTGATGTCAGCAAATATTTTGTGCAAGGTTATAAGTTCATCATTAACATGAATGAAAAATGGAAATTTGATATTTAATTTCTTACTAAACATGCAATTTTTAAACCTCATTCCTCCAAAATGCAATGCAAATACTCATTGAATTTCTCAAAATAAATAGTTATGGATTTATACTGTACCGTATAGTACAAGTCCACTGTAGCAAGAGTGTTCAGACCACTTTCTAAACGCTCTATGGGAGACTGCTCACCTATCTCCTGTTCATGTTTTACATGCATCTTTCCTATAATTTTCCATATTTCCCAATGACCCTGACAATTACACCTCAGAGATCACTGTGGGCTTCAGCCTAACTGGCTGGTACAAAAAGTGGCTGGCAAGACAAGAACATAAAATATTTCTCCCATTATCCCCAAGACCAGAATAAATTAGCTGTCCCAAGGCGTTCCTTCTCTGAGCACTTTGTTTTGTCAGCAAGCATGCTTGCAAGCCATCCTTGAAAGGGAGGTGTTAAATACAGTGAGTCTGAAAAGGGTTATTTCCAGATTCAATCATATGTTAAGGTGAGGCCTCTGTTCACAACATGGGTCTCACATACTTTCAACAGAAGCTGGAAATACAAGGTTGGAGTGATATCAAACCCATCTGGCTTAATAACATTAGTTGAAAAAATTGGTCAGGCATGGTGGCTCACGCCTGTAATCCCAGCACTTTGGGAGGCAGAGGCGGGCAGATCACCCGAGGTAGGGAGTTCGAGACCAGCCTGACCAACACGGAGAAACCCCATCTCTACTAAAAATACAAAATTAGCCAGGCATGGTGGCGCATGCCTGTAATCACAGCTACTTGGGAGGCTGAGGCAGGAGAATCACTGGAACCTGGGAGGCAGAGGTTGCGGTGAGCCAAGATCACACCATTGCACTCCAGCCTGGACAACAGGAGCAAAACTCCGTCTAAAAATAAATTAATAAATAAAAATTAAAAATCCAGATTAAAAAAAAAGCTAAACCAGATACAGTGTCAGGACAACTAGCATAAACTGTCTTGGGCAACCATGGCACACTTTTACCCTATAATAAATGATGGCAGATGACATATGTCTGCCGAGGGTGTATCGGCATCTGCTTGAATATTAGTAGGTATTTTAAGATCACTGTGCCCCAAAACAACATTTTAACTTGGGTGATACAGAAGGTGCATTTACATATTACCCTGTGAAACATGAGTTTTCATTTATACTGGGGAGTGAAGATGAACAAAGCTTTGATGAGCTGAAGAAAGAAGTTTCACAATGAATAGGATAGGCTTAAATATGGAAGTGAGTTGTTAAAAACCCAAAGTGGCAGGAGAGGTGTGGAATCTGGACAAGACGTTAAGGTACTTTCCTCCCAGTGTAAGGAGGATCTTGTAATTAAGAATTACCAGAACCAATTAGCCTGTTTTCTGTTGCACACCTCATTGACTTGACACTTACTTGGTAGGTTGATCACTTCAGTGTTGACTAATCCTCCCGGCCACAGGTGTATAGAGTGGAATTACCTCCTTCCTGGAAACTAGGCAAATTACTATGATGGCAGATCACAAAGGAGGGAGAGATGCATGTGGAAACTGGTATCTTTGTGCCATTTCTGGACAAAAGTCTGAAGACATTGACATGTAAGTGAAATTCCTCCTTTGCACACCTTCACCATGGCTTGTACCCTCCCAAAGGTGCCATTTATAACTACACAAGAGGCCACCCCCAACAAATATCTAGGGGGCTATACTGAATTTTTTTTCAAACTAGCCTCATCATCATTGATTGCAAAGGACTAAGGAGGAAAAGAAAATGACTGTCAGCAGTTGTCATTGCAGCCTTGACCAGAGCTGCTGAAGGTTCCCGTTTGTAGAAGGCAAGCCTATCTTTATGAATAGGTAAAGTGACAGCTGTCTGAAATTGATATTGAAGACCTCTCCCTCTGAAATATCTGAAATGCCGTTATTACCAATTTACCCCTTAAGGTGAGTGTTACTTTCCTTCATTCACCATCCTTCAAAGTATACATATCACTGATAAGAAAAGTATATTCAATTCCTAACATTTTAATGCAGATTAATTTCTTAGAAGATTTTCAGCACAGGACAAAGTAGACTACTTGACAGCTGTGCACACCTGAGTGAAGGAAAAGGTGGGTTCGGGGAGGAGGGCAAGTGAAAAGGTGAAACTAACATGAAGAGCAAGGCATACGAAGAACTCAGGAAAGGGAGTTAATTGGTTTGGCCAAGCACCACTGTCTACCTGGGGTGTAGGCTGTGAGACTGATGATAAAGCTCCCTCAGCTAAGCTTGTCAGGAGCGGCGGTGAGGGAGCAATTTACCCACAAATATACCCTCTTTCCCCACTTTGTTTTTGAGACAAATGATGTGTTTAAGGATAAAGTAGAGACTGCTGAATCAAGTTGGCTAACTGAAGAACTGAAGACATGCCTCTCCCTCCATTAAAGAAATAATTAAACAGAAAAACAAAACAGAATATTCAAGAAAGAAGCTTCCATGGTCCAGAAATTTGAGGAATTCGTAGAAGACAAACAGGCCTGAAATCGAGGCAAAACAAGAACAAGAAAAATCCTGCTTGAAATTCAGAGCCACAAGAGCGACTGTAACTTTCTCTACACTCATCATATGTGATTACAAAGAACAGGCCTGGACTTTCAAGCAATTTTCGGGGTAATTAGTTAGGTGTATTTGGAAACAGTCCTTTCCCTTACCCTGCTTTTCCAGTGCATATCCAGTGGTGACAGCAGTGTGTGTCCCCAAGTTAAAACCCTTTAAGCTGCTTTCAAAAGAGAAATAGTTACCATGTTGGGGTTAAAGAAAGGTACAGATGGACTCTGAAGTATCTCCAGACCTTCAAAGGGACATTGGAGGACAGAAGAAAGGGATGGAAAGAGTTGATTCAGTGTTTGCTTCCAAAGTACAGGAATGCTTCTCCTGGCCAGGCGTGGTGGCTCACGCCTATAATGCCAGCACTTTGGGAAGCCGAAGCAGGCGGATCACCTGAGGACAGGAGTTCGGGACCAGCCTGGCCCACATATAGAGAAACCCCATCTGTACTAAAAAATTCAAAAATTAGCTGGATGTGGTGGCACAGGCCTGTAGTCCCAGCTACTTGAGAAGCTGAGGCAGGAGAATCACTTGAACCTGGGAGGCGGAGGTTGCCGTGAGCTGAGATCACACCACGCTACTCCATCCTGGGTGAAGGAGTGAGATCCATCCCTAAAAAAAAAAGAAAGAAATGCTTCTCCTAAGTGGGGGACCCTCCTAAGAGTCCCACACAAGAGACCCACAGAATGAGTAATGGGCTCAGGGCTCCAGGGAAGTAACAAACTGCAGAAGGGAGGGAGACTCTGAAGGGAAGCCACCCGTGCCAACCTAATCCCAAATCCTAATCCTTCCCTACAGCCAGAAGGAGACACACTGTTCTTATTAAAACATTCAGTGAGGCTGAGTGTGATGGCTCATGCCTTAATCCCAGCACTTTGGGAGGCTGAGGCAGGTGGATCACCAGGTCAGGAGTTCAAGACCAGCCTGGCCAACATGGTGAAGCCCCGTCTCTAGTAAAAATACCAAAAATTAGTTGGGTGTGGTGGCGGGCGCCTGTAGTCCCAGCTACTCGGGAGGCTGAGGTGGGAGAATCACTTGAACCTGGGAGGCGGAGGTTGCAGTGGGCCGAGATCATACCACTGCACTCCAGCCTGGGCAACAGAGCAAGACTCCGTCTTAAAAAAAAAAAAAATTAGTGATAGGTGAAGAAGAATCTCAAATATGAACACAGATAGCCAAGATTAGCCTAGTATTTGTGGAAAAGCAACACTGAGAAAAGAAAGGCATCAAAATCATCAAACTGAAAAAAAAAAAAACCTTAAAAAGGAAATAACCTGAAAAGGAAAGAAAAAAATAAAGTATAAGTGATACCCTTAGAGAAAATTAAAAGGTTTTCATATCCTGATATCAAGATGGTAAGAGTACATTCATACATATCCATTATCCCATAATGTAGGCAGGTTAAAATTCCTCCATTAGAAGACAAAGACTCTAATTGGCTTAAAGAAAAAAAGTCTTGATACCATATACTAGCAGCATAGTGTTTAATAGCATGGGTTCTAGATTTGAATCCTAGTTCCAATACCTATTAAAACCCATTTATGCCTAGTGTTCCATTATTGGAACGCTAAGCATGTGGGAATTATTTATATCCTACTGCTCAAGGTTGTTTTTTGATTGCAAAAATTCAAAAAAATTGCAACCTCAGGCATAAATGGGTTAATGATTGATGAAATAAAAACTTACATAATTGGGCTGAATGGAAGGATGGATTCAGTAAAAGTGTAAGATTGACCCAAGAAATTCTCCCTAAATATAGCACTAAAATATAAAGTAATGACAATTATGAGATAGAAAGTAAATGACATGGAAGACAGGTAATTGGACATTTTTCCTATAAGCTTTCTAAAGATAACAGAGAAAAAAGAGGGGAAGAATTATTCAAATAAATAATTGCAAATTTTTCAGAACTGATGGAAAATATACATTTTCAGATTTAAGAGTCTACTACGTGTTGAGCAAGAAAAAAAGAAAAATAATCCAGAAGTGTCATCTTAAATTTTTAAAGCTCCAAGGCTATAGAGAAATACTTAAAACTTCCAAAAGACAAACCCCCCCCCCCCCGACCAACAACCAGGTTATCTAGAAAGAAAGGATAATCAGATCAGCATGGAAACAGTAGATCAGCATAAGGGAGAAAAAAGGAAAAATTAACTTCAAAATTCTGAGTGGAAGTTACTTTGAACTTCAAATTTTATACCCAGCCAAAGTAACATTCAAGTGGGAGGTCAAAATAAAGATATCTTTATGAAACGGCCTGGTTTCACTGTTCAGTTTGAACTTTTAGTGAACCCACTTAGTTAGGGTAACTGAGTAATCACCCTTAGTAATTAGCATGCATTTAAATTTGGCACATATTGTTCATGTGTATAAAAATCTAGTTAATCTGATAAATCCAACATAATAGGAGTATGTCACTTTCTTTAATAGCTCTGTCCTGACGTCTTTCAGAGTAATGTAAATGCACAAAAAGTAAACCTTTACTTTAAACAACTTCCTGTGGTAGGTAGCACATATATTATTTTAATGCCCTGAAATTTAGAAAGGTCTCTTCAGCCAGCAGTAAGAAGAAAAGCTTCTTTCATTTTCTGTTTTCCAGGTCATTGGCATTCAAATGTTCTTAATGCTTCTGTAAAAACAGAAACTAAAATCTTCTCTTCCTTACTCCAATTTTTCTATTTCTTTATAACTTTTGGTGAACCACATTACCTGTGTCTGAGGCATGCTAGTGTGGTTTTATAAACAGCTATTTTAACTGGCAGAGTCAGTTAGAAGTTTTGCAATATACAATGCTTTTCTTATTTATTTATTTTTTTTTTTTTTTTGAGACAGAGTCTCACTCTGTCGCCCAGGCTGGAGTGCAGTGGCACGATCTAGGCTCACTGCAAGCTCCGCCTCCCGGGTTCACGCCATTCTCCTGCCTCAGCCTCCTGAGTAGCTGGGACTACAGGCGCCCGCCACCACGCCTGGCTAATTTTTTGTATTTTTAGTAGGGACGGGGTTTCACCGTGTTAGCCAGGATGGTCTCGATCTCCTGACCTCGTGATCCACCTGCCTCGGCCTCCCAAAGTGCTGGGATTACAGGCGTGAGCCACTGCGCCCGGCCTACAATGCTTTTCTTATGTCACGTTGTTAAACTCAGCTGCAAATGAAGTTTTTTAATGTAAAAAAACGACATTTTTGGACATTAAAGATTTTTAAAGTTTACATCCCACAGGGCTTTTACAAGATAATATTCCAGAATGTATTTCAGCAAAAGAAAACAAATTATCGTAGAAATTAGAAGACAAGGGATGCAAGAGAAAAGAGTGAACAAGAAGGCCAGAAAAACAAAAGTTTAAATAATTGTTGGTGGATAATGGAATATAATTTTCTTAATACTCTGGAGTTAAATTCCAACTGTTTTCAACATGGGGGTGGTAAATTTGGGGTAAATCTGCCTTGTCTTTTTCAAGATATAGACACTGATTTATTCTGTTTCAAAAAATATGTAAGTTTAAATCTGTTTAATAATAATTATATTGTTACTAATTTGAGGGTAATTGCTAGAAAATTGGAAATAGAATAAATAATGATATGATTTAGATTTGTGTCTCCGCCAAAATTTCATGTCGAGTTGTAATCCCCAGTGTTGGATGAGGGGCCTGGTGAGAGGTGACTGGATCATGGGGGCTGATTTCTCCCTTGCTGTTCTCATGATAGTGAGTGAGTTCTCACAAGATCTGGTTGTTTTTTGTTTGGTTGGTTGGTTGTTTTTTCAAAGTGTGTAGCACCTTCCCATCTGTGCTCTCTTTTCCTCCTTCTCCAGCCACGTAAGATATGCCTGCTTCCCCTTCACCTTCTGCCACGATTCTAAGTTTCCTGAGGGCCTCCTCAGCCATGCTTCCCGTATAACCTGCAGAACTCTGAGTCAATGAAACCTCTTTTCTTTATAAATTACTCAGTCTCAGGTAGTTCTTTATAGCAATGCAAGAACAGACTAATATAAATACCTGCCAAATTAAAGAAGGAAAGAAAGAAAATGGAATAAAGGAAATGTCATCAATTCAACAAGGATAGAAAAAGAAAAATAACTATAACAAAAAAGAATGGTAACTGGAAGATACAAAATGACATATTAAGTTTCTTATAGTACCAAAAATTCAAAAATATCAATAAGCAGCTAGGATGGTAAAAATTTATTTCCAGCTCACATCACTTGATGGTCATGAGTTGACTATGTCACTGCCTCAGGATGTGGGTCTGTTCCATGTATTTTCTCAATCTAGGACTTGTAATGATAGAGCACCCTTATCTGAGGCATACTTATTTTCTTTCTTTCTTTTTTTTTTTTTTTTGAGACGGAGTTTCCCTCTGTCGCCCAGACTGGAGTGCAGTGGCGCAATCTCCGCTCACTATAAGCTCCGCCTCCCGGGTTCACGCCATTCTCTTGGCTCAACCTCCTGAGTAGCTGGGACTACAGAGGCCCGCCACCACGCCCGGCTAATTTTTCGTATTTTTAGTAGAGATGGAGTTTCACTGTGTTAGCCAGGATAGTCTCAATCTCCTGACCTCGTGATCCGCCCACCCAGCCTCCCAAAGTGCTGGGATTACCGGCGTGAGCCACCGAGACATGCTTATTTTCATGGCAGAGGGGCAAGGAGAGAGAGGCTACCCACACTCCACTGGCTAAAGGAAAGCACATGTCCAAGCCCATCATCAGAGAGGCACCGAAGTATAACCCTGTCTTAGATGGAAAAGAGAGTGAATATTTGCTAGTAATAATACAATTTACCCCAGATAGTAAGAATACATTCATCCATATTAGTTATCCCAATAAACATGATGACCTGAAATTCCCCTGTTAAAGAACAAAGACTCTAATGAATTAAAAAATCTAGATGCCATTACTAGTAGTACAGTGATTAGTATAGCACTACAGGCTCTGGATTTCCATCCTGGGTCCTCCACCTATTAGGTATATGTAAAGTGAGCATATGAATAGTATCTGCTACCTACTGAATAGAGTTACCGTGATTAATAAATAATAATATTAATATATATAATATATAATACAAGTTTGGCCGGGCGCGGTGGCTCACGTCTGTAAACCCAGCACTTTGGGAGGCCGAGGCGGGCAGATCACAAGGTCAGGAGATCGAGACCATCCTGGCTAACAGAGAAACCCCGTCTCTGCTAAAAATACAAAAATTAGCCGGGTGTGGCGGCAGGAGCCTATAGTCCCAGCTGCTGGGGAGGCTGAGGCAGAATGGCGTGAACCCGGGAGGCAGAGCTTGCAGTGAGCCGAGACTGTGCCACTGCACTCCAGCCTGGGCGACAGAGCGAGACTCCATCTCAAAAAATATATATATATGTATATATATAAAATATAAATAATAATAATAAATAATAAATTAATAAATAAGTACCTGTACTCTACTATATGGACAATACCATACAAGGATTGCATGAAAAGTGACTGGTGAATAGTGCTTAATGTTGGCTATTACTGTTACTATAAAGAGATACCTGAAAAAAAATGACAGGTTTAAAGTGTGAAAATGCAAGAACAAATAAAGATAGAACAAGAAAATACTAATGAAAACAAACAAAGAGGTCAGGTGTGGTGGCTCCCACTTGCAATCCCAACATTTTGGGAGGCCAAGGAGGGAGGATTGCTTAAAGCCATGAGTTTTGTTTTGCTTTCAAAATTTCTTATGTTTCTGCATAAACAAAACAGCTCAGGCAACATAGCAAGACCTCTTCCACAGAAAATAGCCTGGGCAATATAGTGAGACCCTCCCTACAAAAAAATTTAAAAATAAGCTGGGCATGCTGGTGCATGCCTGCAGTCCTAGCTACTCAGGAGGTTGAGGCATGAGGATCACCTGAGCCCAGGAGTTTGAAGCTGCAATGAGCTATGATCGTACCACTGCACTCCAGCCTGGGTGACAGAGGGAGATCCTATCTCAAAAAATAAAATAAAATAAAACCATGGAATTAAACATTATGAATTAAAGATGCTCCCACTCCTACTTGAAAACCCACTAATGATACAGTAAAGGAATTTTTTAATACGCATAAGCTTATAAGGACAAAGAGATGCAACAACATCTTAGCAAAAGGATAGCAGTTAGATAATAATTAATAATTATTAAATTATTAATTTAATAACTAAATAACCAGAAAAGGCTAATGCCTGTTTGAAACCCAGAAGTAGGCAGCTTTGTGCCACAAACCACCAGAAAATCTCAAGAATGGGAGGCACCACTCTGAATAAAGAGGATGAAGTTACTGTGAGGCTGGAAATGGGATTATTGATTGAAAGTCCACATAGGATGCAGTCAGATCTCTAACTCTGTCTCCATGGAAGACTAGAGAGAATGAACTAGAGTGACACTGGACTTAGGGCTTAGGCGAGGAATGAGGGCCCATACTGAATACAATAGAGTTAAGAGAAATGCTTTATACTATGGAATGTGAGACCTCTAGTCCCCTTCCTCCACTGGGCTCCAAGAATACTGGTAGTCTGCTCTATTAGTCTCAGGCATTGGAGACCACTCCTTCTCAGGCATGATTAGCCTAAGAAAAGACCTTCAAATATTGATGGTTGGGGTCCCCCAACTACACTGCCCAGACAGATCTCATAGTAATTCCACTAGGAAATAAGCCACACCCACTCATAGAGAGCTTCCATTAAGCTTTTTTCCCCCTATATGCTTTAAGTGACTCACTTCTAACTGTGAATAAAATTATCATCTAAGGATTGAGTTAGTTAAGGAAACTTTCCACATAAAAGCAAAAATCGGCCAGGCCCAGTGGCTTACACTTGTAGTCCCAGTACTTTGGGAGGCCCTGGCAGGAGGATCACTTGAGCCCAGGAGCTCAAGACCAGGCTGGGCAACATGGCAAGACCCCATCTCTACAAAAAATAGCCAGGATGGTGGCACACACCTGTAGTCCTAACTACATGGGAGGCTGAGGTGGGAGGATCGCTTGAGCAGTGAGGCTGCAGTGAGCTATGATCAGGCCACTGTACTCCAGCCTGGGCAACAGAGTGAGACCCCGTCTCAAAATAAATAAATACACAAATAAAAGCACAAATCAAAACAAAAAACTAACAAAAGAGAAAATAAAATTGAGGAACCAGAAATGATGCAGAAACGCAAGAAATTTTGAAAGCAAAACAAAACATTATTTTCGAAGAGGTAAAATATAGTATCTATTTTTATTTATTTGTATATTTTTTGAGATAGGGTCTCACTCTGTTGCCCAGGCTGGAGTGCAGTGTTACCACCCCAGCTCACTGCAGCCTCGACCTCTTGGGCTCAAGTGATCCTCCCACTCTGGCCTTTCAAGTAGCTGGGTATAGGAGGACGCCATCATGCCCAGCTAATTTCTTTCTTTCTTTTTTTAATCTACAACCTTATTTTGAAAAATCTTTTTTTTTTTTTTTTTTTGTCTCTGTCACCCAGGCTGGAGTGCAGTGGCACAATCTCGGCTCACTGCAACATCCGCCTCCTGGGTTCAAGCGATTCTCCTGCCTCAGTCTCCCGAGTAGCTGGGATTACAGGCGCCTGCCACTACACCTGGCTAATTTTTGTACTTTTTAGCAGAGACAGGGTTTCACCATATCAGCCAGGTTGGTCTCGAACTCCTGACCTTGTGATCCACCTGCCTCAGCCTCCCAAAGTGCTGGGATTACGGGCGTGAGCCACTGGGCCTGGCCATGCCCAGCTAATTTCTTTCTATTTTGTGTAGAGACGGGGTTTCGCCATGTTGCCTAGGCTGGTCTCAAACACCTGAGCTCAAATGATGCGCTCGCCTCGACCTCCCAAAGTGCTGGGATTGCAGAAGTGAGCCACGACGCCCAGCCTGATAATTGCATCTATTTAAAAAGATAAGAAGGCCAGCTGTCTTAGAAATTAAAAATACAATAGCACATATGAAAAATTCGATGAACTTTTTCAATGAAATAAAAAAACTGAAAAAAAATTTTTAATGAAAAAATTCAATGAAGAGACATTTGAGAAAATTCCATAAGACATGGAAGAAAAAAAGAACTTGAGTAAGAAAGAGGATGAAAATGGGCTAGAAGTGATAGAGGATCAGTGCATCAGTGTGGCAGGCTACTGAGGAACAGGAGTTCCAGAGAGAAAACAAAGGAGACAAAAATTATCAAGTCAACAATTTAAGAGCTCTCTCAGACATAAAAGACATGAGTTTCTAGATGGAAAGTACCAACTGATGATACAGGAGTCGGGCAGGGAAGTGCTGGGAAGGGAAAGGCATGGTCCCTGGCTAGGACCCCCGGGCCTGTGCCCACGAACCTAAGTTTTGTTTCTGTTTTCCTGCCCAAATGCTGCATTTCCCAACACGCCCCCACCCTGTGCCTATAAAACCCCCAAGACCCTAACAGGCAGAGACACAAGCAGCTGGACATCCAGAGAAGCTTATCGCTGGAAGAAGACACAAGTGGCTGGACTTCAAGAGGAACACATCAGCGTAAGAGCACACCGACAGACGCCGGCAAGCCATCGCGGAGTTTGGTCGGGATGGTGGGAGGACACTCCGGGCCACTGAGCTGCCCGATTCCAGGGGAAAACCACCTTCCCACTCCATCCCCTTCTGGCTCCCCCATCTGCTGAGAGCTACTTCCACACAATAAAACCTTGCACTCATTCTCCAAGCCCAGGTGTATTCCGATTCTTCCGGTACACCAAGGCAAGAAACCCCGGGATACAGAAAGTCCTCTGTCTTTGCGGTAAGGCAGAGGGTCTAATTGAGCTGACTAACATAAACTGACTACCGACAGCTAAACTAAAAGAGCACCCTGTAACACGCGCCCACTGGGGCCTCAGGAGCTGTAAACATTCACCCTTAGACACTGCCGTGGGGTCGGAGCCCCACAACCTGCCCGTCTGCATGCTACCCCTAGGGGCTTGAGCATCGGGGCACCCAAGAAGCAAGCCACACCCCCATCACACACCCTGCGAGGGGGACAAGGGAATTTTTTCCGTTTCACTAATGCCTAGCAGAGTGGATGAAAATAAACCCCTACTAAGGCAACTCATTGTGAAATTTCAGAGCACTCAGGACAAAAGATACTGAAAGCTTCCAGGAAATAAAACAGGCCATAGACAAAGGAGTGGAGATCAGACTGGCTAACATGCCTCAAGAACATGACTAGAACCAGCAATGCTTTCAAAATCCTCAGGGAAAATGATTTCCTGGGCTGGGCAAGGTGGCTCACACTTTGTAATCCCAGCACTTTGGGAGGCCGAGGTGGGTGGATCACTTGAGTTTGAGACCAGCCTGGCCAACATGGCGAAACCCCATCTCTACCAAAAATACAAAAAATTAGTCGGGCGTGGTGGCGGGCGCCTGTAGTCCCAGCTACTCGGGAGGCTGAGGCAGGAGAATGGCGTGAACCCGGAAGGTGGAGGTTGCAGTGAGCCGAGATTGTGCCACTGCACTCCAGCCTGGGCGACAGAGCGAGACTCCATCTTAAAAAAAAAAAAAAAGAAAGAAAAGAAAAAAGAAAATAATTTCCAACTTAGAAATCTACAGATACCCCCAAACTATCAATCAAATGTAAGAGTAAAATAAAGACATTTTTCCACAGGCTACCCTCACGTAGGCTGTTGTAAGAAGTTTGGATCCAAGCAGAGGGAAATCCATTAACTCCTGAGACAATAGAAAGCTATCTGAAAATGATATATAATCACAGTATATGAAATAAGTTGGCTGTGAATCACATCTTCATAGAAGTAATAATGAATATTGAATATTGATCTAACCAAAAATTTTAACTATTCTGGGAGGATGTGGAGAATGGAAATGGAAATGCAATGGGGTCATGTGAGAGAACAAAATAATAATGTTCAACAACAGGAAATGAAGAAAATATAAAACTGAAAATTCAAGGGATTTCAGTGGTGGGAAGATTATTTATTTATTTATTTATTTATTTTTATTTTGAGATGGAGTCTCGCTCTGTCACCCAGGCTGCAGTGCAGTGGCGCCATCTCGACTCACTGCAACCTCTGGATCCCAGGTTCAAATGATTCTCCTGCCTCAGCCTTCTGAAGAGCTGGGATTATAGGCACGAGCTGCCATGCTCGGCTAATTTTTGTTTTTTTTTTTTTGTATTTTTTTAGTAGAGAAGGGGTTTCACCATGTTGGCCAGGCTGGTCTCAAACTCCTGACCTCAGGTGATCCACCCACCTTGGCCTCCCAAAGTGCTGGGATTACAGGTGTGAGCCACCACACCTGAGTGGAAGATTATTATTTAGAAATGTGGAAGCAATTATCCAAAACAATGTAATAAGTGATTGTCTCTAGGTTGAGAAAATTGAGTGGGGGTTGGGTTGAGGCAATACATTTCTTTTTTTTTTCCTTTTTTTATTTTTTGAGACAGGGTTTCACTCTGTTGCCCAGTGCAGTAGCAAGATCATAACTCACTGCAGACATGATGTCCTCCTGGGCTCAAGTTATCGTCCCATGTCAGCCTCCTGAGTAGCTGGGACTACAGGTGTACACCACCATGCCTGGCTAATTTTTTTAAATTATTTTTTGTAAAGACAGGTTCTCCCTATGTTGCCCAGCCTGGTCTCAAACTCCTGTGGCTCAAGCAATCTTCCCACTTCAGCCTCCCAAAGTGCTAGGATTACAGATGTGAGCCACTATGCCTGGCCATTTTAAATCTTGTATTTGATTTTTAAAACCATTTGCACACGTAAACTAAAATTTATACAGATTAAAAAATAAAGACAGTAAGAGGCCAGGCACAGTAGCTCGTGCCTGTAATCTCAGCACTTTGGGAGGCTGAGGCGGGAGGATCACTTGAGGTCAGGAGTTTGCGACCAGTCTGGCCAACATACTGAAACCCAGTCTCTACTAAAAATATATATATAAATTAGCCAGGCGTGGTGGTGCATGCCTGTAGTCCCAGCTATTTGGGAGACTGAGGTAGGAGAATCCCTTGAACCCAGGAGGCAGAGGTTGCAGTGAGCTGAGATCACACCACTGCCCTCCACCCTGGATGACAGAGCAAGATTCTGTCTCAAATTAAATAAATAAATAAATAAATAAATAAATAAATAAATAAAGACAAGTTTTGGCCAGGCGCAATGGCTCAGGCTGGGCACAGTGGCTCACGCCTGTAATCCCAGCCCTTTGGGAGGCCAAGGCAGACAGATCACGAGGTCAGGAGATCGAGACCATCCTGGCCAACATGGTGAAACTAAAAATACAAAAAAATTATCTCAGTGTAGTGTCACATGCCTGTAATACCAGGTATTTGGGAGGCTGAGGCAGGAGAATTGCTTGAATCCAGGAGGTGGAGATTGCAGTCAGCCAGAATCAAGCCACTGCATTCCAGCCTGGCTACAGAGCCAGACTCCGTCTCCAAAAAATAAAAATTTAAAAAAGACAATAAATTTTGCAAAATAATATCAGACAAAATAGAATTCTAACCAAAAGTATAAGAGTGAGAAAAGATATTTCATAATGATAAAAGACACGATATGCCTAGAAAATATATTTTCACGAGCCTTTCCCCTTGTAATAACAAAACTTTAATATACATGCAAATATGCAAAAAAATTTGACAAAATCTTAGTGGGACACTTTAACATACCTTTCTCAAAAATTGACAAAACAGACAAAAAATTAATTCTGCATGCACACAGAAGATTTGAATAATATAAATAACTAGATTGTATATATAATGGATATACATACATACATACACACATATGCACATACATTTACACATACATATACACATATATATTCACATGCAGTCTTTTCAGTTGACCTCAGAATACTCCTGAGCCTGTATGTAGCCTCTATGAATTAGGCTACATAGAAAATCTCAATATAGGCCGGGCGGTGTCTCACGTCTGTAATCCCAGCACTTTGGGAGGCTGAGGCAGGAGAATAGCTTTAGCCCAGGAGTTGGAGACCAGCCTGAGCAACATAGTGAGACCTGTCTCTATGTAAAAATATATTTTTAAAAAATTTAGTAATAAATGAAAGAAAATTTCAATATACTTCAAAAAGTACAAATTATATGTACATGGCCATACATTCATTCTCTGGCTATGAGGCGATAAAATCAGAAATAATAGTAAAAGGGTAGCAAAAAAAAAGAAAAAGAAAAAAGAAATCAATTAGCTTTTAAATTTTAAAAAAATGTTTACTCTCTGCAAGGCGCAGTGGCTCACGCCTGTAATCCCAGCACTTTGGGAGGCCGACGCAGGCAGATGGAGGTCAGGAGTTCGAGACCAGCCTGGCTAACATGGTGAAACCCCGTTTCTACTAAAAATACAAAAAATGTGCCGGGTGTGGTGGTGTGTGCCTGCAATCCCAGCTACTCAGGAGGCCGAGGCGAGAGAATTGCTTGAACCCAGGAGGCAGAAGTTGCAGTGAGCCGAGATTGTGTCATTGCACTCCAGCTTGGGCAACAAGAGCGAAACTCCATCTCAAAAAAAAAAAAAAAAAAAAAAGGCCAGGCGCGGTGGTTCACGCCTATTAACCTAGCACTTTGGGAGGCCAAGATGGACGGATTGCCTGAGCTCAGGAGTTCGAGACCAGCCTGGGCAACATGGTGAAACCCTGTCTCTATTAAAGTAAAAAAAAAGCCAGGCATGGTGGCAGGCGCCTGTAATCCCAGCTACGTGGGAGGCTGAGACACAAGAATTGCTTGAACTTGGGAGGTAGAGGTTGCAGTGAGCCGAGGTCATGCCATTGCACTCTAGCCTGGGCAACAAAGTGAAACTCTGTCTCAAAAAAAAAAGTTCAATCTCTAGGATAAAATAAGAAATAATTAAAATCATTAACTGCTTAAAGGAGAGTGGGAGTACCACATAACAAACCACAGGCAGCTTGAAGATAATTATTGAAAAAGAAATGTATAGTTAGTAGGAGGAATTAATTGAAAAGGAGAAAAACCCAGCATATTAAATCAATTAAACCAAAAACTGTTTCGTGTGGGGGTGCCGAAGTGGGGGCAATAGACAAGCTTTAGAAAAGACTGAACAACAAAAACGGGAAGGCACATCAATAAAATTAAGAAAAGGGACAAAATTATAAATTCATACCAAAAAAATTAAGCTGCTAGATGAAATGGAAGATATTCTAAAAAGTATAAATTATCAAAACTGACTGTTTTCTAAAACAAAAAGCACTTTATGTGGATTTGAAAAGTTTTTATTGTGATAAAACACAAGTAACATGAAATACGCCATTTTAAGCAGTTTAAGTGTATAATTCAGTGGCGTTAATTACATTCACATTGTTGTGCAGCCCTCACCACTATCTGTTTTCAAATCTTTTCCATCACCCTAAACAGAGACTTTGTGACCTTTAGGCAGTAACTCCCTATTCCTCTCTTCTCCCAGCCCTTGGTCACCTCTCATCTACTTTCCGCCTCTATGAATATGCCTTTTCTAGATATTTCATATAAGTAGAATCATACACTGTCTCTTTGTGAGTGGCTTATTTCAGCTAGCATGTTCTCAAGGATCGTCCATGTTGTAGCATGTATTGGAACTTCATTTCTCTTAAAGGATGAACACTATATCCTATTGTATGTACATACCACATTTTGTTTATCCATTCATCTGTTGATAGACACTTGGATTGTTTCCACCTTTTGGCTATTGTGAATAACACTGTAATGAACATTGGGGCCAAAAGTGACATTTAAAGAGGAAAAAAAGGCCAGGTGCGGTGGCTTATGCCTGTAATCCCAGCACTCTGGGAGACTGAGGCGGGTGGATCACCTGAGGTCAGGAGTTCGAGACCAGCCTGACCAACATGGTGAAACCCCCGTCTCTACTGAAAATACAAAAATTAGCCAGGCGTGGTGGCGGGCGCCTGTAATTCCAGCTACCCGGGAGGTGGAGACAGGAGAATTACTTGAACCTGGGAGGCGGAGGTTGCAGTGAGCCGAGATGGCGCCACTGCACTCCAGCCTGGGTAACAGAGCAAGACTCCGTCAAAAAAAAAAAAAAAAAGAGGTAGAAAAACAGAATAAGCCAATTACTACAGGAGAAATTAAAGTTACTGAAAAATACATCCTGAAAAAGCTGTTTGGCTCAGACAATTACAGGAAAGTTCTCTCAGACTTTAGGACATAGAAAGGTTCCAGAGGCTAGAAAAAGATGGAAAGTTTCCCAAATTATTCTACAAGGCTAACACAGTCTTGCTGTCTAGAGAAACTTTAAAATAAATAGCCTAAAAAAAGAAAACTATAAAGGAACGTCACTTAAAAATATAGGCACAGCCGGGCACGGTGGCTTGCGCCTGTAATCCCAGCACTTTGGGAGGCCAAGGCGGGCAGATCACAAGGTCAGGAGATCGAGATCATCCTGGCTAACACGGTGAAACCCCGTCTCTACTAAAAATACAAAAAATTAGCCAGGCTTGGTGGTGGGCGCCGGCAGTCCCAGCTACTTGGGAGGCCGAGGCAGGAGAATGGCGTGAACCCAGGAGGCAGAGCTTGCAGTGAGCCGAGATTGCGCCACCGCACTCCAGCCTGGGCAACAGAGCGAGACTCGGTCTCAAAAAAAAAAAAAAAACAAAATATATATATATATATATATATATATATATACACACACACAAAAATCCTAAGTGGGAATTCAAATAAAATACTGGCAAATAGAATTTATCCATATATCTAAAGACTAATTCTAAAGTGATTGGCCTAATAGGGTTTATTCCAGGAATATAAAGCTACTTCAATATTAGGAGATCTCTTAATAGAATTCAACACTTCCAATTTAAAAAAGAAAAAATATAATAATCTCAAATGTGAAACAGTATTTTGGTTAAATTTCAACATCACTTTCTGAGCAAATTAGAAAAACAGATACTTTTTTCAGCAAACATTATACTTAACTGTGAGATGATAGAAGTACTCTCATTGAAAGTCACAAGATAGAGGGGTACTTGCTATTCCCACTCCAACCTCATGCTGGATATTCCAATAAGGGAAGCCAAGAAAAGAAGTAAAAGATAAAAAACCAAACACCGCATGTTCTCACTCATAGGTGGGAACTGAACAATGAGAACACATGGACACAGGAAGGGGAACATCACACACCCGGGACTGTTGTGGGGTGGGGGGACGGGGGAGGGATAGCATTAGGAGATATACCTAATGCTAAATGACGAGTTAGTGGGTGCAGCACACCAACATGGCACATGTATACATATGTAACAAACCTGCACATTGTGCACATGTACCCTAAAACTTAAAGCATAATAATAATAAAATTAAAAAAATAAAAAACCAGGGAGAAGAAAGGAGAAACTCTCATAGTTAGTATCATAGTCTGTTTAGAAAATTCCTAAGAATTGACAGAAAAAAAAAAGAGTATTCAGTAAGACAGCCACACACACAAAAATCTCATTTTTCTGTATACTCTCATTAAGTGATTTAAAAATCCATGGGGGGTGCGGAACCCAAAACCCTTTCACATTAGCAACAACAACTGCCTTAAAATTGACTTACAATGAAATGAAGACAAGTATAAAACTTTAAGAAGCAAAAAAATAAGCACCTAAATAAACAGAACCGCAAATAGTGTTCCTAAATCCGGAGACTCAGTGTTTTTATGATGTCAATTATCTCATTAGTTTGTCAATTCCAATAACTTTCAATTGGCTGTTTAGAGGAAACTTGGCAAACAGATGCTAAAGTGCTTCAGGAAGAGGAAACTAACAAGAAAAGACAAAACATTGAAAAATAAGAATAATGGGAGAAGAACTGCCCTGCCAGAGAGCAACATAAACTGCAAGGCTATAGAAATTAAACAGGGTTATAACCTTGCAGGGAGAGATAAAAAGACAAACATCCATTTATACATGGGAACTTACATCACCAAAGTGGCATCTCAAGTTAGTGGGGGGGAATGATAGAACATTTGCTATCTACTGAAGAAAATAAACCTAGATCACTACCTCATATTATACAGACAAATACCAGACAAATTAAAGAAAATGTCTGGGTTCAGTAGCTCATGCCTCTATTCTCAGCTCTTTGGGAGGCCAAGGTGAGTGGATCACTTGAGCCCAGGAGTTCGAGACCAGCCTGGGCAACAAAGCGAGACCCTATCTCTACCAAAAATTAAAAAAAAAAAAAAATTAGCTGGACATGGTGGTGCGAACCTGTGGTCCCAGTTACACAGAGGGCTGAAGTGGGAGGTCAAGGTTGCAATGAACCATAATCGTGCCACTGCACTTCAGCCTGGGTGAGAGAGAAAAAAAAAGTGTTCGAATGAAAACATCCAAACTTAGAAGAAAATGGTGAAGATGTTTGAATCACCTTACCAAGGACAGACTTTCTAAGCAACACAGCAGACCAGAAGTGCTCTCTGGTGTCAGGCGGCAGTCCTGGGCCAGGGCCAAGCACTCCAGTGTGCCCACATCAGTCCCCTCTAAGCCCTGTTTCCTAAGCCTGGGAGGTCCCCCAAGAGACTTATGCTATTTACAGCCTCCTGGTGGGGGAAGGTGAAACCGTATCTTCAGGGGCTTTTAAACCATGTCTGAGTTAACACCGATTCCTGGGACCCGAAAACACCAGGACTCCCTATTTAGAAGAATATATAAGGCTGCAGTGAGCCGAGATCACTCCACTGCACTCCAGACTGGGTGACAGAGCGAGACTCTATCTCAAAAAAAAAAAAAAAAAGAGGAAAAAAGAAGGAGGACATAAAAGCACTCATAAAAGTATTTCTGACTTTGTTTCTGTAACATATTTGGCTTCCACTTGAGATTTCATTCGACTTATTCAAATGGGTTCCGTGGCCTATAAAAACTGGTGGTACACGCCATATCATTATAACCAGCACTGTCCAATAGAACTTTCCAAGAGGATGGAATTATTCTGTCTTCACTATCCAGTTTGGTAACAACTACCCACATGTGGCTATTAAACACCGAAAATATGGCTAGCATAACAGAGGAACTGATTGTTTTACTTTAATTTAATTACACCAATTAGTTAGTTGATTAAATTATTTTGAGATGGAGTCTTGCTCTATCACCCAGGCTGGAGTGCAGTGGCAAGATCATGGCTCATTGCAGCCTCGACCTTCCAGGCTCAAACAATCCTCCCACTTCAGCCTTCGGAGTAGCCGGGACCACAGGTACACACCACCACACACCCTGTTATTTTTTTTTATTTGTAGAGACTAGGTCTCACTGTGTTGTCCAGGCTGGTCTCAGATTCCTGGGCTTAAGCAATCCTCCTACCTTGGCCTTCCAAAGTGCTGGGATTACAGGTGTGAGCCATTATGGCTGGTTTAAGTTTAATTATAAATAGTTGCATGTGACTGGTGGTGAATGTATTGGACTGTACAGGTTTTAGCCTTTATCGGTCTCAGCCTGAAAGCCTGGTAATAGATACATCAGAGTGCAGGCCACGATTATTAGGACTGGGACCAGGAGAGCCTGCAAAGGGAGTGTAGTATTTTCCTATTGATGCTGGAACAAATTACTACAAACTTCGTGGCTTAAAACAACACAAATTTCTTGTCTTACAGTTCCAGAGGTCAGAAATCTCAATTAGTCTTATGAGTTAGGCTAAAGTTAGGTGTTGGCAGGGCTGGCTCCTTTAGAGGGCGGGGGAGAATCCATTCCTTGCGGTTTCCAGAGGCTGCCTACATTCTTCTGCTCATAGCCCCCTCCTCCATCTTCAAAGCCAGCCCTTAGCATCTTCAAAATCTCCCTTTCTCTGTGACCTTTGCTTCTGTCCTCACATCGCCTTCTCTGAGTCTGACCCTCCTGCCTCGCTCTGATAAGGACCCTTATGATTACATTGGGCCTACTGGGCTAATCCAGTATCGTCTCCCCATCTCAAGATCTTTAACTTAATCATAAAGCCTCTTTTGCCATGTAATGTAACAAATTCACAGGTTCTGGGGATTAGGCTGTAGACATTGTAGGGTAAGGGGACATTATTATTGTGCTTACCACCAAGGATAGCCAACTGTTCCCATCACATAAAATCTGGGCTAATGACCTCACCCCTGGAAACAGACCTGGAGGTGGGCTTGAGCAAGAAGCCTCTCTGTGGGCACAATTCCCACCTTCATGCTGAATCATCTTGGATTCAGCTCAAGATAGACGGAGCAGGGCCCAGACTCCTTAAGGAGAAGGCTGTTAGGGCCCAGCAGAAAGAGGATCTGGTCCCAGCCAAAGCACTGAGGTTGGGCACAGAGCTCCAGTTCTTGGGGTGATAGCCTGGCTGCAGCCCTGGGGTGTGGGGGACTCACACTGAGGGGGTTGGGTGACGAGGTTGGGGTGTCTGTGAGCAGAAGCCTGCACATTATCTTCTGGACATCAGAGAGTTATTGACTGTTTTTTGAGCTGTGAAGTTATATAAACAGTAAAATGTTTAAAGAAGATTAAGCTGGCAGTTGTGTACAAGTGGGGCCAGGGGGAGGGGGGTGGGGAACTGGCGAATAAATACAGGCAGGGAATGATTAGTTTCAGAGGAACAGTGGGAATACGGAGAGAAGAAAATATGTGCAAGAAACATCCTGTCAAACAGAAAACGCACTAAAAATACCACTGCTGAGCTAAATAAAAAAATGGCAGCAACATCTTAAATCATTTTGGAAAAAAATAATTTCAGTTTTTATTGGTTTATATACTCAAAGAATTTGTGTAATTGTAGAGTCTGTTAAATGGTGTTATTAATGCCTGCAGCTGTCACTGTACAAAATATATTTAACAGGTATATGCTGAAACCTTAAAATACTCACCAAGTGTTAATCACTTATACTCACCATACTTAATCATTCAGTTATTTGAAAGAGCGTAATGTTACAGGTATTTGAATTAGCAAAGATATGAGGCTGAGGATTGCTCCTCCAGGAGAGCAACAGCTAGATATATTTTCACCATAGAAAGTTTTGACATTTACGGTCGAGCGTGGTGGCTCACGCCTGTAATCCCAGCACTTTGAAAGGCCAAGGTGGGTGGATCACCTGAGGTCAGGAGTTCAAGACCAGCCTGGCCAACATGGTGAAACCCCATCTCTACTAAAAATATAAAAATTAGCCAGGTGTGGTGACAGGTGCCTATAATCCCAGCTACTCAGGAGGCTGAGGCAGGAGAATCACTTGAACCCAGGAGGCGGAGGTTGCAGTGAGCCGAGATCATGCCACTGCACTCCAGCCTGGGTGACAGAGCAAGACTCCACCTCAAAAAAAAAAAAAAAAAAAAGAAAGTGTTGACATTTACTACCTTTCACCTTTAGAAAAAATGAGCCCTGCTTTTTCTTACCAGATGGCCCCTCTCTCTGTGGCTTGTGTGCCATCTGGAATTTGTTTTGATAAATCCAAACACTAGGGCTATGTTATCTTCCCAGCTAAATATAACATTTAGTTAATTAGCCTGGCAACCTATGCATTTCTTTCACATGCTAAAAAAGATAGCACTGCATCTATAGTGTGTTCTGGCTACTGGGGATAAACCACCAAAGAGAAATCAGTCTTTCTGGTTAGTGACCTCTACAACAACTTGGAAGGAGGAACCAGACGCAGACTGGAGTCCTTGAGGAGGCTTAGACTACACTGGGGACTTGTGGGTGGGTGCATCCAGCAGGATAGGGGTTTGGATATGCGTAAGATCCCACATTACTCAATGTGCTCATGTCTCCAGACACCAAAAGATGTCCACAAGCCACTGGGCAAGGTGGCTCACGCCTATAATCCCAGCACTTTGGGAGGCCGAGGCGGGCGGATGACTTGAGGCCAGGAGTTCGAGACCAGCCTGGCCAACATCTTGAAACTCTGTCTCTACCAAAAATACAAAAATTAGCTGGGCCTGGTGGTGCGCACCTATAGTCCCAGCTACTCAGGAGGCTGAGGCACAAGAATCGCTTGAACCCAGGAGGCAGAGCTGCAGTGAGCTGTTGCTCTCACACCATTGCACTCCAGCCTAGGCGACAGAGCAAGGCTCCGTCTCAAAAAAAAAAAAAAAATACCCTCAAGCCTATTTTTTCCTTTTCTTTAGAAAATCTTAATTCTTAGAGTGACAGATACATTAATAAGTGAAATCATTTTACAAGCTTGTAACAAAAGCAGCAGCTCCTGTACCAGTTTTCTACTCCCCATTCCCACTACAGGCGATACCAGTTTCAATTAGTTCAGCTGTTTATTTTGATTTTTGCTTTCATATTTTTAAATAACTTGCTTATGCTGCTATTTCTTTATTTTTCTACTTTAATACTATCCTTTGTCTTCCTTCTGCAGAAGAGAATAATTGGCTCTCATACACTACAATTTCTCTCCCAATATAAATAAAATAAAAAATACTTTGGTCAACTGTTACCAGTATTTATATTACTATGACTGTGGAAATACTATTCAAAGCTTAGCCATATGGTATACTATATAATTAACTACATTTTCTTTCTCATACCACGCTTTTTTTCTTTTTTGCTTTCCTAAGATAATTTTTCTTTTTAGATTTTTATGTGCCAATTGCTAATTTATCTTCATTCTTATAAATCTCCTAAAATGTAAATTGCTTCTCCATACATTCAAACATAGTAGGTAATTTATCAATTTTTTTTTCCCTTGGGGCCACCCCTCCTGTAACCCTCTGTCCTCTTGTTTCAGACTGATTCTGTTATGATAATACCAGGGGTTCCGTCTACGTCCTGCTGCTCACCGACCAGAACACCAATCACTGAGCGATTATTTCCAAGGAGGACGGCTTTAACTGGGTGCTGCAGCCTAGGAGATGGGAGATCAGTCTCAAATCCACCTCCCTGATGGACTAAAATTAGGGGTTTACATAGCAGGGAAGAAAAGTAACAACGTGTAGGAAAACAGGAACTAGGGAGGGGTAAGGAAGCAATTGTGATGAATGAGGGGTCTGGCATCTCATTGGCTGATGCGATGATCTGGTGAGTTGCAGTTCTTTGATACTATTTTTTGAGAGGTCTGAGGGTCTTTTCCCAGGGAAAGAACTTAGATAAAACAAATATAAATTTCAAGCTTTAGCATCAGAAGGGTCAATTTCTATGTTTATCCGGAACAAAACAAACAAACAAAAAACCTGTCTATGGGACTATTGGGTCGGTTTCAATTCAATAGCACTCCAGGCCTGCAGGTCACTGTCACTGCAGGACAGCCCTAGCCTCCAGCATGGGCAATGCCTTCCCATGCCTGGACCCTGGGCTTGCCTCTGCTTCAAGCATTCCTTCATGTAGTGGAGTACATCTGTCCTTAAAAGAAAAATAGGGACAGGAAGGTAAAGTTTTTTGAGATTTTATTCTACCCTCACCCTAGACTGATGGTGGTTGCTTGGATGTAGAATTTTAGTTTGAAGCCATTTCCCCTAGAATTTGAAGATGTATAATCCTTGTCTTCTGGTGGTCACTGACAAGGAGTCTGACCCACTCTGATTCCCAGTCTTTCCCCAAGGCTTTGACTGTGTCTTTTTTTTTTTTCTTTCTTTAACTTATTGGAAGCTGTTGAGGTTTTCTGTGTCCTTGGTGTTCTGAGATTTCCTGTGACCTCTGAGTTGTCATTCCTCCCTAGCTCTGGGCACTTGGTGAACCCTCTCCGTCTGCAAACGCACATCTTTCCATTCCAGAAGTTGTCTCTTATGATGGTTTGCTTCATTTCTTTTCCTCACTTTTCTCTGTTTATTCATTCTTGAACTCCCTTCCAGATATTGGACTATCTGAACTTATTGGCTGTTTATTTATTATTTTTTTATTTTCTTGAAACAGGATCACTCTGTCACCAGGCTGGAGTGCAGTGATGCAATCTTGCCTCACTGCAACTTCTGCCTCCTGAGCTTAAGTGATCCTCTGGCCTCAGCCTCCTGAGTAGTTGGGAAGATGGGCATGTGCCACCACGCCAGGCTAATTTTTGTATTTTTAGTAGAGATGGGGTTTTGCCATGTTGCCCAGGCTGGTCTTGAACACCTGAGTTCAAGCAATCTGCCCACCTTGGCCTCCCAAAGTGCTAGAATTACAGGCATTAGCCACCACACCCGGCCATTTGCTAATATTTTAAAAATCTTGTTTCATCCTTTTTTCTTGGTTATTGTTCCATGTCTGTGATATTTCCTAATGTTATTTTCTAACCATTTTATTGACTTCTACATATCTGCTCTCACATTTTTAATTCCTAAGAGCCCTCTTGTCAAAAATTTTGTCTATAACCTCTTGTTCTTGTCTCTTGGGTGCAGTATCTATCCTTAGCTCTGTAAGGATGTTAACTCTGTTGGTTTTTTTGTTTGTTCGTTTGTTTTTGCCCTTTGCCTATTTCTCTCCCCCTCACCAACTTCCTTTTACTTTCATCTTTGTGGTTCATGTTAGAAGCATTTCTCAAATGTCTGATGATCCTTGGCTATCCATTTGTCATTAAGAGTGGAAATTCTGTGAGGGTAGGTGAGGCTTATTGGTTGGTGCACTTCATTTACAGTTCTCTGGCTAGGCTGTTTCACTGGGAAATCCCCAAATGTAAATGGTAGGTGTTTTCTCTCAGGCAGGTTATTTCTCTCTCTTTTTTTTTTTTTTTTTTTTTTTTTTTTTTGAGACAGAATCTGGCTGTGTCACCCAGGCTGGAGTGCAGTGGTGCAATCTAGGCTCACTGCAACCTCTGCCTCTCGTGTTCAAGTGATTCTACTGCCTCAGCCTTTCAAGTAGCTGGGATGACAAGCATACACCACGACGCTCAGATAATTTTTTTCTATTTTTAGTGGAGACGGGGTTTCACCTTGTTGGCCAGGCCAGTCTCCAACTCCTGACCTCAAGTGATCTGCCCACCTTGGTCTCCCAAAGTGCTGGGATTACAGGCACGAGCCACCAGGCCCAGACCTATTCCTGTTCTTCTTCTTTATTTTTCTTTCTCTTTTTTTTTTTTTTTTGAGACAGTGTCTCACTCTGTTGCCCAGGCTGGAGTGCAGTGGCTTGATCTCGGCTCACTGCAAGCTCCGCCTCCCGGGTTCATGCCATTCTCCTGCCTCAGCCTCCCAAGTAGCTGGGACTACAAGCGCCCGCCACCACGCCGGACTAATTTTTTATATTTTCAGTAGAGACAAGGCTTCACCATGTTAGCCAGGATGGTCTCGATCTCCTGACCTCGTGATCCGCCCGCCTCGGGCCCCCAAAGTGCTGGGATTACAGGCGTGAGCCACCACACCGGGCCTCCTGTTCTTCTTAAGGACGATGGTTGTGTCAGTCTTTCAGGGCTGCTATAACAAGGTACCACAGCTCGGAGGTGCTTAAACAACAGTAGTCCACTTTCTCGAAGCTCTGGAGGCTGAAAGTCAGGTTATTTCTACAAGGGAGGAAGTTCCCTGTCTCTTCCTGGGAGATATGAGCCTGGCTGCCTGTGTTCTTGGAGTCAGATTGAAGAAGGGATGAGAGCTGTCACTCTCTCAAGTGTCATCCTTAATCCCGTTTTCAGTATGGGAACACCATTTCCTACTGTTCCTGCGGGGCCGGAATCCCTCTGGCCCTGCCTCTCCAGAGAGTGAACCTGGGGTCTTCTTCCCAGTGTGGGCTGGGGCAGTTGCCTGGTTGCTTAAACACAGAGGGGAAATTCAGGTGTAACGGATTCTGAGAGTGACTTTTAACCAATATACTTATTTTTAGTCTCACTCGGACCCCTACTTTTAAAGTCACCTAGTACCTCTAGTTCTTGGGTCTTTCTGACTTTCTGCTGTACAAACCAGCCTACTTCTGAATTTCTTCCTCTGCCAGTTTAGATTTTGGCTTTCTCAAGGGTGCTAAATCCATTAGCACAAACTCATGATTTCTAGGCTCCCAAATGTCATTGCTGTCATTTTCCATCTTGCTCTGTGTCCTTTTTTTCATTCTTTTAAGTCTCATATCTGTTATTTGAGTGAAGGTTTTGGAGGGAATGGAGGTAAACACTTAATTCCATCTACCATATTTAACTATATATGCCTCTAGAGGCCTTCCTAAGTGGATCAGAAGTTCTGGTAATGAGAAAGGTCTTCAAACATGGATGTTGGATGACAAGAAAAGTCACCTTGGATGTGAGTGACTGAAGGATGGATGGCCGCCACATCACAGAGGCGGTCAATCTTCAGCACTTACGGGGCATTCGCAATCTGTAGAGCACCGACTGGGCTCGAGCTGGGGGGATGGAGAGAAAGACTGAAGTGGCATATGGAAAGAGGACTGATTCCGGGCCAAATTTCTCCTTGTTACTAGTTTCTTAATGTCTTTGACTCTTAGTTTGTTGCAAATGGAGGAAGAAGAAAGAAATGTAAATTTCATCTTTTACCTCTTTTATTTTATTTTTTTATTTTTATTTTTTTTGTGAGACAGAGTCTTACTCTGTTGCCCAGGCTGGAGTGCAATGGCATGATCTCGGCTCACTGCAACCTCCACCTCATGGGTTCAAGTGATTCTCCCTGCCTCAGCCTCCTAAGTAGCTGGGATTACAGGTGTGCACCGTCACACTCAGCTAATTTTTGTATTTTTAGTAGTGATGGGGTTTCGCCATGTTTGGTCAGGCTGGTCTCGAACTCCTGACCTCAAGTGATCTGCTCACCCTGGCCTCCCAAAGTGCTGGGGTTACAGGCGTGAGCCACCATGCCTGGCCCACCTCTTTTATTTTTAACACCATGGGTTCATAAATGGGTGAGTGAGACATCCTTGTGTGTGTATAGGGGAAATTGTTTCTGTAACATTGCTTAGAAAGAATGTTGTTGTAGTTACCACCAAGGTACTGCCTTCACATTTTAACTACCAAGTTCATCAAAACTCTTGATAAATACAACAAGGTCATATAAATTATTGATATTTTCTTGGTTTGTGTGGTAGGTTTGAACACGAAGGCTCTCATCTGTATGATGATTCTACCAGGGAATGGGCCTCAGCTCCAGGTCACTTGATGTCTATGGTAGAGTCATCAGGATTTTAAGAAAATAAACAAGGGGGCCGGGCGTGGTGGCTCACGCCTGTAATCCCAGCACTTTGGGAGGCCAAGGCGGGCGGATCACAAGGTCAGGAGATCGAGACCATCCTGGCTAACATGGTGAAACCCCGTCTCTACTAAAATTACAAAAAATTAGCCGGGCGTGGTGGCGGGCGCCTGTAGTCCCAGCTACTCGGGAGGCTGAGGCAGGAGAATGGCACGAACCCGGGAGTTGGAGCTTGCAGTGAGCTGAGATTGCGCAGTGAGCCGAGATTGCACCACTGCAGTCCAGCCTGGGTGACAGAGCAAGACTCCGTCTCAAAAAAAAAAAAACAAAAAAAGAAAGAAAAAGAAAGAAAGAAAATAAACAAGGGAGAAAAAAGCAAGAGAATAGAAAATGGATTTTTAAAACAGTATCGGGAAAACAGCAATGTTCATAGATAGCAGCTTCATTCATAATAGCTCAAAACTGGACACAACCCAAATGACCATCAACAGAAGACTAATGAATAACAAATTATGGTATATCTATATAATGGAATGCTACTCAGAAATGAAAATAAATGAACGATAGATACATAAATAACTGGAACTAACCTCAAAAGCATTATGCTGCACTGAAGACGTCAGAAACCAAATAGTGCACACTATATGATTCTTTTCCTACAAAGTTCTAATCTATAGATGCAGAAATCAGAACAATGGCTGCCTGTAGGGATGAGAAGTAAGGATTAAGAAAGGGCACAAGAGGGCTTTCTGGTTAATAGAAATGTTCTATATTTTCACTGGGGTGGTGATTATCCAGGTGTATGCATTTATCAAAATCATTGAATTTATACTTAAGATCTGTGCATTCCACTCTATGCAAATTTTAACTAAAAAGAAAATTAAATGAGCAAGTCTTTCCAAATGTCCTCAAAATGCTCTTCCTGTGTCTCCCACAAGCTTCAAAAGTATCGAGATATTAGTTGTTGCTGTCTTTGGAGTGGAGAAGTTCACTGTGTGTGAAGTTTTTCTGCTAGAACATATGTGACCCCACCTCTGTTCCTGTCTAATGTCTACTCATTCTTCAGCACCACCTCAGGGGCAACCTACACACTGCTTCTCTAACTAGGGTAACACTCCCCACCTGTGTGCCGTGGGGCCCCCTTTTCATGTGTTTAATGATCGCTTTATTGTTTGGTAGTAGTGTTAGTTATCTTCTTAGGTGAATCTGTCTTCTCTTGCAGATTTTAAGCTTGCTGGTGTCCAGAAGTATGCTTTTTGCTTCCTTGAATTCCTTGCCAATGCTTTCTGACTCTTCAGCATGAAGGTTCAGTAAATGTTGCTTGGCTTGAAGAGGGGAGGTTTGAACGAGACAGTGGGAAATGCCTCGGTTCTAGAATTAGGAAAATAAGGATGGAAATCCTGCATTTGCAAACTTGGGCAAGTTAACCTCACTGAGTTTATGCTTTTTTCTTTTTTTTTTTTTTTTTTTTTTTTTGAGACGGAGTCTCGCTCTGTCGCCCAGACTGGAGTGCAGTGGCGGGATCTCGGCTCACTGCTAGCTCCGCCTCCCGGGTTCACGCCATTCTCCTGCCTCAGCATCCCGAGTAGCTGGGACTACAGGCGCCCGCCACTACGCCCGGCTAATTTTTTGTATTTTTAGTAGAGACGGGGTTTCACCGTTTTAGCCGGGATGGTCTCGATCTCCTGACCTCGTGATCCGCCCGCCTCGGCCTCCCAAAGTGCTGGGATTACAGGCGTGAGCCACCACGCCCGGCCTGCTTTTTTCTTGTCTAAACGTCAGACACTAAAACCTAGGTCATAGATTAGTTGATAAAGAATAAAAATAGTGTCTGTAGACATTGCTACAGTCTGGCTGTTAGTAGATATTTAATAAATGCTAGTTTTATTATTCTTACTAATGGATATTTGTATTTTATTCATTTAGTTTAGAGACAGGGCCTTGGTCTGTCACCCAGGCTGGAATGCAGTGCCCTGATCATAGCTCACTGTAGCCTTGAACTCCTGGGCTCAAGCAGTCCTGCCGCCTCAGCCTCCCAAGTAGTTGTGACTATAGGTGTGAACCACCATGCCTGACCTACTAATGAATTTTCTCTTTTGAGACAGGGTCTTGCTATGTTCCAGGCTGGTCTCAAACTCCTGCCCTTATGTGATCCTGCAGCCTGAGTCTGCTAATGGATTTTTTTATTGTTGTTTTAAGACAGAGTCTTGCTCTATCACCCAGGCTGGAGTGCAGTGGTGCAATCTCAGCTCACTGCAACCTCTGCCTCACTGGTACAAGTGATTGTCCTGCCTCAGCCTCTCCCAAGTAGCTGAGATTACAGGCACGCACCACCATGCCCAGCTAATTTTTGTATTTTTAGTAGAGATGGGATTTTGCCATGTTGGCCAGGCCGGTCTCAAACTCTTGACCTTAGGTGATCTGCCTGCCTCAGCCTCCCAAAGTGTTGGGATTACAGGTGGGAGCCACCGCACTCAGCCTTTTTTTTTTTTTTTTTTTCAGACAGGGTCTCCCTCTATCACCCAGGCTGGAGTGCAGTAGCACAATCATGGCTCACTGCAGCTTCCACCTTTTGGGCTCAAGCCATCCTCCCACCTCAGCCTCCCCAGTAGCTGGGACCATAGGTGTGCACCTCACGCCTGGCTAATTTTATTGTATTTTATTTTTGTAGAGATGGGGTCTCACTCTGTTACTCAGGCTGGATATTTTTTAAAGGTTCCTGAAATAGAGTCAGTGACCCCTAAGACTCAGTATTACTTTATAGGCCTTCCTCACTCATCTCTTTCCAGCTTGGCTTGCCTGCCACCTCTCTGAGGGCTCCCCACTCTTCCCTGCTTCCTGGCATTTGTGAAGGAATAATGCATATGCCATTGGAGGCAGCAAGATGTGCAAGTAGCTGCCGTCTTGAGGCCTGTACCTCTGGCCATCCCCATAGCAGCAACATAGAGACTCTGTTCTCATTACTCTGTCTTAGGCCACTATGCTCGCCTTCATTTTGCACAAGGCACTAATTCATGTCTCCAAATTTGTCACTTGAATTCTGTTAAGTCTTTACTTCTAGACCTTTAAATAATGTTATGAAAATAAGGCTTCTTGGCTAGGTGCAGTGCCTCACTCCTGTAATCCCAGCACTTTGGGAGGCCGAGGTGGGCGGATCACTTCAGTTCGGGAGTTTTGAGACCAACCTGGCCAACATGGTGACACCCCATCTCTACTAAAAATACAAAAATTAGCTGGGTGTGGTGGCAGGTGCCAGTAATCCCAGCTACTCAGAAGGCTAAAGCAGGAGAATCACTTGAACCCAGGAGGCAGAGATTGCGGTGAGTCGAGATCGTGCCATTGCACTCAAGCCTGGGCAGCAGAGTGACACTATGTCTCAAAAAAAGAAAAAAAAAATAGGGCTTAAGTCATTTCTCTAAGTGATCCAGCTGGATGAAATTATTGTCAGCTAATAAAGATTATCTTTTTTTTTTTTTTTTTTTGGAGACAGAGTCTAGCTCTGTCACCAAGCTGGAGTGCAGTGGCTCGATCTCGGCTCACTGCATCCTCCACCTCTGGGGTTCAAGCGATTCTCCTGCCTCAGCCTCCCAGGTAGCTGGGATTACAGGCATGCACCACCACGCCTGGCTAATTTTTGTATTTTTAGTACAGACAGAGTTTCACCATGTTGGCCAGGATGGTTTCTATCTTCTGACCTCGTGATCCGTCAACCTCAGCTTCCTAAAGTGCTGAGATTATAGACATGAGCCACCTCACCCAGCCAAGATTATCTTTAAAAAGAGTACTGAGACACTTAACAAGCACTAGTCTGATATAATGATACTGTCTTTTTACATGTCACCTCTAGGTCTTCCTGGAGAAACCACTCATTCCCAGGTAGTGTACCCAGAATTTAGTATGTGTTGGTGCTCCAGGCATGCTTGTTGAACTGACTCAGCTCATGCTACCTGAGAATAAACATTTTCCTGTGGCATGCTCTATGCTCCACGAACATGGGTTCTCATTACTCTGAGATCCTACATTAATGGGACTGCTTCTACCTTGGCACAATTGCTCTCTATACCAAACTTAGTAAGTGGCAGCTTCAACTAAATAGAACAGTGGTTAGGTAGTACATTGCAGAAATAATGACTTTTGATTACTGACTTTACACTTAACCTTTCAATTGGTTTGGTGATTTTGATACAGGAACTCTCTGGGGTTTTGGCTATTGCAGTTGCTTCTCTGCTGTCCCTGTGGCAATATGAAGAAGTGGGAGGAACATTGGCAGGGCTTTGGAACCAGGCATAACAGTTTAAACCTTGGTTCAGTTGTTCACCAGCTATGTGACCTCAGGCAAATTTCCGAACTTTTCTGAGCCTCAGCAGATTTACTGCAAATACCTACATGACTGGGTCATTGTGCAGGTTGGAGTTCATAGAGATAATAGCATAGCATGGAACACATGAAAGTCCCTGAGTATATAATACCCATAATAATGTAACAATAATCATATTTTCCACCACTCTACTGGGGATGACACCAACAAAGCAATTGTTAGTGGCTGGTTTGCACATTCTATGCCCAGGGAAGCCACCTAGAGTACAGTTATATGAGGACCCTACTACTGCTATAGAGAGGTAGGTAATGTATCATGCTTCCCATATATTGTCTTTTTTTTTTTTTTCCAAGATAGAGTCTCTTTCTGTCACCCAGGCTGGAGTGCAGTGGTACGATCTTGGCTTGCTGCAATCTCCACCTCCCGGGTTCAAGCAATTCTCCTGCCTCAGCCTCCCGAGTAGCTGGGACTACAGGTGTGCGCCACCATGCCCGGCTAATTTTTGTATTTTTAGTAGAGATGGGGTTTCACCATGTTGGCCAGGCTGGTCTTGAACTCCTGACCTCAGGCAGTCTGCCCACCTTGGCCTCCCGAAGTGCTGGGATTACAGGCGTGAGCCACCGTGCCCAGCCTATATTGCCTTTTTTACAGATTGAAGATTTGTGGCAACCCTGTGTCAAGCAAGTCTATTGGCTTCATTCAGTATGTGCCCACTTTGTGTCTCTGTGTCAAATTTTGACACAATGATCACAATATTTTAAACATTTATTATTACTATATCTGTTAGGGTGATCTGTGCTCAGTCATCTTTGATGTTACTATTATAATTGTTTTGGAGGAACACAAACCACGCCTATATAAAAAGGCAAACAAAAGTTAAATGTTGCATGTATTCTGACCACCCCACTGACCAGCCATTTCCCCGTCTCTCTGCCACTTCTTGGACCTCCCTTTTCCTTGAGGCACAACAATATTGAAATTAAGTCAGTTAATAACCTCACAATGGCAGGGCACGGTGGCTCATGCCTGTAATCCCAGCACTTTGGGAGGCCAAGGCGGGCGGATCACCTGAGGTCAGGAGTTTGAGGCCAGCCTTACCAACATGGAGAAACCCCATCTCTACTAAAAATACAAAATTAGCCTGGCATAGTGGCACATGCCTGTAATCCCAGCTACTCGGGAGGCTGAGGCAGGAGAATCGCTTGAACCCGGGAGGCAGAAGTTGCCGTGAGCCAAGATGGCACCATTGCACTACAGCCTGGGCAACAAGAGTGAAACTCTGTCTCAAAAAACAAACAAACAAACAAAAAAACCTCACAGTGGCCTCTAAGTGTTCAAATGAAAGGAAGAGTCCCACACCTGTCATTTTTTTTTTTTTTTCTGAGACGGAGTCTCGCCTCTGTTGCCCAGGCTGGAGTGCAGTGGCGCGATCTTGGCTCACTGCAAGCTCCGCCTCCCGGGTTCACACCATCCTCCTGCCTCAGCCTCCCGAGTAGCAGGGACTACAGGCGCCCACCACCACGCCTGTCTAATTTTTTGTATTTTTAGTAGAGACGGGGTTTCACCGTGTTAGCCAGGATGGTCTCGATCTCCTGACCTCGTGATCCGCCCGCCTTGGCCCCCCAAAGTGCTGGGATTACAGGCATGAGCCACCATGCCCAGCCCCACACCTGTCATTTTAAGTCAAAAGCTAGAAATGGTTAAGCTTTGTAAAGAAGGCATGTCAAAAGCCAAAACAGGAAGAAAGCTAGGCCTCTTGCACCAAATAGCCAATTTATGGATGCACAGGAAAACTTCTTGAAGGAAATTAAAAGTGCTACTCCATGAATACATGAATGATAAGAAAAAGAAACAGACTTATTGCTGATGTGGAGAAAATTTTAGTGGTCTGGATGGAAGATCAAACCAGCCACAACATTCTCTTAAGCCAAAGTCTAATCCAGAGCAAGGCCCTGACTCTTCAATTCTGTGAAGTCTAAGAGAAGTGAGAAAGCTGCAGAAGAACAGTTGAAAGCTAACAGATGTTGGTTCTTGAGGTTTAAGGAAAGAAGCTGTCTCCATAGCAAAAAAATGCAAGGTAAAGCAGCAAGTGCTGATGCAGAAGCTGCAGCAAGCTATCCAGACGATCTAGCTAAGATCATTGATGAAGGTGGCCACACAGATTTTTAATGTAGATGCAATAGCCTTCTTTTGGAAGAAGATGCCATGCAGGACTTTCACAGCCAGAGAGAAGTCAATGCTTGGCTTCAAAGCTTCAAAGGAGAGGCTGATTTGTTATGAGCTAATGCAGCTGGTGACTCTAAGTTGAAGCCAATGCTCATTTCCATTTTGAAAATTGTAGGACACCTAAGAATCATGCTAAGTCTCCTCTGCCTACACTCTGAAAATGGAACAGCAAAGTCTGGATGACAGCACCTGTGTTTACAGCATGGTTTACTGAATATTTGAAACCCACTGTTGAGACCTACTGGTCAGAAAAAAAAATTCCTTTCTCACGCCTGTAATCCCAGGATTTTGGGAGGCCGAGGTGGGCAGATCATGAGGTCAGGAGATCGAGACCATCCTGGCTAACATAGTGAAACCCCATCTCTACTAAAAATACAAAAAATTAGCTGGATATGGTGGCATGCACCTGTAGTCCCAGCTGCTTGGGAGACTGAGGCAGGAGAATCGCTTGAACCTGGGAGGCGGAGCTTGCAGTGAGCCGAGATCATGCCACTGCACTCCAGCCTGGGTGACAGAGCGAGACTCCGTCTCAAAAAAAAAAATTATTTTCAAAATATTACTGCTCATTGACAATGTAGCTGGTCACCCAAGAGTTCTGATGGAGATGTGCAAGAAGATTAATGTTGTTTCCATGTCTGCAGCCCATGGATCAAGGAGCGATTTCAGCTTTCAAGTCTTATTATTTAAGAAATGCATTTTGTAAAGCTGTAGCTGCCACGGATAGTAATAGATCTGGGCAAAGTAAGTTGAAAACCTTCTGGAGAGCATTCACCATTCTAGATGCCTTTAAGAACATTCATGATTCTTGGGGGGAGGTCAAAATATCAACATAAACAGGTGTTTGTAAGAAGTTGATTCCAACCCTCGTGGATGACTTTGAGGGGTTCAAGACTTCAGTGAAGAAAGTCACTGCAGATGTGGTGGAAAAATAGCAAGAGCACTAGAATTAGAAGTGGAGCCTGAAGAAGTGACTGAATTGCTGCAATCTCATGATGAAATTTGAAAGATGAAGAGTTGCTTCTTATTGATATGCATAGAAAGTGGTTTCTTGAGATGGAAATTACTCCTGGTGAAGACTGTGTGAACACTGTTGAAATGACAACAAGGGATTTAAAATATTCCATAAACTTAATTGATAAAGCAGCAACAGAGTTTGAGAGGATTGACTCCAATTTCGAAGGAAGTTCTGCTGTGGGTAAAATGTTGTAATACAGCACCACATACTACAGAAAAACATCTTTCATGAAAAAGAGAGTCAATCAATGAGGCAAACTTCGTTGTTTTATTTTAAGAAATTGCTACAGCCACCCCAATTTTTAGCAACCACCACCCTGATCAGTCAGCAGCCACCCAGCAGCCATCAAGATCTAGGCAAGACCCTTTACCAGCAAAAAGATGACTATTTGCTGAAGGCTCAGATGATCATTAGCATTGTTTAGCAATAAAGTATTTTTATTTTTATTTATTGATTGATTGAGACAGAGTCTCACTCTGTTGCCCAAGGTTGGAGTGCAGCGGCATGATCTCAGCTCACTGCAACCTCCATCTGCAGAGTTCAAATGATTCTCGTCCATCAGCCTCCTGAGCAGCTGGGATTATGGGCGTGCGCCACCACCACACCTGGCTAATTTTTGTATTTTTAGTAGAGATGAGGTTTTGCCATGTTGGCCGACCTCATCTCAAACTCCTGGCTTCAAGAAATCCACCCACCTCAGCCTCCCAAAGTGCTGAGATTACAGGCATGAGCTACCCACACCTGGCCCACAATAAAGTATTTTTAACTAGGGTATGTAGTTTTTTTAGACATAATGCTATTGCACATTTAATAGAGCACAGTAGAGTGTAAACATAAATTTTATATGCAATGGGAAACCAAAACATTGGTGTGACTTGCTTTACTGCAGTGGTCTGGAAACAAACCTGCAATGTCTCTGAAGTATGTCTGTAGAAACTCACATTTTCATCATTGAACCCAGCTTGACACAGCTTAAGATATATTTCCTGTTTGGTCCAGCCTGCTTCTCACACAAGAAGAGTTTGCCTGGTAATCCTAATATTTGAGGAAAAAATCCTTTTCTAGTGGGATTGAGTACAGCCCCTTTAGAATCAGGCGAAATCTGCCCTCTGCACAGCCCCTGCTCTGGCTCAGACCATACTCCCTCATCGTCTGATGGAATTCTCCCGAGGCCCTTTGAGTATGCTTCTATTCCTTTGACCTCAGGTAAGTCATCTCACCTTCCCTGGCCTGTTTCCTCAAACTTAAATGCCATAGTTGGCGCAGCCAGATGATCCCAAAGTGAGCAATCTGAGAAGCAACAGGAACTCCAGGACTCTCTGACCTTGGTGCTTGGTTTCCAGTAGGGAACGATACATTTACCTAAGGAAGAACCTGCTTAAGGGAAATCTACCTGGACTGCTAAAGTCCTCAGTACTGCTCACCGTAGCTTCCTCCCTTCTTCTCAAGTGAATCACCATTATTCTTATTTTGTCAGCAAGCGCTTTCCCTCACTTTACTGATGGGTCCTGATCTATAATTGTTCTGTGTTCACCCATAATTCCTTTCCTTTTGTCTTTTACATACTTACCAAATTTTGGCCCATCCAGAATTTAATACTGGAAATGATATTCCTAACATATTTTCCAAAAACCTCTTTTGTATCTATCGTCTTAGGAGGTCCTTCCAATAACTCTGCATGGTAAGATGCTTTCCTACAGTTGACAGATGGAGGAACAGGTATGGGCACAGTGCATCTAAAGCTCAGTAGCCAATAGGTGATGGCACCTAGATTAAAACATGGATCCTCTGACACCAAATACTTGAAAAATCTTCAGGATTCACATTACCATATTCTGTCGACAGGTTTATGGTGTAGAATAACTTTTTTCCATCTGTAGAAGTTGATTATTGTAGGCCAGGCATGGTGGCTCACGCCTGTAATCCCAGCACCTTAGAAGGCCTAGGTGGGTGGATCACCTGAGGTCAGGAATTCAAGACCAGCCTGGCCAACGTGGTGAAACCCCATCTCTACTAAAAATACAAAAATTAGCTGGGTGTGGTGGTACGTGCCTGTAATTCCAGCTACTCAGGAGGCTGAGGCAGGAGAATCGCTTGAATCCAGGAGGTGGGGGTTGCAGTGAGCTGAGATCGCACCACTGCATGCTAGCCTGGGTGACAAGAGCGAAACTCCGTCTCAAAAAAAAAGTTGATTATTGCAGTAAAAATAGCCCATCAAATAGAGGTGGAGTGTGGGAATTAATCTTGCTTCTCCAGATGCTGGCTTAGGCTTGTGGATGTTTAGAGCAGGGAGAGGCCTTGGAAATCATCAAGCCGGACCTCGCATTTCCTACAGATGAGTAAACAGGCATCAACAGGTAATGTGTTTTGCCCAACGTCAGATCAAGTTTGGCCACTACGTGCAGAGTTTTCAGGAATTGGAAGGAAAGGTAAATAAACCTCGTGGACTGGGTAAGTTTGACCAGCCCGTGGGCCCACTCCTTCCCGCTGGAGCATTTGATCTGTGGCAGACACACAGTGGCTGTGCTCTATGTGAAGTGATTCTGCCAAGTCCCTCCCAGGGGAGCATCACCCTTCCAGGAAAGTAAATAAGCCGTGCTTCTGCGTCGCTCTTGCGTTTGTCCTCTTTGAGCTTGAAGATGGCTGACCGAGGTGCCACTGGCTACCGGGGGAAGCCAGGCTGGACAAAAGAAGTCGGAGCTCAGGCCATCTCTGCTCTGGAAGCAAAGCCCTGCTGTGTTTCTTGGCCAGAGGTGCCGCCATCTGCATGAAGCCGCAGTTCCTGCAAGCTTCTCAACCTTGGGGCTGTTGCCTACCTGTCTCATGCCTCTTACAGCCTTTTCTGCCTTACTAGCACTCCCAGCTTCTGCACACTGCGTGCTACTCACAGCAGGCCTTGCATGAACTTCCAGCTCGTATGTGGGACAGATCCAGCCCAGCCTTTAACCTGGGCCGTCCTGGGCTATGAGCACCTTCTCTGTGTTCCTCCAGGCTTGACTTCCCTGGGCCTCTGCTTCTGCCCATATGGAAAGAGACTCACCAAACCTATCTGGCAGGGTTAGAGAGAGTATGACTGAAATCATACTGGCATAATGCCTGACCCAGAGGTGTCCCAAATAATGGTAGCTATTAATATGATTTGCAACAGTGTCTCCTCTATCAGACGGCAGACTCCTAGAGGTGAAGGATCAGGCCATTCATTTTTGCATCTCCTATGCCTGGTACATATTAACTGCTTAATAAATCCTGGCTAAGTGTGTCTGTGAGCATCTGCTGCTCACAGTCATGGTGGTTCCCAAAATAATTGCTAGAATGATGTTTTCCCCAATCCAAGCTGCCAGCCTTGTGACTAGATCCTCTTGTTTACCAGGATGCAGCACGACTACAAGAGGAAGCGGTGACCTTCACACAAGCGTTCCTTAAACTGTCATGAGAACAAAGAAAAATAGGGGAAAGTGAACGTCTTTATGGAGGGACGTTCTAGAATGTTGAAATCAGGATTTGGGAGGAAATAGTTTGGAACTGCTATTTCAGAGAGGAGCCTTTTCTCAAGGGCGTGGTTCCATCGAGCCAGGCATGCTGTGGTTCGGCACACAAAGGTCACACTGGCTGTATGTCAGGGCCCTGTGAGCATGAGCTGCCTCCCGATGTGCAGATGGGGCGTGGTTTGCACACACATGTGACTTTTACTCAGTTTGGAGATCAGGTCTGCCGAGAGATTTCCAATGACCAGAAAAATCTATCCAAGAGCTTGTTTTGGCGGGGAGGGGTGGTAAGCCTGGACCAGCACGGCAAACCCTCAGCCATGAGCTCCCAAGGCCCAGCACTGGGCCATGCCACCAGGACCACCAAGTGCATGTAAGGGCTCACCTTTTGGTTAACACAAAGGGGTGGCGGTGTGGCAGAGAGCTGGTTTGGTCACTGGAATTAAAAACATGAGTGGTAGCTGGGCGCGGTGGCTCACGCCTGTAATCCCAGCACTTTGGGAGGCCAAGGTGGGTGAATTGCTTGAGGCCAGGAGTTTTACCAGACCAGCCCGGACAACATGGGAAAACCCTGTCTCTACAAAAAATTTTTAAAATGAGCTGGGCATCCTGGCACACCTGCGGTCCCAGCTACTGGAGTTGCTGAAGTGAGATGTCTTTGAGCTCAGGATGCAGAGGTTGCAGTGAGCAGAGATCACCCCCACTGCACTCTGACCTCTAAGGCAGAGTGAGGCCTGTATCAAAAAACAAACAAACAAAAAACAAACAAAAAACAAACCCAAAACAACAACAACAACAAAAAACCAAGAGTGGTAAGCTTCAGCACTTGCCCCAGCTACTACACGTTTCTCAGTTAATTGCTAAATTTGGCAAGTAATACTGACTTTCCCAAATCCCAACACTCCTTCACAATGCAGGTCAAGTGCCCTTTCACAAAGCCTTGGCCATCCTGCTTGTTGCGATCCCCAGGGCACGCTCTTTAAAACAGAGGACACTCCATTTGGTCCATCTCCTCCGGCATTTATCATCCGGTCTCCCTTGTGTTATTATTTATATGAACCTCTTGTGTATCCCATCAGACTGCAAACTTCCCATAATCAGAATAAGAAATCCTCTTGTTCCACCTTAGCACACAGTACAATACCTTGGCTGTGGGGTGAATTGTAAATATTTCTTGAATGAACAAAGGAAAAAGTGAAGTAAAGAGTATCTTGAGACTTCAAAGCTACAGAGAACTTTAAAAACAGTGGAAGTTCTCATATAGTAATTTTAAAATACAATTTACAAAGTGATTTGGAAGACTGAGATAATTATTCAGAAGAAAGGGAGAAGCGTTTTCCTTTTAAATATGCCTGGCTATTTTGTGAGTTCCTCAAAGAAATGGATCATATTTAAAAATTTCAAATTCCCATTGCCTAGTACATTTTTGGCAAAATTATTTAACTTTCACTGTTTTTAAAGATGGAAATATTTTTACTGCTCTTGCTAATTAAAAAGTGACATACGCTCAATGCAAACATTTAAACAATATGGAAACATAAAGTAGAAAGTATAAGGTCCACCTAGGTCCAACTTTCTAGAGGTTACTTACTGATATCTTTCCATGGTTTTATTGCGATAAGAATAACATATTGATACTATTTTATCCGTTCAGTCTGTAATCTGCTTTTAAAAACTGGTGAAATGGCTGGGCCCAGTGACTCACACCTGTAATCCCGGCACTTTGGGAGGCTGAGGCAGGGGGATCACCTGAGTCCAGGAGTTTGAGACCAGCCTGGTCAATATAGTGAGCTGGGACCTTGCCTTTACAAAAAAAAATTTTTAAAGAAAAGAAAAAAAACTAGTGAAATGTATGGCTTCATTTGCACATAGATACACATAAATCTCCTTTATTCTGTAGCGGCTGCACAGTCTATTTATTACCTCTCACTGTTAAAATTTCAGGCAGGATTCAATTCTTGCTATTTCAAATCACACTGAAGTAAAATCCTTGTACATACATCTTCAATATGTATTTTTCAGGTTACCCTTTTTTTTTTTTTTTTTTTTTGAGACAGAGTCTTGCTCTGTCACCCAGGCTGGAGTGCAGTGGTGCGATCTCAGCTCAGTGCAATCTCCGCCTCCCAGATTCAAGTGATTCTCCTGCCTCAGCCTCCCGAGTAGCTGGGATTACAGGTGCATGCCACCACACCTGGCTAATCTGTGTGTGTGTGTGTGTGTTTGTATGTGTGTGTGTGTGTCTGTATGTGTATTTTCAGTAGAGACGGGTTTTCACCATGTTGGCCAGGCTGGTTTCAAACTCCCGACCTCAAGTGATCCATTTGCCTCAGCCTCCCAAAGTGGTAGGATTACAGGCATGAGCCACGGCACCCGGCCCTCGGATTACTCTTAGACGTGGAATTTATGAGTCTAGGGACATGAACACTTGACATTGGTAGATAACGCCAAATTTTCCTCCAAAAAGTTGTATTTTCTGATTTGTACTCCCAACATGAACTGAGAAGGCCTACAGAGTTTACGTATCTTTTAAGTTAGTGGTCCACAACTTTTTGGCCCCAAGGATCGGTTACATGGAAGACAATTTTTCCATGAACTGGTGGGGAGGGGAGATGGTTTCAGGAGGATTCAAACACATAACATTTATTGTGCACTTCATTTCTATTATTATTACATTGCAATATATAATGAAATAATTATACAACTCACCATAATATAGAATCAGTGGGAGCCTTGAGCTTGTTTTTCTGCAACTAGATGGTCCCATCTGGAGGTGATGGGAGACAGAGACAGATCATCAGGCATCAGATTCTCACGAGGAGCAAGCAACCTAGATCCCTCGCATGCGCAGTTCACAATAGGGTTCACACTTCTGTGAGAATCTAATTCTGCTGCTGATCTGACAAGAGGCAGAGCTCAGGCAGTAAAGTCAGTGATGGGGAGCAGCTGTAAATACAGATGTAGCTTCGCTTGCTTGCCCGCTGCTCACCTCCAGCTATGCGACCCTGTTCCTAACAGGCCAGGGACCGATATAGGTCCAGGGCCTGGGGACTGCGGATCCCTGTTTTAAGTCTTTCCTGGCATATGTTGGAAGATTTGCAGCCAATGTGATTTTTACAATGATACTTTTGGTGCGTAAAATACTCTGTGCTTTTCCAGGTATTTTTACACAGAATGCATATTCTCCTTGGGTCTTCACAGCAGTCACGGAGTAAGTAGGGAAGGCTTTATTATTTCTGCTTTAGAAACTCGGCCATAAAGACTTGCCCTGGGTTTCACTGCAAGTCAGTGTCAATGCCTAAAGCGGCACCCTTGAACTGCTTCTCTGAATTTCCTTCTGCAAGCTGGAAGGACCAACCATGAGCGGTCCTCCCAGGAAGAGCCTCCCAAGGGTTTTGCAAGTCTTGCATTTATGCCACAGAACAAAGAATGACCTGATTAGGGGGTTCAATTCCTTTAGCTGAAATAAGCCCTCCTCTTTTCTGACTAAGCCAGGCTGGGGAAGGAGGAGGCAGGTGGCCCTGTGTGTTGCCCTGTGTGGGGCCTGTCATGAAGCTCTGAGTAGGTAGTAGGTGGTGAGCTCAAGCTCAGGGAGCAACATTGCCATGCGCTCTTCTGCTTCATTCTCCAAAGCACCCCATTTGGAGTTTGGGGAGAGGACTGACCCAGGAAACTCTCCTCTCCTTTTTATTGGTGTCCTCTGAAATGAAATGCTATGAATTTGTTTGCACATTAACCTACAGCTTCAGTTGCACACAGTTATTAATATTTTTTGAAGCGTAATTTACTGATCCTCGAAAAAGAAAGACAATAGCATGCCTAGTGCTATTGTCAAATAGAAATTCACATGGAATATTGGGAGGGGATGCTTTGATAATCTGAGGCTTCCTTCTAGAGAGTAACTTAGGAAGATTATTTCCTTCCTTCCTTCCTTCCTTCTCTCCCTCCCTCCCTCTTTCTCTCTCTCTTTTTCTGTTTCTCTCTGTTTCTCTCTTTCTCTTTCTTTCCTTTCTTTCTTTCTTTCTCTCTCTTTCTTTCTTTCCCTTCCGTCCTTCCTTGTCTTTCTTTCTTTCTTTCTTTCTTTCTTTCTTTCTTTCTTTCTTTCTTTCTTTCTTTTTCTTTCTTTCTTTTTCTTTCTCTCTCTTTCTTTCTTTCCCTCCCTTCCTTCCTTCTTTCTTTCTTTCTTTTTCTTTCTTTCCTGATTCACCATGTTGCCCAGGCTGATGTTGAACTCCTGAGCTCAAGCAATCCACCCACCTCAGCCTCCCAAACTGCTGGGATTACAGGCATCAGCCACCACACCCAGTCAGTTGCTTTTGTTTGAGGTCAGAATGGAAAGTTCCGTATCTTAACATGGGCCAGCAGACAGCTGAGGCAAGGTGGAACACTTTGAAAGACACAATCACTCACTGTATAAATATTGCATGGACTAGGACGACATTGTCCAATTCAGGAGCCTCTAGCTCTCTGTGGCTCTTGAGCACTTACAATGTGGATTGAATGTTTAATTTTATTTAATTTTAGTATTTAAATTTAAGTTTGAAAACTGACTCTCCATTCAGTTATGGAAAACTTTTACATAAGTTTCAAACAACTTGGGTGTCTGGGTATCTGGAAGTGCTTTTCAAAGTAAATTTTATGAAATATAAAACTTGATATGGTGTTTCTGATGAGAATTTAGCATCTGAATTTAGATATTCTTTACGTGTAAAATACACACTGTCTTTTGAAAGCTTATGAATATGAAAAAAAGAAGGCAAAATATCTCAATGATTTTTTATATTGATTATATTTTAAAGTGACAATATTTTTTATATACTGACTTAAACAAAATATAATATTAAAATTAATTTTACCTGTTTTATGCTTTTACATTTTTTAACGTGGCTTCTAGGAAATGGGGAATGCCTTGAGCATTCACTTATCCATTCATTCATTGAGTATTTATTGAGAAACTGATATGTTCCAGCTCTGAGTAAGCATAACAGCTACAAAACTCAGAAAAGCACCTTATAAATTTGCTGCACATTGTATGAAAATATGTGTGCAGGGCGGTGATCCCACTGAAGTGTAATACTCCTTAAGACAAATATCAAATTCACTGTTGTTTTTCCCCAGCGTCATGAGTTAAACACCTAGCTCATTAATTTACAGATTTTTTTGTTTTGTAACATATGTATTTAAGGCTCTAATCTTCCCATAAGTATTCTTTTAGCTGCATTCCAAAAGAGTTGATAAGCTGAGTTTTCTTTTCTTTTTTTTGAGATGGAGTTTCACTTTTGTTGCCCAGGCTGCAGTGCAATAGCGAGATCTCGGCTCACTGCAACCTCTGTCTCCCGGGTTCAAGCGATTTTCCTGCCTCAGCCTCCCATGTAGGAAGGGATTACAGGTGCCCACCACCACGCCCAGCTAATTTTTGTATTTTTAGTAGAGACGGGGTTTCACCATGTTGGTCAGGCTGGTCTCGAACTCCTGACCTCAGGTGATCCACCCACCTCGGCCTCCCAAAGTGCTGGGATTACAGGCATGAGCCACCGTGCCTGACCAAGTTGAGTTTTCTTTTTTCTTTTTTTTTTTTTTTTTGAGATGGAGTCTCACCCTGTCACCCAGGCTAGAGTGTAGTGGCACTATCTCGGCTCACTGTAACCTCCGCCTCCCGGGTGTAAGCAATTCTCCTGCCTCAGCCTCCCGAGTAGCTGGGACTGCAGGCACACACCACCATACCCGGCTAATTTTTATGTATTTTTAGTAGAGACGAAGTTTCACCGTGTTGCCCATGCTGGTTTCAAATTCCTGAGCTTAGGCAATCCGCCCGCCTCGGCCTCCCAAAGTGCTAGGATTACAGGCATGAGCCACTGCGCCCAGCCCCAAGTTGAGTTTTCATAAGAACTCATTTTAATATTGGATGGATCACATTTTCTTCTTCTTCTTCTTCTTCTTCTTTTTTGATGGAGTTTGATGGGTTTTTGGTTTGTTTGGTTTTTTTTAGACGGAGTCTTGCTCTGTCACCTAGGCTGGAGTGCAGTGGCATGATCTCAGCTCACTGCAACCTCCGCCTCCCGGGTTCAAGCTATTCTCCTGCCTCAGCCTCCCGAGTAGCTGGGATTACAGATATGTGCCACCATGCCCGGCTAATTTTTGTATTTTTAGTAGAGATGGGGTTTCACCACGTTGAGCAGGCTGGTCTTGAACACCTGACCTCAGGTGATCCACCCACCTTGGCCTCCTAAGATGTTGGGAGTACAGCTGTAAGCTACCGTGCCCGGCCCCTACATTTTCTTAAATCTCTTTTGTGGAAGAGACTACTAATTGCTCACACAAATTCTACTACATTAGAAGCGGTTGGAATGGACTTTTTCTCAAATCCAATTCAAACCCTATTTAATTATATTTTATTAATAACCCTTGCAATGAAGGAAATGGGTCTTATACTACCTAGAGTGACAGGCCCCATACAAATTGTAATGTGACAGACGGTTAGGACGAATCAAAAGACATGTTATTTTTCTCTGGGAACAGGAAGCTTGTGAAACAACAACAAAAATACTATTTTGTAGGTAGATTGTTAAAAAATAATCAGTGATGTTTATCTCTAATTTCTTGTGAGTAGCAGGGTATAGCCACAAGAACTTTTCCATAATACATTCCTAAGGACCAGCTCTCTGAGATAGGCAGACAAAATTCCGGGAGGAATGGAGGTTAAACCACCACCTGTCTGTCAATCAACCAACAAAGGATAGGAAGATGTTAAAAGTTGGAGGGATAACTAGTTATCAGGACCCTTACATATATTGTTGCATGTACTCTTTCCATTAGTCCTGTGAGGTGGAGATTTGTGTTGGCTTTCAAGTAGTTCAACCAATCTACCTATGGCCGTATAACTACCAAGAGGCTGAGCCAGGAATCTTGCCCAGGTCTCAGTCTTAAGCCCGATACACTTTGCTGCTTTCAGGAATGAGATTTCTGTCCTCAAACCTTAGTATCTGGAGGAGATAAAATGTAAACAGTTGGCTGGGCGTGGTGGCTCATGCCTATAATTCCAGCACTTTGGGAGGCCAAGGCGGGTGGATCACTTGAGGTCAGGAGTTTGAGACCAGCTTGGCCAACATGGTGAAACCCCATCTCTACTAAAATACAAAAATTAGCTGGGTGTGGTGGCGCACCTGTAATCCCAGCTGCTCCAGAGGTTGAGGCAGGAGAATCGCTTGAACTCGGGAGGTGGAGGTTGCAGTGAGCCAACATCTTGCCACTGCACTCCAGCCTGGGCAACAGAGCAAGACTCCATCTCAAAAAAAAAAAAAAAAGTATAAACAATGGAACAGTGAAATCATAATACAAGTGCTGTCACAAGAAGCTTTTGTGGGCTGCAGTGGGCTGAGAAGGATGGGCCAGAGGAAAAGGAAGGCAGAGCAGTCCGGGCCGGCGAGTGGCCTGAGCACGGACCCAGGAGAATGCCTGTTCTGATGATGTGATCAGGGACGCAGCATCCAGCGTCTGCTTCTTCCTGGCTCGTTCCATGTGCTCGTGCTTTTTTTCTCACCCTTCCATTTATCTGAAGCTGGCGAGTGTGGAGGGGCAGGAATGTGGTGTTCTTTTCAGCGAGACCTTTCCCATAGCAAGTTGGATTTCCAGCATGGGGTGGGAGAGAGCTGGAGCTGTTAAGGGGTTTCTGTCTAAGCAGAGATGTGACAGGGAATGTGGAGTCAGAGTGAAGTAGGCAGAGCATGGAGGCCCGGTCCCTCGAGCAGCATTTCTAGAATGCCAATCACGGGCCAGCCCGGGTGGACCAAGAAGAGGTCAGAAGCAGGCACTTTCGGGGTGAGGACAAGCTAGGCAGAGAAGGAGGCATTGGCTGGCAGGGTGGAAAGACCCCTGTGAGCCATTGTCCCCTGTTCCAACCTCACAGGCAGTGTGGCGCAAACACAAGACGGTGAGTCAGGATAACGCGGCCCAACTCCCTGTTTTCCTCCAGGTTGGTCACACCCTCAAATCACATCCCCACGTCAGCCTGGAATTCCCAACAAAGGGGAAGTGGTACACTCCTGACCAAGTTCCTGCTGGCAAAGGCGCTCACATGCCTGCAGACCGCAGGTGAAGGGCCTTTGGTGGCATATTGTTCCTCCCGGCAGCTGCCAGGGTGCGGATTGTGCAAGGTATAGAGGCAGGTGCCAGATCAGGAGGCCAACAGGCCACGTGCAGATTTGTCTCTTAGCTTACAACTCAGCACAGAGCTTGTGCACAGGTCCCTGAGAGATACACCTTAACGGTAAAAAAAAAAAAATTATTAAAATACACTTTTAAAAGGTAAGACAATTTCATTCAAAATCTGCCACCCAGATTCAACTGCTGAAACCATTTTGGTGAATATCTTTGGAAAAGTATGTCTACCGTTTTACAATACACATTTAATTTCTGTGGATAAAGTATAACACATGCATTTATTTAAATAGAAGAGTGGGATCCTGTTACACATACTGCTTTGTAATGTGTTTATAATATGTGATGGACATTTTCCATATCATGAAATATTATTTTGCAGTGCAGTACTTATTTATTTTTTGAGACAGGGAGTCTTGCTCCTTCACCCAGGCTGGAGTGCAGTGGCGCGATCTTGGCTCAGTGCAACCTCCGCCTCCCATGTTCAAGCGATTCTCCTGCCTCAGCCTCCTAAGTAGCTGGGATTACAGGTGCCCACCACCACGCCTGGCTAATTTTTGTATTTTTAGTAGAGGTGGGTTTTCACCATGTTGGCCAGGCTGGTCTTGAACTCCTGACCTCAGGTGATCCACCCACCTTGGCCTCCCGCAGTGCTGGGATTACAGGTGTGAACCACTGCGCCCAGCCCAACGCAGTAGTTAATGGTTGCACATTCTCTAACTTTTGTTGGTTAGGTGCTCCTCCCACTGAAACCTGCCGCAGTTTTCACTCTTCTCATGGTGGAGCTGCTTTTTAGGCAGAGAGGGAAACAAAGAGGAGGGATGAGCACTATTTCCATTTGGGCCCCACAGAAGTTCTGAAAGAAGTTGGTTCCCCCAGTGCCAGTGAGAAGAAAAGAAATATTAGGAGCTAAGAAATCTGGCCAAGCACAGTGGCTCACGCCTATAATCCCAGAACTTTGGGAGGATGAGGTGGGAGGATCGCTTGACACCAGGAGTTTGAGACCAGCCTGGGCAACACAGGGAGACCCAATCTCTACAAAATAATAGTAATAAATTAGCTGGGAGTGGTGCTGCACACCTGTAATCCCAGCTACTTGGGAGGCTGAGGCAGGAGGATCCCTTGAGCCCAGAAGTTTGAGGTTATGGTGAGCTGTGGTGGTGCCACTGCACTCCAGCCTGGGCAACAGAGAGCAAGACTGTCTCAAAACAACAACAACAGCAAAGAAGTCTGGCTCCCTCCTTTACCCCGAGCCTCGGAGAGGAGTTCAAGGCAGAGACAGAGCTTAGCACAAAACCAAACAAAAGGGTGAATGTTGAGGAGCTCGTCTGCCTCCCTCCAACCAGAAATTCCCTAGGGGCTGCTCTCAGTTGGAAGGAAGGAAGGCAAGCCAATTCTGAGTTGAATTTGACAATTCGTAGTCAAGTGTGATTGACAAATACACATTCCCTAAACAGTACCCAAGGTATGTTGCTTTTGAAAGGGGTTATTTTCACTCCAGGGAATCCATAGTTGGTTGAGTTTTTGGAAAGATAAAGTGATCTAGTTGCTCACTGCATCTTCCCAGGCTAACCCAAAGTTTGAAGGCCTGCTACTGCTCCATCACAGTAACAGTAAAGGCTGAATGTGGGGATAGAGAAAGCTCCTCCAGGAAAACAAAAATGAGAGGGATCTATTTTCTTTCTTTTTTTTTTTTTTTTTTGAGACAGTCTCGCTCTGTCGCCCAGGCTGGAGTGCAGTGGCGCCATCTTGGCTCACTGCAAGCTCCGCCTCCCGGGTTCACGCCATTCTCCTGCCTCAGCCTCCCGACTAGCTGGGACTACAGGCACCCACCACCACGCCCGGCTAATTTTTTTTGTATTTTTAGTAGAGACGGGGTTTCACCATGTTAGCCAGGATGGTCTCCATCTCCTGACCTTGTGATCCGCCCGCCTCGGCCTCCCAAAGCGCTGAGATTACAGGCGTGAGCCACCGCGCCCGGCCAAGAAGAATCTATTTTCTTCCAAAACTGTATTGCCAAGAGAAATGCACCAATGTCAGCCCCATAAGGCACAACACGGGCATGGGCCTCGAGCCAGACAGTGGGGTTTGAACTCGAATCCACCGCTTGCCAGTATAAGTGGCCTTGCGCAACTCACTCAGCCCCTTTGAGTCCCGAAAGGGTACTGATATAACCTTCCTGGTAGGGGTGTTAAAGATGTAAATGATAAAAGCACATGAACCCTTAGCAGGGTGCCCGGTGTGCAGCAGGGGCTCAGCATGGTCCCTGAGCGTGTAGGACTGACCAGAGAGAAGTGATCAGACCCTGGTCAAAGACCAGGAAATGCTTCTCAACAGAGGTAGGCCTTGATCTTTGGAGGGGTTCTGATGACACAGGTGGGGTGGGTAAGACTTCACAGAAATGGCACAGCCGCAGCAAAGAACAGAGGCTGAGTTGTACAGGGAAAGACTGGCCTGGAGCTTTGTGTTTGGTTGGGGACCGAGTAGGAGTCAAGCCCGGAAATGAGGGCCTCAGATGCTGGCCCAAAGAGACTGTGCCCAGTTTGCTAAATAAATGAGGAAATACCAGAGGCTCTGAGCACAGGCTCAAAGGGCTGGCGTCCTGGGGTAGGAGTACCCAGGCAGATGGGGTGGGAGGAAGATAAGACAGATGTGGGGGTCACAGGAGGCTGCGGTGGAAATCTGGGCAGGTGGTGGCCAGGGTATGGTGGATGGAAAGAAGCGTGTTGGGGAGGGATGGGCAGGGAGGGCTGGGCTGGCCTCACGGCTTTCGGCAGGAGAACCCTCGCTCGCTTGCGTAATGCTCTGCCGTCACTCTATTGAAACTCTGAATCGGCTCTGAACAAGAAGCCCCACAATTCTGACCTGGTTCTCTCAAATTCTGTGGCCAGCCTTGAGAGGGAGACCGACAAAATGTTTGGCTATGAAGTGGGGCAGAGGAGAGAAAGAACTGAAAAAGCTGTGGGAATTTAGGTGTCAGAGAGGAGCTAAGAAGTAAGATGGTGTTTGGGAGACAACACACTGCATGTGATGGGACAGCCATGTTGGGAGACCCACGATAATGCTTTGGGAATTCGATCTTACAGCTCAGTAAAGAACTTTGAGCAATTTATTTATTCAGAAATTATATCATCTTCTGGCTGGGCACGGTGGCTCACGCCTGTGATCCCAGCACTTTGGGAGACTGAGGTGGGTGGATCACTTGAGGTCAGGAGTTTGAGACCATCCTGGCCAACATGGTGAAACCCCATCTCTACTAAAAATACAAAAATTAGCTGGGCATGGTGCTGTGTGCCTGTAAGCCCAGCTACTCAGGAGGCTGAGGCAGGAGGATCGCTTGAACCTGGGAGGCAGAGGTTGCAGGGAGCCGAGATCGCACCACTGCACTCCAGCCCGGGCAACTCTGTTTCAAAAAAAAAAAGAAATTTCACTTTATCTTAATGAAATAAAATACATTGCTTCTGTAATTTAAATAATGAAATTAATAAAATTGTTTATTCAATAATAATACATGAAACTTCAGCAGTGGGAACAACAAATAAATGTTTGAAAGGATCAAGAACCAAATCTGGAAGACCATTGTTAAGGACAAAACTGTGTCTCTTCAGCCAGGCCTGGTGGCTCACACCAGTAACCCCAGCAGCTGGGGAGGCAGAGGTGGGAGGATCACTTGAAGCCAGGAGGTTGAGACCAGCCTGGGTAACACAGCAAGACCCCATCTCTACAAAAAATGAAAATAAATAAGTAAACAAACAAATAAATAAGTACATTTTGTCCCCCTACCTCCCAAAATTCATATGTTCAAGTCCTAACCCCTAGTACCTCAGAATGTGACTATATATTTGGAGATAAGGTCATTACAGAGGTAATTAAGTTAAAATGAGGTCATTAGGGAGGGCCCTAATCCAATATGACTCCTGTCCTTAGACGAGATCAGGACACAGGCACACACTGAGGGAGGACCGTGGACACAATGGGAGAAGCCCATATCTACAAGCGGAGAGAGGCCTCAGAAGGAAGGGGCCGGGTGCAGTGGCTCACACCTGTAATCCCAGCACTTTGGGAGGCCGAGGTGGGAGGATTACTTAAGGTCAGGAGTTCGAGACCAGCCTGGCCAACATGGTGAAACCCCCTCTCTACCAAAAATACAAAAATTAACCAAGCGTGGTGGCACATGCCTGTAATCCTAGCTACTCAGGAGGCCGAGGCAGGAGAATCGCTTGAACCCAGGAGGCAGAGGCTGCAGTGAGCCGAGATGATGTCATTGCACTCCAGCCTGGGCAACAGAGCAAGACTCCATCTCAAAAAAAAAGAAGGGACCAGCTCCGCCAACACCTTGATCTCAGAATTCCAGCCTCCAGAGCTTCGAGAAAGTGGATTCCTGTTGTTTAAACCCCCAGTCATGTTACCTTGTATTAGCAGCCCTGAAAGACTGACACAACCGTCTTCCTTAAGAAGAACAAGAATAGGTGGAAGAGTCCTCAGAGACAGCACAGAAGCATCAGAGAGGTGGTGGGAGAAGCAGGTGGTAGAGTCACAGAAGCAAAGTGCATACCCCCGGTGACGGGTGGCTGCCAGTGTAAATCGCTAGGTGAGAGGTCAGTGAGGACTCGGGGCTGACAGAAAGCTGCTGGGTTTTGAAATCAGGAAGTTGCTGGTGACCTTTCGGAGGATGATGTCATTGGTGCAGTGGGGTACAGGGAGCCAGGTGTGTTAGGTCAGAGAGAGACACACACAATGGTCTGGGGTGGTGATTCCTTTCTTTCAAGAAGTTGCCGGGATGAGATAGGATAGTAGCTTGAGGGGAAGGCAGAATCAAGGGAAAGATTTTGTTAGAGTAGGATATCCCTGAGTCATTCTAGCTGGAGAAACTCCCTAAGAAAGAGAGCCCAGCCCCGGCCTGTGCTGCCCAATGTACCTTTGTTAAATGAGCCAGGAGCACCGTGTGAAGTGGCTCACACCTGTAATCCCAACTCTGGGAAGTCGAGGAGGTAGGATTGTTTGAGCCCAGGAATTCCAGACCAGCCTGGGCAACATGGCAAAAACTCCATCTCTACAAAAAATACAAAATAATTAGCCAGGTGCTGTGGCAAGCACCTGTGGTCCCAGCTACTTGGGAGGCTGAGGTGGAAGGATCACTTGAGCCTCAGCAGTCAAGGCTGCGGTGAGCCGTGATCATGCCACTGCACTCCAGCCTGGACAACACAGTGCGACCCTGTCTCAAGAAAAAAAAAGTGTAAGTAGGACCAGGGGAAGGGTGCGAGTCCCAGGTAGACAGCAAACCCACAGCACCTGCTCGGCATGACACCTGGGGAAAAGAAGGGCTCTGTGTGCTGTGCCTAGTTCCGGGACAGAGAGGCCCAGCACAGGCTCTTTCTCCTTCTTTAGCTCCACTGGGTTCCTGTAAAGCTCCTGAGGCTACATTTCCTCTGATCTTGACCCCTTTGTAATTTCCCTTGCGGAATCTGGAGGGAGGGGCGGGACTGCCCCGTCTTCTGAGTTCCTAGCACACGGGCTTCAGCATCTGTTACTCAGGGGCTTCACCGCAGCACAGGAGAGGCAGCCCGTTTTGAAGCCGGAAGTGAGACCCTCTTCCAGACCTGAGACAGGCAGGGCTCCTGTGCTCACAGGGGCTCAGAGATGCCCCCGGCCCTTCCTCACTCCTGGGCATAACACTGAGCTCTTTCATTGCCCTCCCAGTCCCAGGCCCCAGGCTGCCGCCTTGTTTTCTTGGGAGATGGATGCTGGTTCTCCGGACACCCCCAGCCTCAGCACCATTATTCTCCTTAGCCAGTAGTTTTCAAAATTATAGAAATGGCCGGGCTGGGCATGGTGGCTCACGCCTGTAATCCCAGCACTTTGGGAGGCTGAGGCAGGCGATCACCTGAGGTCAGGAGTTCAAGACCATCCTGGCCAACATGGTGAAACCCCGTCTCTACTAAAAATACAAAAATTAGCTAGGCTTGGTGGCATGTGCCTGTAGTCCCAGCTACTTGGGAGGCTGAGGTAGGAGAATAGCTTGAACCTGGGAGGCAGAGGTTGCAGTAAGCTGATATTATGCGATTGCACTCCAGCCTGGACGACAAGAGTGAAACTCTGTCTCACCAAAAAAAAAAAAAAAAAGGCTAAACCCATCTTTCTTATAAATAATGCATTACAGAAATCCCTAAGATAGCAAATGGCTAAAGGTGCATTTTATTAGTGCACATTTCCATTATAACATCAAATGTATTGTACTCACACATCACAAAGCCAAGCAAGGCGAATTACAGGTGTTTATAAATGGAAAACATAGAAATTGGTGTTATGGGAAACTGAGATCATTGTAAGATAATGGTCAACTATAGAGCAGAATTTGCATCCGGGTCTCTCTGCTTGCACATTACCTCCGAGTAATACCACGAGAGGAAAGGCTATCAAATCAGGCTTGCAGTTGACAATCACCATGATGAACACAGATCCAAAGATAGGGCCTGAAGCCTGGCCGAGCCTGCGAGGGAGTCAGTCATCCTTCCTGGCCATCTTGCTTACCATTTGTTGCTGAGAATTAATGGGTGGAATAATCATTGTGGGACCGATTTGTTGATAAGATTAGTCAGCCCCACCAAAGGTCAAATTTCTATGGAGAATGCAGTTGCAAAATGGAGTTGCTTTGTTTTTAAACTACAAAATCCACATTGATAATCACATCAATGAAAAGGCAAACATAGTTCCCTCTGGATTCTCGTCATGGGACAAGAATATGTTTTCCAGACTGATCCTGTTTGCAGTGAACCCAACTGGGGAAAATACTGAATGTCCATCTGACCTTCAAATCAAGGAAAAACAGCAAAAGTGGATCTCACTTAGTGTGACTGCATTCCTAGGAGTTTCTCAGAGCTTGGTGAGGTTTCACATAAAGCGTCAATCACAGTAGGAAAATGAAAATACGACGTAATCAGATTGTTGAAGTGTTGTAAGGGGAATGGGTGGGGGAATTTATGCGGTTTTAAAAATAGGAAGTTCTACCCTAGAGTGTATCATTTGTGAAGTGAAGGAAGTTCCGATAGGCTGTTAGAAGAGCCTGCACCATAGCAATTGGATGGTGTGTTTTCAACACATTTCTACTTCATGGTAGTAAACACATGGCTTTTCACTAAATCCTACAGTTTGGATGTAAAGTAACTAAAATACACTCCAAGGTTGGCTGCTCTAAGATTTTGTTAAGCCAAAGAGAAACTCTTGTTTAGTTTTGTGAAAGACAAGACTGGTTGCATATCAGGATTTTTTTCATTTAGAATGCAGGTTGTCAAATGTTTTAAACTCAGGGGAGGGGAATGGCAACACAGCAACATTGGTTATCAAACGGGAAAGGGGGCTTGGCTAGAATGATGCCAGGAAACAGCTTATTAGGAAGAGAAACTCTCAAGGTCATAAAAAGCACCAAAGTGCTCTCTGGCTTCGGGTGTCTTCTCACCCAGGTCATAATGAAACAGGCTCAAATTAGCCTGAGTCAAGAAGCTCATCTGATGTGTGGAGAGACGCCCTACACAAATGTCTGCTGCACTGCAGGCTAGTCACACAGCCGATCTCACCTGGAATGGCTCCAGTGTCCTCAGGCGCTAGGATCCTGCCGCGGAGTGGGAGAAGGCCTGAGTGGCCCAGTATCCTTCATGCAGGGTGGATCCTCACCTCAGAAGCTGTAGAGAAACTTCTCAGAGCTCGGAAACTCCCCTAGACCGTGATACAGCAATTCCTTAGGAAGACAAGGGGCAGGGGGTCGCCGGCGGGGGGCGGTGGGTGGCAGGGGGGTAGGGGTAGGGGCAGAGCAGGGACAAATCATCTCAGCCAAATGCTTAAGAAGAAGAGATTGGGTCATACCTTGTGTTTCCATTCAAAGCTAGCGTGCTGATGACTAAAGTTTGGCAATTACACGTTGTCTGCTATCACATCAGCGCTATCAAAAGTGGAGCTTGCCAAAGGGTAGGGGGCAGTGATAAAGGCCATGGACTCTGGAGCCACACTGCCTGGTTTGAATCCTGATACCTCTCCTCACTGGTTGTTGAGCTGGGCAAGTCATTTCTCCTGGCTGTGCCTTGGTTTCCTCCTCTGAAGAAAAGGGGGAAGTCATGGAGAGGGTCCTTGTGAGTTATCACTTGTAAAGGCTATGAAAGAGGCCACTTGGAGAGCCCAAGGGTCTCTGTGTGGTTCAGCCCAGCACACATCCACGTATCTGGCACTGGCTGGCAGGGTTGGCAGGACTCTCCCAAGGAGTCCAGCTTGGGACCAGGCACGCGCACCCACGCCTCTTGACATACTCTTCTATCTTCATTTAAAATTTAAAATGCCAGGTTTTCAAACTTATAAAAACTCACTTGATATTGACAGGGGAATGACAACATAGCCACACTGGTTATCAACAGCACAGGAAAGCAGGCAAGGGTGGAATGATGCTGTCAGTCACTGGAGCCAGTTGTCTCCTGGCTTGCTTTCTCCACCCTTTGATTCTGTTTTGAGCTCCCCACACCCCTCTCCCTGCCCAGCTCTTCTCTGGAAGAGCTCCTCAAGAGCTACTCTAAGGCCCCCTCCTGTCTCTCTTTTCTACTCGCATTAAGCTACTTCATGCAACCCACAGGGCCCACAGCCAGCCACACCGGGGCTCACACATTACACCTGCCACTCTGGCCTCTGCTGAGCTCCAGGCCCCGGTGTCAGCCTCGCACTGCAAGGGTCCTCTGGGGTGCCTCAGAGGCACTGCAAACCCAGGGAGTGGAAAGCCCAGCTCATGCCTTTTGTACCCACATGTGGCCCTCCTCTGGGGCAGCCACGGTCAAGGATCAGCACAACCATCCATGCAGACCTGGTGAGCACCTACAGTATCCTTTCCTTATTCAGTGGCTCCACAAACCCCGTCAGCTCTGCCTCCAAAGCAACCCCCACCTTTTTTTTTTGAGATGGAGTCTCGCCCTGTCACCCAGGCTGGAATGCAGTGGTACGATCTTGGCTCACTGCAACCTCCGCCTCCCGGGTTCAAGCAATTCTCCTGCCCCAGCCTCCCAAGTAGCTGGGATTACAGGCGCGTGCCACCACGCCCAGCTAATTTTTGTATTTTTAGTAGAGACAGGGTTTCACTATGTTGGTCAGGCTAGTCTCGAGCCCTTGACCTCGTGATCCGCCCGCCTCAGCCTCCCAAAGTGCTGGGATTACAGGCGTGAGCCACTGAGCACCTTTCAAACAAATCTCCCAGCCGGGCACTGTGGCTCCCGCCTGTAATTTCAGCACTTCAGGAGGCCAAGGCAGTTGGATCATCTGAGGTCAGAAGTTGGAGACCAGACTGGCCAACATAGTGAAACCCCATCTCTACTAAAAATTCAAAAATTAGCCCAGCATGGTGGCACGTGCCTGTAATCCCAGCTACTCAGGAGGCTGAAGCAGGATAATTGCTTGAACCTAGGAGGTGGAGGTTGCAGTGAGCTGAGATCGCACCACTGCACTCCAGCCTGGATGACAGAGCAAGACTCCGTCTAAGAAAAACAAACCAAAAACCCAAATAAATCTCTCAAATATCTGCGTATTGCTCTCCCTCCTCACCAGGGTGGCCCAGGCCCATTCTCTGGCTCAGCTGTTGCCTCTGACTTTTCTATCTATATGTTCAACATAAAATATAGTTGAGGAAAAGGCTAACAAGCACACTGATAAATAAGTCAGATCCTTTTAGGTAAGTACCATGAAGAAAAATACACCCAGGTAATCGATTGGAGAGTGACTGAGAGGGTGGCTGGGGAAGGCTCTGTGTGGAGGTCAGGCTGAGGATGGTGAGGAAGGGGACTCCAGGTCTGCCTCAAAACCACAGGTCCTGAGATGGGAGCACAAGTTTCAGTGGTCGGATGATTACAGGCTGGAGATAAGGGGGCGAGTGGTAGGGGAGGTGGAGCTCACAAGGGCTGGCTCCTATGTGGTTTTGGAGGCCTCGGGGAGGACTTCAAGTTTTATTCCAAATGCAATGGAAAGCCACTGATGACTTCTTTTTTTTTTCAGGCTTTGGGGGACAGAGTTTCACTCTTGTTGCCCGGGCTGGGGTGCAATGGCAAGATCTCGACTCACTGCAACCTCCGCCTCCTGGGTTCAAGTGATTCTCTTGCCTCAGCCTCCCAAGAAGCTGGGATTAGAGGCATGCACCACCATGCCTGGCTAATTTTGTATTTTTAGTAGAGATGGGTTTCTCCATGTTGGTCAGGCTGGTCTCAAACTCCCGACCCCAGGTGATCCGCCGGCCTCAGCCTCCCAGAGTGCTGGGATTACAGGCATGAGCCAACCATGCCACTGATGACTTCTAAGCAGATAAGTGATATGGTTTGAATAGGTTTTTTAAAGAAATTATCTCTTCTGGCCAGGTGCGGTGGCTCACACCTGTGATCCCAACACTTTGTGAGGCCGAGGTGGGTGGATCGCTTGAGCTCAGAAGTTCAAGACCAGCCTGGGCAACTTGGTGAAACCCCGTCTCTACCAAAAATACAAAAAAATTAGCCAGGTGTGGTGTGCGCCTGTAGTCCCAGCTACTCAGGATTACAGTAGGTAGCTAGTCAGACATGAGCAGGGCAGGAGAGGGCTCCCCTGACCCCAACAGGAATGTCAGGTGACCATCAGGTGATGTTCAAGGTTGTTAACTGTCTCTTTAAAATAATAATTGGTTGTAGCCAGCGCCAGAGAAAGGCAGTCTCCCAGTAGATAGGAAACATCTGAAACTGGTGATTAGCTGCTTCCTGATCAGATCTCAGGAGTTGATTGAGTGGGCTCAAGCATGCGTATTAACTGGCATATGAGCATCTAGGGACGTTGGACTTGCATGGGAAGAATGCCTCAAGTGAGCATGCGTGCAACTCCAGTAAACACACCGTGCATGCGGCCCCTCCAAGTGCTGGCAGGCCACCACACATGCGGACAGCACACCCCAAAGGAAGATTCAGGGGAGAAGGAACGCAGGCCCCTGGAAGTATGCCAGCATATAAAACCCCAAGTCAAAGGTCAAATAGCACACTTGATTTCTCAAGTCGCCCGCTTGGCCCTCCTCCAAATTTTACTTCCTTTCATTCCTGCTCGAAAGCTTTTTAATAAACTTTCACTCCTGCTCTAAAACTTGCCTCAGTCTTTCCTTCTGCTTTATGCCTCCTTGGCTGAATTCTTTCTTTGGAGGAGGCGAGAACTGAGGTTGCTGCAGACCTGTTTGGATTCGCTGCTGGTAACAGGGAAGCTGAGCTGGGAGGACTGCTGGAGCCAGGGAAGTTGAGGCTGCAGTGAGCCATGATTGCACCACTGTACTCCAGCCTGGGTTGCAGAGCAAGACCCTGCGCCCCCAACCCCAACAAAAAAAAACAAACAAACATCTCTTCCTTTCTTCATTCAGAATGTGACTATACTGAGAACTCACAAAGATGCCAGGTGGTGGGCAAATTGCTAGGGACACAAAGCCATGTCAAACATACTCTCAACCCAGAGGAAGGACGTGTCCACCCCGCATGATTCTGCATTCAATAGAGTGTTAGGCACATAGAGAAACTCAATTAATGTTTGTTCACAAAATAAATGAATGACGACCCTTGAAATCCAGCCTCTATCAACAAGGCTGATCTCAAAGGCCAGCTGGCCGGTGATTGCATGACTGTCCAACACAGACCCACAGGCCAGAAACCTAGGAGTATCTTGACTTTCCTTTTCCCCAAGTGGCTTGTCACCAAATCCAGTTCACTTTATCACCTAAGCATCTCTCAAATCTGTTCACCTGGTATTCTTAGGAGGTAACAAGCTGAGCCTCTCCACACCGTGGCTGAGTGGCCACTATCTGTGACCCCTAAATCCAGGCTCTGTTGGTTTAAAACCTGAAGACCATCTATACCTGCCTATGTCAGGGGCTCAGATCTGTCTTTCTGGAAGGTGTGGTCTGGTGAACACGTCCAGGAGACTTGGACCTATGACTTGTGGCTTTTCATACACCAGTCAGTTACATAATGTCTCTGGGTTTGCTTGAGCTTATTGGTGGGTTTGCTTGAGCTTACTGGTAAAGTGGGTTTGATGGTAACCACCTGATCTCCTTCATGTTGAGATAAAGTGGGTTGCATCTCTTTGAGAGTCAGAAAACAACACGCACATGGGTAAACATGAAGGATGATTGTGACTGGGGCTGGGAGTCTAACAGGCAAAAGGAGGCTCAGTCACGGTGGAGAAACTAGTGGAGCTGGAGTGATTTTTTTCTGCCTGACTGGAGAGCACTCACTCCTCCCCGTTTCCTGCAGCCCTGTTGGTGAGCCTGGTAAGAGTCTCCCGGCCCTGTGGAGACCCACAGCACAGCTGGAGCTGCAGCGGTGACGCTTCAGGCACCCGGACTTCAAAGCGTTACTGCTTGCCTGCCTTTTATTCCCAGAGATACTATCTTTTGCCCTCAAATCCAAACTTGTCATCTCCACTCACAGGAGAGGTTAAGGTCTGTCTCAGAACCACTGACTCTGGGTTCACACAGAAGAGAAGTTCTGGGAAGAGGCATCCTGAAAGCACCCCAAATCCTGAGACCTCAGGCCCCACTTTGTTCACCCAACCAGGTGATTGAGTGTCTGGGCAGGTGAAAACTTTCCAAGATGCAGATCACGCTAGAGACTTTTTCTTAGTACCCAGAATCCGATACTTGTAGAGTGAAGCCGCATTCCACGAAAAGGCCGTCAGCTTGGTGTATGCGGCCATGCTGCCTCTGAGCCTGCCCCTGGCCGGCATTTGTCTGCTCCAGAGCACGCTGTTCTCCTCCCCACTCACTCTCTGCCCTGCACTGGCACCCATGCAGTTTTTTCACTTATTTTTCTTTTAGATTTTCAAAGGGCACAAGCTGTGCATCTTCTGACCTTCCTCTGAGTCACCACATTCTAGCCCATTTGTGCACTTGAGCTCTCAGCTACGCATTACATAGTTCTTGTCTAAACCACGGCATGTGGGGGCTGAGAGGGAATACAGCATTTGGTCAGCGTCTATTCAGTGTTTTCCAGCACTTTTACCTCCCGTGTCTCTGACCCTCAGGCCCCGAGAACATAGTCCCCCCTTTTTACGGACAAGAAGCAGAACTTCACCACAGAGAGCTTGGGCAACATCCCCAGGACAGCCCTGGGCTGAGATGCGAACTCACTTTCTCAGGGAAAAGATAGGCGAGTTATTTTGTTCATGAAGATTTTTAGCTTTTTCTTTTTTTTTTTCTGTTGGTAGAGACAAGGTCTCACTATGTTGTCCAGGCTGGTCTCAAACTCCTGGCCTCAAGTGATCCTTCCACCTCAGCCTCCCAAAGTGCTGGGATTACAGGCATGAGCCACCACGCCTGTCTTTTTGTCTTTGTTTAAAACTCATAAACTATTGAGATAAGATGGTTCAGTTAAGTTTTCTTGGCAACATTTTACCTCTCAGCTTCTACTATTTTCTACTTCCCTGGGCATGCCCTATTCCTTGTTCAAGAATTGTCAGGCTGTATCCTGTTTCAATAAGTTCCCTTATTAGCTCTGATCCAGATTCTCTGTGGCCAGCTGCTGCAATCTCTAAGATAATGCAAACAATACTTACTTCTGTTCTCAGTTGCTGATCTTTTTTAAAAACTCTTTTCATGGAAACAAGAGTTGGTTTTCACAGGTGGGGAGCTGTGGCCTTTCTCGCCCGAGGCTTGCATCTGCCGGCAGAAGGGTAACAGACGATGCCGCGCAGCCGGCGCTGTTCCAAGCAGCTCCGTGAGCATTCACGCACATTAGGAGTAGTCCTGGGCACCAGCACACTGTGACCCATGTGACACACTCTCGCAGCTGGCTCACTAGCAGCCCCATACTGGAAGCTACTCAAATGTCCGTCAGCTGTAGGATAGATAAATAAATGGCGGTGTATTCACATAATGGAATACCAGCCAACAGAGAGAAGAAACTGTCTGAAATAACAGGCAGCAATATGGATGGATGGCACAGACATAACTGTGTGAAAGAAGCCAGACACAAAAGGAAACAGACTGCGTGATTCCATTTCCACAAAGTATAAAACAAGGCAAAACTTATCTATGGTATTAGAATTAGAATATTGGTTACCCTTGGGGGTCAGCAGTGACTGAAAGGGAGAATGAGGCAGCTTCTAGGGTGCTGCTTGTGTTCTGGTTAAACAGGTGTGTTTGGTTTGTGAAAATCCATCGAGCTGGACACGAATGATATATGCATGTTTCTGTATATCTATTATTATTATTATTATTTTGAGACAGAGTCTCTGTCGCCCAGGCTGGAGTGCAATGGTGTGATCTTGGCTCACTGCAACCTCCGCCTCCCAGGTTCAAGCAATTCTCCTGCCTCAGCCTCTCGAGTAGCTGGGACTACAGGCGTGTGCCACCAAGCCCAGCTAATTTTTGTATTTTTAGTAGAGATGGGGTTTCGCCATGTTGGCCTGGCTGCTCTCGAATGCCCGACCTTAGGTGATCCGCTGGCCTCTGCCTCCCAAAGTGCTGGGATTACAGGCGTGAACCACTGTGCACCCAGCTATATGTCTATTATTTTCAATGAAAATTAAAAATGAAACAAAACTTATGGAGGCAGCTTTGTCCAGGAGCATTCTGATGTCTCCATTTCTTAGTGGTGGCCAACCTGGGACAATTCATAGGCATTTCTTCCCAGACAAAGGGATCCCTAAGGAAATAACAGGTGGCCATCTATGACTTACTTTATCTTGCATAAAAATATCTTTGAAATATTAGACTCAGGAATCACACCTTATCCTGTGAAAGTTCTATGACAGTTTTATTTTTTAATTGAACTTACCTTAGGAAGGCAAAAGTGCATTTGATCCATGCCTGATTGCTGGCACAAGGTCTTGCTTAAGCCCTTGTGACTAGATCTTGAATTATAGAAATGCAATTTTCACTGGAGAAAAAGAGATAGAGCTCCTGCAGTACCGTTTCCTTCCAAAGTTTGTAATAATTGTTGATGAAGCATGTTATTTCTTTTAAAAACAGGAAAGGATCTTTCAGTATCCTCTAGGAGTAGCTTATTGGCAGCAGCTTTGAGTGAAGAACAAATCAGAAGGGGTCGTTAAAACCCAAACACTTTCTGAACACCAACTAGCTATCTCATGTCAGGTCTCTGAAATGCAATTTCATTGCTCTCGAATACTGTTATAGTACTTTTCAGGTGACTGAATGAAAAATCAAAGCTTCCATTTTGTGGTTTTGAAATATACAGTGTTACTGAAATATAGCTTTAATTCAAGACCTATAGGATGAGTCATTGCTATGGTTGTTTCCAGCAAGGAATTTGAATTTCACCTTAACTCTCATATTGATGTCATATTTAATTGATATATTCTAATAATGTGCTTGCAAAATTTTCCCCAACACAACTCCAAGTCACAGCCATCTTCTACAATACTTTGAGACATTTTCTCTTTAGAGTCCACCTTCGAAGGCTGCTGGGACACAGCTCACGTTTACAGGAGGCTCTTGCAGGAGCCAAGCTCAGTTTGCCTTTTGCTGCATTCAAGTCTCCAAGCTCGTGATCCTGAGTTATGGCCTGCCTTTAAAATAAACCATCTCTTCAGTGCTATGTTAACCTCTCAAAATGTATTCCTGTCAAAGCCATCACATGCTTACCTTAAAAATCACACGTCCTTGGCCTCTGTCAATCTCCCATGTGAGTTTCAGGCTGGCATTTGGAAGTATTTGATAAGGTGGCTGTTGCGGTGTTCATCATTAACTGCAGAGCTGAAGAAAGAAACAAAGACCACAAGCTCAGATCACCACATGCCTCAGTGAAACTTCTGAAGCCATGACCAACCTGGAAATCTGATGATTAGCATCAGGCACAGAGGGGAAGAGAAACAGGAAGCTTTGGGAAAACGAATAACTGAACCAAGTGAGAGGTGGCCCAGTTCTGTTTAATCCTTTGTAAGAAACAATACACACATGGGTCCAGAGTCCAGGAGGCCTCCATGTTATCTATTTCTATTTATTTATTTATTTTAAGACAGGGTCTTGCTCTGCCACTCAGGCTGGAGTGCAGTGATATGATCATAGCTCACTGCAGCCTTGATCTCCCACCTCGCCCTGACTCAGCCTCCCAGATAGCTGGGGCTACAGGTGTGTGCCACCACATTCAGCTAATTTATTTATTTTTTTCTTTTTAAGACGGAGTCTCACCTGTTGCCCAGGCTGGAGTTCAGTGGCGCGATCTCGGCTCACCGCAAGCTCTGTCTCCCGGGTTCACACCATTCTCCTGCCTCAGCCTCCCCAGGAGCTGGGACTACAGGTGCCTGCCACCACGCCCGGCTAATTTTTTGTATTTTTAGTAGAGACAGGGTTTCACCGTGTGAGCCAGGATGGTCTCAATCTCCTGACCTCATGATCCACCCGCCTCAGCCTCCCAAAGTGCTGGGATTACAGGTATGAGCCACCGCACCCGGCCTTTTTAAATTTTTTATTAGAGACAAGTTCTCACTGTGTGTGCTCAGGCTGGTCTCTCTGAGCTCAAGCAATCCTCCCGCCTCAGCCTCCCAAAGTGCCAAGATTACAGGTGTGAGCCACTGGGCCTGGCCTATCAGTCTATTTATTTCAAGATTTACTTTCTCTAAAAAAGAGAAATATAAATTCCTAGGTGTGTGTGTCAGTGCCTGAGCAGGTGCTTTCTGCCATTTTGAGAGGAAACAGCAAGTCGTGTCCGTGAAAGATGGGCCCGTTGGCAATGTTGTCCATGTGGATGCTGGGGATGGTGGGGGCGGAGTCTGACTGTGCATGTGGGGGCCTAGGGCAGATGGCGCCCATGCCACACCTGGGGGCCTGAGGTCCTTCCAACCTAAGCAATTGGACGGACGGGAGTCAGAAAGGGTTCAGTGAGAGTGCTGACTTTGCTGTTGCTGCTGCTGTTTTTAGTGCATGGCTACCGCATTTGCTCCTGACATCTCAAGTTGGGGGATGTGAATCTGGGATTCTCTCCCAGCCACTCTTGGCTCCCCATGGGGAATCCCTTCACATCTCATTAGACCTGCCTGCCGCCATCTGGATCAAGTCGACCTTGATCCCAATCGGGCGGGAGGGGTAGGTGAGCAGAGGGAGGTGCGTGATGCTGCTCTTTGCGAAGAAGCAGGCCTGCCTGTGTCCCAAGAGCAAAGAGGCAAAGAGCTGGGACTTAAAGTGCAGTTGGCCTGAATTCAAAGCCCAGCTCTGCTGTTTACTGCATCATTTTGGGCAAGCTACTCAACCTCTCTGCATCCTAGTTTCCTCGCTCATGAAGTGAAGTCGCCAAAACTTGTTTCAAGAGTTGCTGTGAGGTTTAAATGGGGGAGAGAGATGCAAACCCTTAGCCAGAACCTGGCTCGTGGTCAAGCCTCAGGAAATGTTGCCTTAAAAAATTCCTTGATGCTGCCCAAGGTGCTCCTCTCAGGTTCAGGTTTGCACCTTCTTTACTGCTTCAGTGTTTTCTTTTTCTTTTCTTTCTTTCTTTTTTTTTTTTTGAGACAGAGTTTCACTCTGTCGCCCAGGCTGGAGTGCAGTGGCAAGATCTTGGTTCACTGCAACGTCCGCCTCCCAGATTCAAGAGATTCTTTTGCCACAGCCTCCCAAGTAGCTGGGATTACAGGCACCCACCACCACACCCGGCTAACTTTTGTATTTTTATTAGAGATGGGGTCTTGCCATGTTGGCCAGGCTGGTCTCGAACTCCTGGCCTTAAGTGATCCCCCCGCCTCGGCCTCCCAAAGTGCTGGGACTACAGGCGTGAGCCACCAGTGTTTCCTAATCATCAGATGTTGAGGTCGAAATGGGGTCTTGGCATCAGTCTAGCCCCTAACTCACCTGCTTTTGAACCTCCCTTTTCTGCATTGCTGGTGGGTGGCCGTTCATCCCTGCTAGGACTCAGCTAGGAAAGGGGACCCCATCAATTCACGAAGCAACCCCTTTTTGTTGTTCCTGGGTTCTGGAAGGGTTTTCCTTGCACTAAAGTGAAATCTACCTCTTTTACAACTTCTACACATAATTTCGAGTTTCATCCTCTTTTCTTTCCTCTCTCTCTTCCACAAGACAGCCTTTCAAATTTTTGGAACAGCACTTTTCCCTTTTTTATCAAATTGTCACTTAAGCACTTTTTTTTTTTCTTTGCCTCAGGTTAACTCTCCTGAAACTTAAGCACTTTTTATGCCACTCATTGCTGAGCACTTTCTATAAGCCTGCACCAACCTATACATTCATGTTTCATGTGTTCACTTTCTTCCTTCCTGGCACCTCTTGGAGGAACCAACCCTCCTTACTCTCAGCGGCTTGGATGGGGCCAACCACCCTCACCCCACTTCCCAGTCCCAGAGGTAGGTAGGTTGTGTGGCCCAGATCCTCTACCATCCTGGCTACATTGATTGTTTTAGAAATTGGTAGGTGACCCCGCTGGACCACTCAAGGTTCTCCCATAGAGGTTTGTAACAAGAGACATGACTTTTTCTTTGGGATCAGTATCTCTCTCTCTTTTTTTTTTTCTGAGACGGAGTCTTGGTCAGTCACCCAGGCTGGAATGCAGTGGTGCGATCTTGGCTCACTGCAACCTCCGCCTCTTGGATTCAAGCAATTCTCCTGCCTTGGGCTTCCGAGTAGTTGGGATTACAGGTGCATGCCACCACGCCCGGCTAATTTTTGTATTTTTAGTAGAGACGGGGTTTCACCATATTGTCTAGGCTCTCGAACTCCTGACCTCATGATTCACTCTACTTGACCTCCCAAAGTGCTGGGATTACAGGCGTGAGCCACCACGCCCGGCCTGGGATCAGTATCTCTATGGAAGACAAATCTGTGGCCATCTTTACCAACATATCAGGGAAGCAGAGTATACCGAACCAAGGATCCAACTATACCTGACTAAAACCACCAGGACTTGGACACCCTACTTAGAGAGGCCTCTCCACACTCTCCTTTTTCATTGTTTTAAGCTAGTTTGAGCTGGTTTTCTGTCACTTGCAACCGAAGGAATTCTGATTTATTCAGACTGAAAGTTCCCTCAACAGGACTCAAAGGACTTGGTGTATGTTCCCTCCTCACTCTGGAGTCTCTCTTATGGATATCCGGTGCTGTGTCATTGTTGGCATAGAGAAGGGCTTTTCATTCTTAGCACCCCTTGAACCTCAGGGACAGGGGAAGAATCTGGATTTTTTTTCTTCCTAACTACTTAGGTGGACTAATCTGGGTCAGGGTGTATTTCAACAAAATGTGAAATACGAAACCCAAGCAACAACCCACAAATCCTGTTTGCTGACCAGGCCAGAGTGAGAAAAACAGAAGTCAAGAGATAGAGCTGTCTTATGGATAGAGAGACACCCATCAAAATTTGCAGCAGAAGGCAGGAGTTCAGTCTCCTCTCACTGGCTCTGGCCAATAGGTTTTCTGCAGAACTGAAACCTGCAAGATTTTCTCAGGGGGGAGACCTGGTTTCCTTTATTTAATTTAATTTATTTATTTATTTTGAGACAGCATTTCACTCTTGTTGCCCAGGCTGGAGTGCAATGGTGCGATCTCAGCTCACTGCAAGCTCCTCCTCCCAGGTTCAAGTGATTCTCCTGCCTCAGCCTCCTGAGTAGCTGGGATTACAGGCATGTGCCACCACGCCCGGCTAATTTTGTATTTTTAGTAGAGATGGGGTTTCTCCATGTTGGTCAGGCTGGTCTCAAACTCCCAACCTTAGGTGATCCGCCCACCTTGGCCTCCCAAAGTGCTGGGATTACAGGCATGCGCCACCACGCCCGGCTAATTTTGTATTTTTAGTAGAGATGGGGTTTCTCCATGTTGGTCAGGCTGGTCTCAAACTCCCGACCTTAGGTGAGCCGCCCGCCTTGGCCTCCCAAAGTGCTGGAATTACAGGTGTGAGCCACCGTGCCCAGCCTTCTTTTATTTTATAAAAGGAAATTTATTTTAAAAGTGCAGAGTGAGATGTATAGCAAAATTTCTATAAGAATCTAAGACACATACACTCACTGTGTTAGTTTGCAAAGGCTACCATGCAGACTGGGGGTTTAAACAACAGAAATTTATTTCCTCATAGTCCTGGTGGAGGCTGGAAGTCCAAGATCAACATGTGGGTAGGGTTGGTTTCTTCTGAGGCTTCTCTCCTTGGCTCGTAGATGGTCCCCTTCTCCTGTGTCTTCAACTGGCCTTCCTGTGTGTGTGTGGCCTAATCTCCTCTTCTTGTAAGGATGTCAGTCATTTTGGATAGGGCCCTCTCTAATGGCCTCATTTAACTTTGATTACCTCCTCAAAGACCTACCTCCAAATGCAGTCACATCTGAGGTACTGTGGGCTAGAGCTTCAACATACAAATTTTGGAGGGACCCAATTCAGCCCATAAAACTCAACAATAATAAACTTCTGGATGCTCCAGCCAACTGTCAATTGTACAATGTTTAGGAAATTTAGAATGCTTGATAGTCTTCATTTCTCGTAGAAATTGGATCAGTAGGCTCTTTCTATCAATCTTGGAGAACATCACCGCTTCATCAGAGCAGATAAAAACAAAGGCAGGTAATGAACACGAAGCCGCAGAAGCAGCCCCAGGCAAGTCTGCTGAGAGAAAGAGGAAAGTCAATTCCCCTAACAGACTGGGCTCACCTTGACGGAGAACTCAGTGGAATCCTAGACCTCACCCTTTCCCAGACTGATTACCCATGCTCCTTGGGGCAGGGATTGGGTAAGGGTCTCAGAGGTTCACCTGAGCTACCACTCTTCCTTCATAAAGGTTCCTCTCCAGGGAGGCTCAGTGAGTTAGGTTCTAGGCACATTTACATTTGAAAAGCACTGGGGTGTAAGAATGAGGAAAGAAAAGGCACAGATCCTGTCTTTGATCTTTTGAAACAACTTGAAGATTTGGCAAATTGCCCAGATAAAAAATAGATAATTAAATTATATACAACATCAACATACGTTGCATGTAACACAAGAGGTTATTTTTATTTGAAAAACTGCAGTTGGAAATTGGAGTGAAGGACAACTGAAATATTTCAAAGGTGCCAAAGGAGGAGCCCATTTAAAGTAATCCTATATTGGATCTTTCTTTTTTAAGTCAATCTACTGCCACTATTTTGTTGTGAAAGACATTCTGATTTTCATGTTAAACAACACAGCCCAGAGGAGCAGTAGGAGAAGAAAGAATCAAACTGAGTTGGGGCTAAACTGACTCTTGCCTCATTCAACACCCAGCAGATCTTTGTTCTGTCCTTCCAACATCAGGAGCTCATTTTCCCACCTTGGGGACTTTGCATTTGCCATATCCTGTGCTTGAAACCTTTTTTCCTCATAATTCCAGTGATTTACTCATTTTCGTCATTCACATCTCAACTCAAATGCCACACATAGGTAGAGAGGCTTCCCCCATTCCCCATTCTAATCCCAACTGTCTCTGTTCCAGGGATTCTCCACGTGTGGTCCCCAGACCACCAGCAGCAGTTTTACTTGGAAACCTGTTAGAAATGCAAATTCAGTCCCACCAACACTGTAAAAGTGTTCCTATTACTCCACATCCTCTCCAGCACCTGTTATTTCCTGACTTTTTAATGATCTCCATTCTAACTGGTGTGAGATGGTATCTCATTGTAGTTTTGATTTGCATTTCTCTGATGGCCAGTGATGATGAGCAAAAAAAAAAAAAAAAAAAAAAAAGAAAGAAATGCAAATTCAGGCTGGGCGTGGTGACTCACTCCTGTAATCCCAGCACTTTGGGAGGCCACAGTGGGTGGATTGCTGGAGATGAGCCTAGGCAAGATGGTGAAAAAAAAAAAATTAGCCAGGCATGGTGGCACACGCCTGTAGTCCCAGCTACTCAGGAGGCCAAGGTGGGAGGATTGCTTGAACCCAGGAAGTGGAGGTTACAGTGAGCTGAGATTGTGCCATTGCACTTCAGCTTGTCTGAAAGAAAGAAAGAGAGAGAGAGAAAGAAAGAAAGAAAGAAAGAAAGAAAGAAAGAAAGAAAGAAAGAAAGAAAGGAAAGAAAGAAAGAAAGAGAGAAATGCAAATTCCGTGGCACTACTCCAGACCTATTGGACTAGGAGCCCTGAGGGTGGGCCCAGCTGATCTCATGCACGCCCAAGTTTGAGGACCATGATTTCGTCCCATTCCTTGAAATTTTTTCTCCATAGCTCCTATCACTCTCAGAAATTATCTGATTTTTTTAAAAAAACTGTTGGCCAGGTGCGATGGCTCACACATGTAACCCCAGTGCTTTGGGAGGCTGAGGGGGGTGGATCACCTGAGGTCAGAAGTTCGAAAACAACCTGGCCAATGTGGTGAAACCCCAGCTCTACTAAAAATTCAAAAATTAGCCGGATGTGGTGGTGCGCACCTGTAATCCCAGCTACTCAGGAGGCTGAGGCAGGAGAATTGCTTGAACCCGGGAGGCGGAGGTTGTGGTGAGCTGAGATTGTGCCATTGCACTCCAGCCTGGGCAGCAAGAGTGAAACTCCATCTCAAATAAAAAACCAAAACTGTCACATTGTATTAGTCGGGCATGGTGGTGGGCGCCTGTAGTCACAGCTGCTCAGGAGTCTAAAGCACAAGAATCGCTTGAACACGAGAGGTGGAGGTTGCAGTGAGCCAAGATTGCACCACTGCATTCTGGCCTGGGTGACAGAGTGAGACTCCATCTCAAAAAAAAAGAAAAGAAAAAAAAAAGAAATTGTCACGTTATAATTGTATGTGTTTATGGGATACAAGTTGATATTTCAGTACCCGTATGTGTTGTATAATGATCAAGTCAGGGTAGTTAGCATATTCATCACTTCATGCATTTGTCATTTCCTTGTCATGAGAACATTTAAAAACTTCTCTTCTAACTGTAGGGTGATACACAATACCTTACAGTTAACCATAGTCACCCTTCCCAGCCTTTGATAACCACTGTTCTATACTCTGCTTTGATGAGATCAACTTTGTTTTTTAATTCCACATATTAGTGAGATCATGTGGTATTTGTCTTTCTGTATCTGGCTTATTTCACTTAACTTGGTGTCCTCCAGGTTCAGCCACGTTGTCACACATGACAGGATTTCCTTCTTTTTTTATGACTGAATAGAATTTTGTTGTGCTTATATACCACATTTTCTTTACCATTCATCTGTTGATGATGGACATTTAGGTTAATTCCATATCTTGGCTATTACAAATGGTACTGCCATAAAGATGGGAGTGCAGATATCTCTTCAACATACTGATTTCACTTTCTTTTTTTTTGAGATGGAGCGTGGCTCTGTCGCCCGGGCTGGAGTGCAGTGGTACCATCTCAGCTCACTGCAACCTCTGCCTCCTGGGTTCAAGCGATTCTCCTGCCTCAGCCTCCCGAGTAGCTGGGATTACAGGTGCCCACCCCACCATGCCCAAGTAATTTTTTGTATTTTTAGTAGAGATGGGGGTTTCTCCATGTTGGTCAGGCTGGTCTCGAACTCCTGACCTCAAGTGATCCACCCGCTTTGGGCTCCCAAAGTACTGGCATTACAGGCCTGAGTCACCACAACCAGCCCTGATTTCACTTCCTTTGGATATATATCCAGCAGTGAGAGTGTTGGATTATATTGTAATTCTATTTTTATTTTGGGGGGGACCCCTATACTGATTTCCATAATTGCTGTACTAATTTATATTCTTATCAACAGTATGCAAGTGTTCCCTTTTCTCTACATCCTCACCAACACTTGTTTTCTTTTGTCTTTTTGATAAGAGCCATTCTAATTGGAATGAGGTGGTGTCTCATTATGGTTCTGATTTGCATTTCTCTGACATTTAGTGATGTTGAGCATTTCTTCATGTATCTGTTGTCCATTTGTATGTCTTCTTTTAAGAAATGTCTATTAAGGTTTTTTGGCCATTTTTTAATCGGGTTATTTGGTTTATTGCTGTTGAGTTGTTTAAGTTCCTTATATATTTCTGGATAATAACCCCTTGTTAGATAGTTTGCAAATATTTTCTTCCAAACCTATAAGACAGTGTAGGTTTTCTCGTCACTTTGTTAATTGTTTCCTTTGTTATGCAAAAGCTTTTTAATTTCATGTAGTCCCATTTGTCTGTTTTTGCTTTTGATTTCATGTAGTCCCATTTGTCTATTTTTGCTTTTGATACCTGTGCCTCTGACTTCCTATTTAAAAAATCCCTGCCTAGCTTAGTGTTGTGAAGTCTTTCCCCTGTTTTCTTCTAGTAGTTTTATAGTTTCAGATTTTACTTTTAAGCCTTCTATCCATTTTGAGTTGATTTTCATACACGGTGAGAGATAGGGGTCTAATTTTATTCTTCGCATGTGGATATTCAATTTATTTTATTTTATGTTATTTTTGAGACAGGGTCTCACTCTGTTGCCCAGGCTGGAGTGCAGTGTCACAATCTCGGCTCACTGCAAACTCTACCTCCTGGGTTCAAGTTATTCTCCTGCCTCAGCCTCCCTAGGATATTCAATTTATTAAAGGGACAATCTTTTCCCCAATGTGTGTTCTTGGTATCATTGTCAAAAACAGGTGGCTGTTGTCAGAACAGGTGGCTGTAGGTGCCTGAATTTATTTCTAGGCTCTCTATTCCATTGTTTTATGTGTTTGTTTTTATGCCAGTACCATGTTGTTCTGGTTACTACAGCTTTATAGTATATTTTGAAATCAGGTAGTGTGATGTCTCCAACTTTGTTGATTTTGCTCAGAATTGCTTTGGCCTTTTGGGGTCTTTTGTGGTTCCATATGAATTTTAGGATTTTTTTTTTCTATTTCTGTGAAGAATGTCTTTAGTATTTTGATAGGGAGTGCATTAAATCTGTGGATATGTTTGGGTAGTATGGTCATTTTTGCAATATTAATTCTAATCCATGGACACGGCATATCTTTTCATTTATTTGTGTTTCTTAACACAATAAGAATAAGAATTGTGTTCTTTCATTTATTTGTGTTTTTTTCATCAATGTTCTATGGTTTTTAGTGTAGAGATAATTCATCTTCTTGGTTAAGTTTATTCGTAGGTATCTCATTTTTTTTGTAGCTATTGTAAATGGAATTGTTTTCTTGATTTCTTTTTTAGATAGTTCACTATTAGTGTATACAAACATTGCCGATTTTTATATGTTGATTTTGTATTCTTCAGTTTTACTGAATTCATTTATTAGTTCTAAGAGGTTTTTTTTTGTGTGTGTGTGGCGTCTTCAGAGTTTTCCATATATAAGATTATGTCATCTGTAAACAGAGAAATTATCTGACTTATTCATTCATTCCTTGCCCACCTCCCCTTGATAGAATTAATCTCATAATAAGGGAGGAAACTCCTTTTGCCTTGATGCTATAACCCCTGAACAGTGCCTGGCATATAGTGAGGACTCCATAAATACTGGCTGAATAAATGAATGTATGATTCTATGGAAAGGCAAGATGAAGGGAGCCTCTGGGGTTGGACTGTCTGGGTTGAACTCTGACTCCGGCTCTTGCCATCTGTGTGACCAGGTTATCTGAGCTTCCTAAGACTGTTTCTTCCTTCGTAAAATAGGGTAAAGATATGACCTATCTTCAGGTTGCTGGGAGATAAAATGAGGTAATCCATACCAAATGCTTCAGAGGTGCTTAATAAATGTCTATTATCATTATTAGCTAGTTTCCTCCTTTCTTAAGGTAAACAGAGCAAAGGGGGCTCCCTGAGGGATGAGGGATGAGGGATGAAAAGGAATTTGAATGGGCAAATGAAGCCAATTTTAGGCAATGGGAAAGGATAGTCAAAGGGTGAAACCCTGTTCACAGGAGCTCCAGGACTGATGGGTACAAAGAAGTAGAATATTTGGTAAAGGAAACCTGGTGAACTTGGAGAAAGAACCAACTCTCAGAAACCTGGAGTTCTGAGGACCAGAAATGAGATCCTGAGGGTGCGAGGGAGGCCCTGGAGAGTTCTGAAGGGTGCACTACCCCAGAACTGTCATCATCTCCCATGTGAATTTCTCCCCTCCTGAACAGGCACGAGGTTCTGTTGTGTCCTCCTTGGATTATTTGCCATTTAGAGCAGCAAAGAGAGCAGCCGTCCCTCCCCTCTGAGTGTGCTTTCTCACTTAAAAGGAGAGGTTTCAGCTCAGAGCTGACTTCATTTAAAGATGCCTTTAAAACTGTTATTCTCCATGGCAATGAGAGGAATAGATGAGTGGAGAGCTTTGCCCAAATCCCCAGGTTTCTCCATATCTTCAAATTTGTCTCAATTACTGAAGAAAAGTGGCATGACATGAACAACAGCTCACTCTTCTTTCTGAATTCCAAAGCCCAATGCAGTATGTTGTAGCAAATACTGTGGTAATGTGTCCTAATTTTTTTTTTTTCCCCAAGGTGGAGTCTCTTTCTGTCACCCAGGCTGGAGGGCAGTGGTGTGATCTCAGCTCACTGCAACCTGTGCCTTCCAGGTTCAAGTGATTCTCCTGCCTCAGCCTCCTGAGTAGCTGGGATTACAGGCGCACACCACCACACCCAGCTAATTTTTGTATTTTTAGTAGAGACGAGGTTTCACCATGTTGGCCAGGCTGGTTTTGAACTCCTGACCTCATGATCCACCCGCCTCAGCCTCCTAAAGTGCTGGGATTACAGGCACGAGCCACTGCGCCCAGCCAGTGTGTCCTAATTTAATAACATTTTGCAGAATATAAAAATATGGACATCCGAAGAGAGAATTGAAGCAGAGACAGATTACTAAAGATTTCTTTCTTTTTATCCAAAATGATTTGAAGCAGTATGCCTTTAAGCAGTTAGGCTTCCCTAACCTGTGTGCATTTAAAATGCATTTTATTTTTTATTTTTATTTATTTTCTATTTTTTTGAGACAGAGTTTCGCTCTTGTCACCCAGGCTGGAGTGCAGTGGTGCGATCTTGGCTCACTGCAACCTCTGCCTCCTGGGTTCAGGTGATTTTCCTGTCTCACCCTCCCGAGTAGATGGGATTACAGGTGTGTGCCACCACGCGTGGCTAATTTTGTATTTTTAATAGAGACAGGGTTTCTCCATGTTGGTCAGGCTGGTCTCGAACTCCTGACCTCAGGTGATCCACCCGCTTTGGCTTCTCAAAGTGCTGGGATTACAGGCGTGAGCCACTGCGCCCGGCCTAAAATGCATTTTATTAAAGCTCAACTTAGGCAGAATTACTGGGGAGATGTTGCATGTATCAAATGTTGCATTTAGTGGGACGTTCAGTAGATACAGCCTTAACCCATTTATGCCGGAGGTTGCTGACTTTTTGTGGGAAAAGTCAGACCTTGACGATGACCTTGATCAGTAGGGTATAAATAACTCCCACAAGCTTAGCGTTCCAATAATGGAACACTAGGCATAAATGGGTTTCAAGTGAGGCTTGGTGGGAGATTCTGAGTGTTCCCATGGCAACAGAAGGAGGGGCTCCCTTCTGCTCCCTGAGTTCCTCTCCAATCTCAGTTCTCTCTAGTGTTGGAGTTTTTGGTGATGAAGTCAGTCAGGACCAGTTTGTCTCTGGGTACAAACCCTAGCATCCCTGAATCCCAAATGCCAGCCTGTGAGGTTGGTATAAGAAAGAGGTTTACTGGGCTGGGTGCGGTGGCTCACACCTGTAATCCCAGCACTTTGGGAGGCCAAGGCAGGTGGATCACCTGAGGTCAGGAGTTCGAGACCAGCCTGGGCAACATGGTGAAAATGCTGTCTCTACTAAAAATACAAAAAATAAGCCAGGCATGGTGGCATACGCCTGTAGTCCCAGGTACTTGGGAGGCTGAGGCAGAAGAATTTCTTGAACCCAGGAGATGGAGGTTGCAGTAAGCCGAGATGGTGCCACTGCACCCCAGCCTGTCTACCCCACTGCACCCCAGCCATAGACAGAGTGGGACTATGTCTCAAAAAAAAAAAAAAAACTATATACGGTGAACTCTTCCTCTGATCATCTGTGACATTTTCCTGGATGTTGGCAATATCATGGTTTAGCATAAGGACCCACGGTGTTTCAGAATGCAGACAGCAAACTGTTCCAGAGAAGATCCACGAAGGTGAACCTAGCTGTCAGAAGGCCAGAGACTGACAGGATCTTGTTCTTTCTGCTCTGGCCAGTGGGGTCAGTGACAGCCACCTCTACCTGCCTGCTGTAATTCCAGCCTCTAAGCCATTGCTCACATCACAGCCCTGCGCTATGGTGGCAGCTCAGCCAGAACAGGGCTCTTTCTGCCACCAGGTATTCTTGGCTCGGTGCTCAGGGCTTGTGACCTTTCAAGGACCCAAGACAATATTTCGGAGCTGGAAAAAATGTACTGGCTCCTAAACATGAAAATAAAACATTCAAATAGAAATAAATATTCAATTAAGTGTCTGCAAAATGTAATGTGATATCAATGCTCAACTCAAGCCTTATATGGTTCCATAAAAATATAATATGGTTTGAATCATGAGAAAAAAGTATGTTATAATAAAACTCCAAATTGCAATTATAAAAATTATACAGCAAAAATGTATATGTTCTGTGGAATGTAAATATGTTGTAATGTGTTTGCTATGAAGTGGGTTGGGGTCTGGGGCCTGCAATGGTCTTAAAATGACCAGCACAGAGTTGCCAGGACAGAGTTGGGCACTGCAGTCCTAGACTTGGGCTTGACTCCACTACCTTGTAACATTGCCATCTTAGGCAAATCAGTTAAAACTCACAGAATAATGTTTTCTCATTTGTAAAATGAATTTCAATGAGATCAAGGTCCGCAAGGTAATTTGTAGATGGAAGAGTGCCAGTGAGATGTATTGTCCTTATTTGTGAAGAATCTAAGGCAAATAGGTAGCAGTAAAAAAAAAAAAAACATTTTCTCATCTTCTGAAAACCATACTCCCTGTATTGCATTCTCTCTTAGTGATGGTTGCTGAGAGAGCAGAGGTGGGCAAGGGGCCTCTCTTATACACCCTGAGAAGTTATGACAGGTCTGGGGGCTTCTGATGAAAAGTGGAGAGTTTTTCTCATTTAGACACCAGTTGAAAATAATGTATATATTTTTACTGGGCATGGTGGATCACACCTGTAATCCTAGCACTTTGGGAGGCTGAGGTGGGGGGATCACAAGGTCAGGAGTTTGAGACCAGCCTGGCCAACATAGCGAAACTCTGTCTCTACTAAAAATACAAAAATTAGCTGGGTGTGGTGGCGTGAGCCTATAGTCTCAGCTACTCAGGAGGCTGGGGCAGGAGAATCGCTTGAACCTGGGAGGCAGAGGTTGCAGTGAGCCGAGATCATGCCACTGCACTCCAGCCTGGGCGACAGAGTGAGACTCTGTCTCAAAAAAAAAAAAGAAAAGAAAATAATATCTGTATATTTATATACATATATATATATGTATAAAATATATATTAAATATATATATATTTTTTGAGACGAAGTCTTGCTCTGTTGCCCAGACTGGAGTGCAGTGGCATGATCTTGGCTCACTGCAACCTCTGCCTCCCAGGTTCAAGCGATTCTCCTGCCTCAGCCTCCCAAGTAGCTGGGACTACAGGCGCGTGCCACGACGTCCGGCTAATTTTTTGTAGTTTTAGTAGAGATGGGGTTTCACCGTGTTAGCCATGATGATCTCTATCTCCTGGCCTCGTGATCTACCCTCCTCAGCCTCCCAAAGTGCTGGGATTACAGGCATGAGCCACTGTGCCTGTCCTAAACACACACACACACACACACACACACACACACACACACACACATATATATATTTTTAGATGGGGATTTGCTCTTGTAGCCCAGGCTGGAGTACAATGGCACAATCTTGGCTCACTGCAACCTCCGCCTCCTGGGTTCAAGCGATTCTCCTACCTCAGCCTCCCGAGTAGCTGGGATTACAGGCATGCACCACCATGCCCAGCTAATTTTTGTATTTTTAGTAGAGACGGGGTTTCTCCATGTTGGTCAGACTGGTCTCGAACTCCTGACTTCAGGTTATCTGCCCCCCTCGCCCTCCCAAAGTGTTGGGATTATAGGCATGAGCCACCATGCCCGGCCGAAAATAATATTTACATACCGGTTGAGCATCCTTAAACTAAAAATTTGAAATACAGAATGCCCAGCCGATGCAGGTAAACCCTCAAGTTGGGGCTCAGGCTGGGAGGGTTCTTGGCTTTGCTGAGGAAAGAATTCAAGAGCAAGTCCGAGCTGACGGTGAAATAAAGCAAGTTCATTAGAGCAACAGTGTACAGCAAAATGGCTGCTCCATAGACAGAGCCTAGCTACCCGACTTGTGGATTGCTGGCAAACTATGTTTATAACTACTCCTAATTATGTGCTAAATAAGGGGTATACTCGCGAACTTTCTGGAAAAGGGGCAGGGAGTGCCCAAAACCATATAGGGTAACTTCCAGGCATTGGCATGGTGTTTGCAAACTGTCATGGCACTGGCGAGTGTCTTATAACATGCAAATGCATTATAATTCCTAGTCCTAGCTGGTTTGGGCTCATTTCTCATTTCTTTGCTACATCCTATTTGATTAGCAGGGTCATGAAAACAAGTCCTACTGATCTTCTATCTCAGAATGAGCATTTCCTTTGAGCAGCAAAATGTTTCATGTTTTGGAACATTTCAGATTTTTCGGATTCAGAATACTCCACTTGTATTCCTTATGTTCCCAAAATTTACCTAGAAAAAAGGTAATAATATAAACAAAGACTAACCAGGACAAACCTTATAATCCAGATATTGTAGCCTCAACTCCCCTAATCCTTAATCCATTCAGTCTGTCTTGCTGAGACATCCCATCAGTAACCCAAAGCCAGTGGTATATATTTTTCAGAGCCCGCTCTCCACCAGAATGGACCGCATAGAAGTCCACCCCATGTTCACCTCAAGAAATACCTCTTTAGCATGGCCAGTGCCCTCTTTCTTGGCTGGGTCTCAGACTGTTTGTATCACTACTGAGAGAAGCTTGGGAAGGAGCTTGCTCTTGGCTTGGGTGGGTGTCTCATGGGCACCAGCTGAGATCTCCTGCTGGAATCTTCTGTTGGAACCTGATCTATGGCAATGATTCAGACGGCCTGGTTGCAAAGAATATCCAGTAAAATCCCCCCCATTTGATACTGATTTATTTAAAAAAAGGACCTAATTCAGGGGAGTTCTAACCTGCAGTTAATTATGTACCATATTATCCAATAAAAATTATTTAAAAAATCTAAATCTTGTTAAATTGGATTTTTTCCCCCAGGTTTCTTGTACTTAGCAGAATTCAGGTTTTCTGGATTTATTTAAGGAGCAGAACTTTTTGAGGGTTCTGGGGTGGGTCTGTATTGGGAGTTTGACGCTCTTGCCTCCTGCTCACTGGTTGCTTTTCCTGCAACTCTGCTTTGATGGGTTTGGTTTAATGGCCGACTCCTAGAGATGCTCTGTGCATTGGAGTATCCAGGCCTGTGCACACCCTCTTGGTCATCTTCAGCTATGCACATTTTGCTCATCCCTTAAAGTCTAGCCAAGAGCTACCCCTTCTGGAAGCCTTCCCTGGGATACCTCAGATGACAGGTGCCTCTCTTTCTTCTACCTTTAATGACCCTTCATGTTGACACCACTTATTTTGGGATTTACATTCTTCTTTGGATCCAATTCAACATCGTCTGTGATCTCATATGTGACAGATTCTGCAAAACATATAGAAAACTAAGTCCAACTTCCTGCCCTCAAGGACATTCAGGAACATGTTAGAGGAGGCCCATGAAAGAGAGGGCATGGAAGAAGAGGGAGGACACTGACCTTGAGGAGGTAGCACAGAAAGCTGCACAGAGAAGGCAGCAGCCTTCAAGCTGGTTTTTGGAGAAGAAACCCACAAACAGTAAATCCCAAGCCACAGAGAGACAAAAGGGCTTGAGCTTGTTGGGGATTGGAGCACAAATGGCTGTAGCCCAATTGGATTGTTAAGAGAACAGGTGCTAGAGACAGACTCCCAGGGTTGGAATCTTGGCCCCAGAACTGACAAGCTGTGTAAACTTGAACAAGTTATTTAGCCTCTCTGGGCCTCAGTTCCCTCACTTGGACAGTGGCGATAATAATACCAGTTCCTGAGGTTGTTGTAGGAATGAAGAGATATAAAGTGCATAGAACTATGCCTCCTATATACAGGAGCAGTGAAAATGAAAAGCTCTGGGGAAGAGCAGAGACCCACGGGGAGACGGCACCAACAAGAGGCCAAACTGGAGTGGAGTTTCTATATTAGGGGAGGAGGTGAGTTTGGGCTTTATCCCTTGGCCAATGGGAATCTTGAATTATTACTTAAACGTTCATGAGGGTATGTTTCATTGTAGTTAAAACTAAAGAGAAGAACTGTGTTTCATACCTTCTTGTCTTCTCTACTACACCCAGAACAGTTTCTGATGCTCAAGAAGTGTTTGAATGAATGAATAAATACCAGGCTAAAAGATTCTTTCTTTTGTACACTTCGTATCAATACAATACATTTTATTCCAGTGTTCATCGAAGCTTCCCTTATGTGTTTTTATTTTTTCCAGACTCTCACATCTATGAACTCACTCTTCACCTTCACTGTGATCTTTGGTCTTTAAAGCTATCTTCTAATCACCTAGGGGATTTGACTCTGAGTTTATGTTTGCCTAAATGTCTGCCTCACAGTCTGCAATGTCAAATATGTGCTGTCTTCAAGCCAGGCCTTCCAGTGAGCTCACAGACCATTCTAGTCCTGGGCCACTGCCATAGCCTCCTTCTGGTCTCACACTCTCAAGCCCTTGCACACTGCAAGAGAATTCCTTACATTTAGTTGCCAGGATTTACTGAAATTTAATGCTGTCTACCTTCTACTGGGTGCTCAATGCTGCCTGTCAATCATTTGTCTTTTAAGCCTTTAAAAAATGAAATATTACAGACATCTACAAAAACTATAGAGTTCAATTAACCATCGCAAGGTTAGCCTTCACGTGAACATTTCTTGGGTCAAAAACTAGAATGATGTCAACCCCCCTGAAGTCCTTCTCATGCCCCTTCCTAACCACCATTACTTTGTCTTTTCTCTAAAGTAAACACTATCCTGAAGGTTTTGGTAAGAATTTCCTTACCTTTCTTCATAATTTTGCCACTTAAACACGCACCATTAAACCCTACAATTTAGTTTTTCCCATTCTCTGAACTTCATGTAAATGGAATTAATGGAATTAAACAGCACATATTGTGTGTTTATGTTTATCTAGCTTCTTTGACTTAATATTATGTTTGTGAAATTCACCCAGGTTGTTGCACAAAGTTGTAGTTCATTTGTTCTCAATGTTGTTTATAAATAGACCATAATATATACCTACAACAACCTGAGGAACTGGTATTATTATCGCCACTGTCCAGGTGAGGGAACTGAGGCCCAGAGAGGCTAAATAACTTATTCAAGTTTACACAGCTTGTCATGTATGGCTAACGGGAATCTTGAATTATTATATATATGTGCATATATATATATATATATATATATATATATATATATTTTTTTTTTTTTTTTTTTTGAGACAAGGTCTCTCTCTGTCGCCCAGGCTGGAGTACAGTGTGACAATCAGGGCTCACTGCAGCCTTGGCTTTCTGGGCTCAAGAGATCCTGCTGCCTCAGGACTGGGACTACAGGCATGTGCCACAATGCCCAGCTAATTTCTTTGAATTTTACTAGAGATGAGGTCTCCCTATGTTGGCAAGGCTGGTCTTGAACTCCTGAGCTCAAGTGATCCTCCCACCTTGGCCTCCCAAAATCCTGGGATTACAGGCGTGAGCCACTGTGCCTGGCAATAGACCATGATTTATTTATTGCTTTTGCAATTGTCAGATACTTGGATTGCTTCCAGTTTGAGGTTACTTTGAGTAATGCTGCTCTGGAAATTCCTGTGAATGTCTCCTGGTGCCCACGTGCATGTATTTTTGTGGGGAATTCCACCCAGGATTGGAATTGCTGGGTCATATAATATGGGAGATAGGACCAACTAGTTTTCCAACTTTATTGTATTTTATTTTATTTATTTTTTTGAGACGGAGTCTCACACTGTCACCCGGGCTGGAGTGCAGTGGCACGATCTCAGCTCACTGCAACCTCTGCCTCCCAGGTTCAAGTGATTTTCATGCCTCAGCCACCCGAGTAGTTGGGATTACAGGCGTGGGCCACCACACCAGGCTAGTTTTTGTATTTTTAGTATACATGAGGTTTCGCCATGTGGACCAGGCTGGTCTCAAACTCCTGACCTCAGGCAACCCTCTCACCTCAGCCTCCCAAAGTGCTGTAATTTTATTATTGGAACTTACACTCCCTGCAGTAGTGTGTGAGGGTTCCAGTGCTCCAGTTGTTGGTGGAGTGGTATTGCATTGTAGTTTTAATTTGCATTTCTTTGATTACTCATGAGGTACAGCCTCATCGCATATGTTTCTGGGCCACAGGATATCCTCTTTTGTTAAGCTCTTGTCCCTGTCTTTTGAGTTGTCTATCTTTTCTTCTTGAATTTTAGAAGTTCCAGTGGTTACACGAGTTGCAAATATCATCGTCCATAACATGCATTGACTTTTCACTGTTTAGTGGCATCTTTTGATAAACAGAAGTTCTTAGTCTTCACGTAATCCTGATCATCGGTCTTTTCCTTTGGCAAGTGCTTTTTATAACCTGGGGAAAAAATGTTCTTCTACCTTGGCCGGGCACGGTGGCTCACGCCTGTAATCCCAGCACTTGGGGAGGATGAGGCGGGCGGATCACGAGGTCAGGAGATCGAGACCATCCTGGCTAACACGGTGAAAGCCCGTCTCTACTAAAAATACAAAAAATTAGCTGGGCACGGTGGCAGGCGCCTGTAGTCCCAGCTACTTGGGAGGCTGAGGCAGGAAAATGGTGTGAACCCAGGAGGTGGAGCTTGCAGTGAGCTGAGATGGTGCCACTGCACTCCAGCCTGGGCGACAGAGCGAGACTCCATCTCAAAAAAAAAAAAAAAAAATGTTCTCCTACCCTAGCCTACTACCTGAGGTCATAACAATATTTTCCTACATTTCTTCTAGAAGCTTTATTATTATTACTGAATATTATTTTGTTTATTGTTTGCCTTTCACATTTAAATCTACAATTTATCTGAGGTTTTTTTGTTGTTGTTGTTGTTGTTTGAGACAGAGTCTTGCTCTGTCACCCAGGCTGGAGTGTAGTAGCACGATTCTGGCTCAATGCAACCTCCACTTCCCAGGTTCCAGCGATTCTTCTACCTCAGCCTCCCAAGTAGCTGGGATTACAGGCACCTGCCACCATGCCTGGCTAATTTTTGTATTTTAGTAGTGACAGGGTTTCGCCATGTTGGGCAGGCTGGTCTCGAACTCCTGACCTCAAGCAATCCACCCGCCTTGGCCTCCCAAAGTGCTGGGATTACAGGCATGAGCCATCGCTTTGGGCCTAAGACTGATTTTTATATGGAGTGAGGTAGTGGCCAAGTTTCATTTTTTTCCACATGGGTATTCAATTTTTCCAGCATAATCTGTTTAAAATACTCTGGTTCACTTACTCTCTGCAGTGCCAATTTGTCATGTCCATATATGCACGAGTCTGGTTTTGCATTCTGTATTCTGTTCCATTCATCTCGAGGCTTATGCTAATGCTACACTGTTTGAATTATTGCACCTTTATAAGGCAATAATTATTTGCATAATTATTTGCATTATATTTGCAAATAATTGGTAAAGCAAGTTTTTCTTACTTGGTTTTCCTCTTCAAAAGCGTCTTGACTCTTTAATGACCTTTTCACATCCGTAGTTAGGCACATCTTGTTTCACTGCACTTTGTTTTATCATGCTTCAAAGATGTTGCATTTTTTACAAATGGAAGGCGTGTGGCAGCCCTCCATCTGGAAAGTCTATTGGCTGGCTGTATTTTTCAAACAACATGTGCTCACTTCAGATCTGTGGCACATTTTGGTAATTCTCACCATAGTTTAAACTTTTTCATTATTATTATATCTACTGTGGTGATCTGTGATCATGGATCTTTGATGTTACTGTTGTAATCGGGGATGCCATGAACTGCCCGTGTAAGACAGCAAACTGACTACTCCCCAGCAAAGTCATTCCCTCATCTCTCTCTCTCTCTTCGGGCCTCCTTATTCCCTGAGAAGCAACAATATTGACATTAGGCCAATTAATAACCTTACTGTGGCCTTTAAGTTTTCAAGTGAAAAGAAGGATCACACATTGCTTACTTTATATCAAAAGCCAGATATGATGAAGCTTAGTCAGGAAGGTGTGCTGAAAGCTGAGATATGCTGAAAGCCATGCCTCTTGCACCAAATGGTCAAATTGTGAATGCAAAGGAAAAGTTCTTAAAGGAAATTAAAAGTGCTTCCCTAGTACAGCCTTATTGCTGACATGGAGAAAGTTTTAGTGGTCTGGATAGAAGATCAAACCAGCCACAACATTCCCTTAAGCCAAAGCCTGATCCAGAGCAAGGCCTTAACTCTCTTCAAGTCTATGAAGACTGAGAGAGGTGAGGAAGCTGCAGAAGGAAAGTTAGAAGTTAACAGAGGTTGGTTCCCAAGGTTTAAGGTAAGAAGCCATCTACATCACATGAAACTGCAAGGCGAAGCAACAAGTGCTAATGAAGAAGCTGCAGCAACTTACCCAGAAGAGCTAGCTAAGATCATTGATGAAGGTAGCCACACTAAACAAGAGGGTTTTTTTTTTTTTTACCTTTTTTTTGAGACAGAGTCTTGCTTTGTTTTCCAGGCTGGAGTGCAATGGCATGATCTCAGCTCACTGCAACCTCTGTCTCCCAGGTTCAAGTGATTCTCCTGTCTCAGCCTCCCGAGTAGCTGGGATTACAGGTGCCCACCACCACACCCGGATAATTTTTGTATTTTTAGTAGAGGCGGGATTTCACCATGTTGGCCAGGCTGGTCTCGAATTCCTGACCTCAGGTGATCCACCCACCTCGGCCTCCCAAAGTGCTAGGATTACAGGCATGAGCCACTTACCTGGCCAAAACAAGAGGTTTTTAATGTAGAATGCAACAGCCTTCTATTGGAAGAAGATGCCATCTAGGCCTCTCATAGCTAGAGAGGAGAAGTCAATGCCTGGCTTCAAAGCTTCAAAGGACAGGCTGACTCTCTCATTAGGAGCTAGTGCAGCTGGCGACTTTAATTTGAAGCCAATGCTCATTTACAATTTTGAAAATCCCAGGGCCCTTAAGAATTAAGCTAAGTGTACTCTGCCTGTACTCTATAAATGGAACAACAAATCCTGGATGACAGCACATCTGTTTATGGCATGATTTACAAAACATTTTAAGTCTACTCTTTATTCCTGAGACCTACTGCTTAGGAAAAAAATTCCTTTCAAAATATTACTGCAGACCAAGCACAGTGGCTCACATCTGTAATCTCTACACTTTGGGAGGCTGAGGCGAATGGATTGCCTGAGCGCAGGAGTTCGAGACCAGCCTGGGCAACATGGTGAGACCCCGTCTCTACTAAAAATACAAAAAGTAGCCGGGTGTGGTGGCTTGCAACTGTAGTCCCAGCTATTCGGGAGGCTGAGGCATGAGAATCACTTGAATCCGCAAGGCAGAGGTTGCAGTGAGCCAGGATCACGCCCCCGCACTCCAGCCTGGACGACAGAATGAGACCTTATCTCAAAAAGAAACAAACAAACCAAAATATTACTGCTCAGCCTGGTGTGGTGGCTCCCACCTGTAATCCCAACACTTTGAGGGGCTAAGGCAAGCAGATTGCTTGAGCTCGGTTTGAGATCAGCCTGGGAAACATGGCAAAACCTCATCTCTCCAAAAAAAAAAAAAATTAGCCGAGTGTGGTGGTGCATGCCTGGAGTTTCAGCCACTTGGGAGGCTGAGGTGGGAGGATCTCTTGAGCCTGGGAGGTTGAGGATGCAGTGAGCCGAGATCGTGCCACTGCACTCCAGCCTGGGAGGCAGAGTGAGACTCTGTCTCAAAAACAAACAAACAGAAAAACTAAAAAAAAAAAAAAAAACAAAAAACTACTGCTGCTTAAGAATGTATCTGGTCACCCAAGAGCTCCGATGGAGATGTACAAAGAGATTAAGGTTGTTTTCACACCTGCTGACACATTTATTTTGTAGCCCATGAATCAAGGAGTAACTTCAACTTTTGGGTTTTATTATTTAAGAAATACATTTTATAAGGCTATAGCTGCCACAGAGAATGATTCCTCTGATGGACATGAGCAAAGTAAATTGAGAACCTTCTAAAAATAATTCACTCTTCTTGATGCCATTAAGAACATTCATGATTCATGTCAGGAGGTCAAAATATCAACATTAACAGGAGTTTGGAAGAAGTTGATTCCAACCTTCATGAATGATTTTGAGGAGTTCAAGACTTCAGTGGAGGAAGTCAATGCAGATGTGATGGAAATAGAAGGAGCACTAGAATTAGAAGTGGAGCCTGAAGACGTGACTGAATTACTGCAATCTCACGAGAAAACTTGGACAGATGAGAAGTTGCGCTTCTTATGGATAAACAAAGAAAATGTTTTATGGAGACAGAATCTACTCCTGGTGAAGATACTGTGAATATTGTTGAAATGACAACAAAGAATTGAGAATATTACATAAACTTGGTTGACAACGCAGTGTAAAGTTTGAGAGGATTGTCTCCAATTTCGAATGAAGTTCAACTGTGGGTGAAATCACATGCTACACAGAAATTCTTCATGAAAGAAAGTCATTGATGGGGCAAATTTCATTGTCTTATTTTTTGAAATTGCCAAAGCCATCCCAATTTTTGGCAACCACCACTCTGATCAGTGAGTAGTCATTAACACAAAGGCAGGCTGCTCCAATAGCTAAAGGATTATAACTCACCAAAGGCACAGATGATCATTAGCATTTCTAAGCAATAAAGTTTTTTTTTTTTTTTTTGAGACGAAGTCTCACTCTGTCGCCCAGGCTGGAATGCAGTGGCACAACCTCGGCTCACTGCAACCTCTGTCGCCCAGGTTCAAGCGATTCTCCTGCCTCAGCCTCCCGAGTAGCTGGGATTACAGGCTCCTGCCACCATGCCTGGCGAAGTTTTGTATTTTTAGGAGATGGGGTTTCACCATCTTGGCCAGGCTGGTCTTGAACTCCTGACCTCGTGATCCACCTGTCTTGGCCTCCCAAAATTACATGCATGAGCCACTGCTCCCGGCCAATAAAGTATTTTTAATTAGGGTTTATACATTGTTTTTTAAACATCGTACTATTGCACACTTAATAGACTACAGTATAATGTAAACATAACTTTTATACGCACTGGGAAATCAAAAAGTTTGTGTGGCTCGCTTTATTGCCATTGTGGTGGTATGGAACGAAACTCACAATATCTCCAAGGTATGCCTATAAATGTTAAAAATAGGCTGGCTGCAGTGGCTCAAGCCTCTAATCCCAGCACTTTGGGAGGCCGAGGCAGGTGGATCATTTGAGGTCAGGAGTTTGAGATCAGCCTGACCAACATGGTGAAACCCTGTCTCTACTAAAAATACAAAAATTAGCTGGGCATGGTGGCATATGCCTGTAGTCCCAGTTGCTTAGGAGGCTGAGACAGGAGAATTGTTTGAACTTGGGAGGCAGAGGATGCAGTGAGCTGAGATCGTACCATGCCACTCCAGCCTGGGTGACAGAGTGAGACTCTGTCTCAAAGAAAAAAAAACTTTTGTCAGTTTTTTTATATAATCAAAAAATACCTGTAGAAATTTTAATTGTAATTGTTTTGCCTCTGGACACCAGTCTAGAAGGAGCATTGGCAACTTGACAATATTGAATTGGTAATTGCATGAACATGCATATCATTTTTAGGGCTCTTCAATTTTTCACAGTAATGTATTATGATTTTTCACACCTCTTTTGTTACATTTGCTGCCAAATAATATTTTTGATGTTTTGTGTTTTTTTTAAAGTTTCTTTTTCTAACTATTCATGCTTGTTTAAAGAAATATGATTGATTTTTGAATGTTATTTGTGTCCAGGAATCTTGCTAATTATATTTATTAATTATAATAATTGAATAAATTGCTTTGGATGCTTTAATGTACACTATCACTATAATCTGTGAATAATAAAAATTTCCTTTCATCTTTTCCAATCCATATGCATTTTATTAATTTTTCTTCTTGTCTTACTACAATGGGCAGGATTTTCAGTTAAATGTTGAATAGAAGTGGTAATAGTAGGCATTCTATTTTTTTTTTTTTTTTCTGAGATGGAGTTTCACTCTTGTTGCCCAGGCTGGAGTGCAATGGTGTGATCTTGGCTTACTGCAACCTCCACCTCCTGGGTTCAAGTGGTTCTCCGGCCTCAGCCTCCCAATTAGCTGGGATTACAGGTGCTTGCCACCATGCCTGGCTAATTTTTTGTATTTTTTTAGTAGAGACGGGGTTTCACCATGTTGGCCAGGCTGGTCTCGAACTCCTGACCTTAGGTGATCCACCTGCCTCGGTCTCCCAAAGTGCTGGGATTACAGGCATGAGCCACAGCACCCAGCCCGACATTCTTGTCTTATTATTGATGTCAAAGGGAACACTTTCAACATTTAACCATTGAGTACAACATTTACTATAGATATTTTGTAGATTCTTGTATCAGTCTGGGTTCAATCGGATCCATCAGAAACCACATAGTAATTTAAACAGGAAAAGTTCAGAATAAAAAATCACTGAGCAAAGATAGGATGGTAACTATAAAGATGTAAAGAGAATGTTAAAAGATACCCTAGTGTTGTGGGAGAGTACACAAGGAAGTACAAACTTGGAAGAGTGGCTGTCTTCCAAAGGCTGGGGTTCAGCTCTCATGTAGACAATGTGGTTGTAGCACTCTGGTTGGTGGAGAAATTTGCTGGATTGCACAGGCTAGAACTGGGCCATAGTCAATGGGCAAGCAGGAAACCACTCTTTAGGATCCAAAGCTGGTGGGTGAGTGGGTGGGTGTATAGAAGATGTTAGGCTGCCACTGAGAATTGCTTGCCAGGAACCTTGTAAGGGTCATGGGAAGTTAGTTACTAGGCCTAGGTTAATGCTGAAAGATGCTGTGGACTACATACTTTGGGTACATTGCTGGAGTAGAGCATTATCAAATGTCCCAGCACACTTACACCTCTGACCATCTATGCAGCAGGAGGAAGAAAAAGCAAAAACACTTAAACAATAAGAGAGAAATTAAGGAGCAAAGGAAATACAAAACACTCAGAAAGCAATTAACAAAATGACAGAGTAAGTGCTCACCTATCAATAACAACCTTGAATGTAAATGAATCAAATTCCCCACTTAAAAGATATATGCTGGCAGAATGGATAAAAATAATATGACCCAAATATATGCTGCTTACAAGAAACTCACTTCATGTGTAAATTCAAGCATAGACTGAAAGTGGAGGGATGGGAAGAGATATTCCATGCAAATGGAAACCAAAAGCAAGCAGAAGTACCTATACATATATCAGATAAAACAAACTTTAAATCACAAATTGCAAATAGAGATGAAGAAGGTTATTACATAATAATAAAGGGATCAATTCAGCAAGAAAATACAACAATTATAAATATATGCGTGCCCAACATTGGAGCACCCAGATATATAAAGCAAATATTAGATCTAAAGGGAAAGACAAACTGTATTCCAATAATAGTTGTAAGGTAGGAGGCAAGACTAGACTCTGAAGGCAGGGGTTGGACACTAGACCAAATTGAGGACTTGCTAAAACAGATTGGGGTTGGCCAGGTGCAGTGGTTCACACCTGTGATCCTAGCACTTTGAGAGGCTGAGGCAGGTGGATCACCTGAGGTAAGGAGTTCAAGACCAGCCTGGCCAACATGGTGAAACCCTGTCTCTACTAAGAAGACAAAAATTAGCCAGGCATGGTAGTGGGTGCCTGTAATTCCAGCTACTCAGGAGGCTGAGGACAGAGAATCGCTTGAGCCCGGGACATGGAGGTTGCAGTGAGCTGAGATCGCACCACTGCACTCCAGACTGGGCAACACGGCAAGACTCCATCTCAATAAAATAAAATAAAAAACACAACAGATTGGGGGTGGAAGCACCTACCTATAAGACATGCCCAGTGGCCAGGCGCAGTGGCTCACGCTTGTAATAATCCCAGAAATTTGGGAGGCTGAGGCGGGTGGATCACCTGAGGTCAGGAGTTCGAGACCAGCCTGGCCAACATGGTGAAACTCTGCCTCTTCTAAAAATACAAAACTTAGCCAGGCATGGTGGCATGCACCTGTAGTCCAGCTACTCCGGAGGCTGAGGCAGAAGAATCTCTTGAACCCTGGAGGCAGAGTTTGCAGTGAGCTGAGATTGTGCCACTGTACTCCAGCCTGGGTGACAGAGTGAGACTCCATCTCAAAAAAGAAAGACATGTCCACCAATGTGCCATGTCAATTTACCATTGCCATGGCAATACCTGGAACTTACTGCCCCTTTCCATGGCAACAATCTGACAACCCAGAAGTTACTACCCACATCCTAAAAACTTCTGCATAATCTGCCCCTTAATTTGCACATAATTAAAAGTGGGTATAAATATGAGTGCAGAACTGCCTCCGAGCTGCTGCTCTGGGTACACTCCCTATGGGGTACCTCTGCTGCCGCTGTACACTGCCACTGTCCAACACCACCAAATGCCCTTGAATTCTTTCATGGGTGAAGCCAAGAACTCTCCAGGACTAAGTCACAATTTGGGGGCTTGCCTGTCCTGCATCAGTTGGAGACTTCAACACCCCACTCTCAGCATTGAACAGGTTATTTATACAGAAAATCAACAAAGAAACATTGGATTTCAACTGTACTTTCGACAAAATGGACCTAACAGACCTTTACAGGACATTTTATCCAACAGCTGCAGAATACATATTCTTCTCATCACCACATGGAACGACCACATGTTAGGCCACAAAACAAATCTCAACAAATTTAAAAGAATTGAGATCATATTAAATATCTTTTTTGACCACAATGGGAAAAAACTAGAAACCAACAACAAGAGGAACTTTCAAAACTGTACAGATACATGAAAATTAAACATCATGCCCCTGAATAACCAATGAGTCAATGAAGAAATTAAGAAGGAAGTAAAAAAATGTCTTGAAACAAATGAAAATAGCAACGAAACATACCAAAACCTACAGGATAGAGCAGAAGCAGCATAAAGAGGGAATTTTATAGCAATAAACATCTACACCACAAAAGTAGGAAGATTTCAAATAAATAACCTAATGATGCATCTCAAAGAACTAGGAAAGAATAAACCACACACAAAATTAGTTGAAGGAAAGAAATTTTTTACAAATCAGAGAAGAAATAAACAAATATATACATTCATATATTTTTGAGATGGAGTCTCGCTCTGTCACCCAGGTTTGAGTGCAGTGGTGCGATCTTGGCTCACTGCAACCTCCACCTCCTGGGTTCAAGTGATTCTCATGCCTCAGTCCCCCGAGTAGCTGGGACTACAGGTGTCCGCCACCACACCTGGCTAATTTTTGTATTTTTAGTAGAGACGGGGTTTCACCATGTTGGCCAGGCTGGTCTCGAACTACTGACCTCAGGAGATCAGCCTGCCTCAGCCTCCCAAAGTGCTGGGATTACAGGCATGAGCCACTTTGCCCGGCCAGAAATAAACAAAATTGAGATAAAAAAAATACAATAGATCAACAAAATGAAAAGTTGTTTTTTTGAAAAGATAAACAAAGTAGACAAACTATTAGCTAGACTAAGAGAAAAGATCCAAATGAATAAAATCAGAAACAAAAAAGGAGACATTACAACTGATATCATAGAAATACAAAGGATCATTAGAGACTGTTATGAAGAACTACACATCCACAGATTGGAAAGCCTAACAGAAATAGATAAGTTTCTGTACACATACAACCTACCAAGGTTGAACCAAGAAAAAACAGAAAACCATAATAGACCAATTATGAGTAACAACATCAAGTCAGTAAATACAGAGTCTCCCACCAAAGAAAAGTCAAGTACCTGATGGCTTCACTTCTGAATTCTACCAAACATTAAAAAACAAACAGCTAATACCAATTCTTCTCAAACTCTTCCAGAAAATTGAAGAGGAGTGAATTTTTCCAAACTCATTCTACAAAGCCAGCATTACCCTGACACCAGAACCAGATAAGGACACCACAGAAAAAGAAAATTACAGGCCAATATCACCGATGAACATAGATGATCAACAAACAAGCCAGCCAAATCCAGTAGTATATTAAAAAGATCATTTACTATGATTAAGTGGGATTTAACTCAGGAATGTAAGCATGGTTCAATATATGCAAATCAATGAATATTTTACATTACATCAATAAAATGAAGGACAAAAACCATATGACCATCTCAAAAAATGCAGAAAAAGCATTTGATAAAATCAACATTGCTTCATGATAAAAGTCCTCAACAAACTAGGTATACAAGGAGCATACTTCAACCTAATAAAGGCCATGTATGACACACAGCTAACTTAATACTGAATGGAGAAAAGCTGAAACTTTCCCTCTAAAAAGTGGAACAACACAAGGAAGGCCACTGTCACCACTCTTATTCAACATAGTGCTGGAAGTCTGAGCCAGAGCTATTAGGCAAGAGAAAGAAATAAAAGGCATCCAAATTGGAAAGGATGAAATTGTCCCTGTTTTTGGATAATATGATCTTATATATAGAAAACCCTAAAAGCTCCACCAGAAAAACTTTTAGAGGTGATTTTAAAATTTAGTAAAGTTGCAGGATACACAATTAATATACAAAATTGATAATATTGCTATGTACCAACAACAAACCAGTGCAAAAAGACACCAATAAAACAATCCCATTTTAAATAGCTACTAAAAAAAAATACCTAAGAATAAACTTAACCAAAGAGGTGAAAGATCTCTCCAAAAAAACAAAACTTATGAAATGCTGATAAAAAAGAAACTGAAGATGTTACATCAAAATGGAAAGACATCTTATGTTCACAAATTGGAAGAATTAATATTGTGAAATGATATACTACCCAAAGCAATCTATAGATTCAATGCAATTCCTATCAAAATACCAATTATATTCTTCACAGAATTAGAAAACAAATTCTATAATTTCAGTGAAACCACAAAAGAGCCCAAGTAGCCAAAGCAATCCTGAGCAAAAAGAACAAAGCTGGAGGTACCACATTACCTGGCTACAATATATACTACAAAGCTATAGTAACCAAAACAGTATGGTACTGGCATAAACGCAGACACATAGACCAGTGGAACAGAATAGAGAACCCAGAAATAAATCCACATATTTATAGCTGACAACATTCAATGGAGAAAGGACAGTGTCTTCAACAAATAGTTCTGGGAAAACTGAATATCTATATTTAGAAAAATGGAATGAGACTACTATTTCTTATCACATACAAAAATTAACTCAAAATAGATTAAAGACTTAAGTGTAGGACCTGAAACTATGAAACAACTGGAAGACAACTTTGGGGAAATGCTTCAGGAGATTGACCTGGGCAAAATTTCTTTTTGGGTAAGAACTTAGAAGCACAGGAAAAAAAGCAAAAATAGACAAATGGGATTATATCAAGTTAAAAAGTATGTGCACTGCAAAGGCAACAATCAACAGAGTAAAGAGACAACCTACAGAATGGGAAAACAATATTTGCAAACTATGCATCTAATAAGGGATTAGTAACCAGCATATATAAGGGATGCAAAGAACTCAATAGCAAACAAACAAACAAACAAAAGGCCAATGATCTGAATAGACATTTATCAAAAGAAGACATACAAATGGCCAACAGGCATATGAAAAAAATGCTCAACATCAGTTATCATCAGGGAAATGCAAATGAAACCCACAATGAAATACCATCTCACCCCAGTTAAAATTGATATTATCAAAAAGACAAAACATAACAGATGCTGATGAGGGTGTGGAGATGGAGAATTCTAGTTCATTGCCTGTGGAAATGTAAATTAGTATAGCCATTATAGAAAAGAGTATGGAGTTTCCTCAAAAAACTAAAAATAGAATTAGCATATGGTCCAGCAATCCCACTGCTGGGTATATTTCCAAAAGAAAGGAAATCATTACATCCAAGAGATATCTGCATGCTGACATTTATTGCAGCACTATCCATGATAGCCAAGAATCAACCTAAGTGTCCATCAATGAATGCACAGATAAAGAATACATGTATGTAAACACCACAGACTATTAAGCAGACATTAAAAAGAATGAAATCCTGTCATTTGCAGCACCATGGATGGAACTCAAGGACATTATGTTAAGTGAAATGAGATAGGCTCAGAAAGACAAACACTGCATGTTCTTACTCATACATGGGAACTAAAAAAGTTGATCTCATGCAGGTACAGAGTAGAATGATGTAAAGTTACCAGAGGCTAGGAAGGGTGATTGGGGAGGATGAAGAGAGATTGGTTGAGTACAAACATACAGTTAGAGAGAAGGAATAAGTTCTAGTGTTTGGTAGCATGATAGGGTGACTATAGTTAATAATAATTTATTGTATATTTCAAAATAGCTAGAAAAGAAGATTTGAAATAGTCCCAACACAAAGAAATGATAAATGTTTGATGTGATGGATATCCTATCATTTGATCATTACACATTGCATACATATATTAAAATATCACATGTATCCCATATGTACAATTATTAAATATCAATTTTTTTAAAAGACAAAGGAAAACAAAACAAAATGTTGCACACTGGAACCAGGAAGAGAAGCCACCTTTGTCTTACAACATCTCTCCAGCACCCTTTTTAGGCAAAGTTCCGTGTACTGACTGTAAGCGGAAAATGCTTAAATGAATCTAGTTCATCACAGAGCAGCTAGTGAAGGGTGAATTTGGAGCTGAGAGGCAGTGAACTGATAACTGGCACAATATTCTTTATCAGGTGAAAAAAGTTCTCCTCTGATTTTAGGTTTGTGTTTATTTGTTTTTATTTTTGAGACAGAGTCTTGCTTTTTCATCCAGGTTGGAGTGCAGTGGCACAACCTCAGCCCACTGCAATTTCTGCCTCCTGGGTTCAAGTGATTCTCCTGTCTCAGCCTCCTGCATAGCTGGGATTACAGGCGCCTGCCACCACACCCAGTTAATTTTTGTATTTTTAGTAGAGACGGAGTTTCACTATGTTGGCCAGGCTGGTCTTGAACTCCTGACCTAAAGTGATTCACCCGCCTCGGCCTCCCAAAGTGCTGGGATGATAGGCGTGAGCCACTGCCCCTGGCCTGTTTTTAAGTTGTTAAAAGTATTTTTCATAAATGAATTTTAAATTTTATTAAATGACTTTCTACATCTATTGAGAAGACCATATGGTTTTTCTCTGTAGTTACATGATCAGGTATGTTAATCAATTTCTTTTTATTGCAGTAAAATATATGTAATGTAAAACTTACCAGGCTATTTGTACATTTTGATTTTTAAGTGTACAAATTCAATATCATTAATTATGTACATGCCATCATTATTGTCTAACTCCAAAATGTTTTTATTACCCCAAACGAAAACTTTCTACCCATGAAGCAATAACTCCCACTATTTACCTCCTTCCCGGCACCTCATAATCTCTAATCTATTTTCTATCTATGAATTTGCCTATCCTAGATATTTCATGTAAGTAGAATCATACAATATTTGTCCTTTTTTGTCTGGTTTATATCATTTAGCACAATGTTTTCAAGGTTCATCTATGTTGTAGCATGATTCAGAACTTCATTTCTTCTTCTGAGCAAAACATATCTGTATGATGTTTCTTTACCCATTGTGATGGTTAATTTATACACACACTGAGAGCTCTGTTTTTGTGGAGAACACTGACTAACATATCCATTCCTTTGCTCACTTCGGTTGTTTTTATCTTGGCTAATACGGATAATGCCGCTATAAACATTCACGAACAAGTACTGGTTTGAGTCTCTGTTTTCAATTCTTTGGGGTATATACCTAGGAGCAGAATTGCTAGGGCATATGGTAATCCTGTGTTTAGCTTTTTAGGAATAATCAAATTGTTTTCCAGACCTGCTGCCCATTTTACATTCCCACCAGCGATGTAGGAGCTTCCAACACAAACAGGTTGAAAGTGAAAGGATGGAGAAAGACAGTCCATGCAAATAGTAAGCAAAAGATAGGGGTGGCTCTACTATTATTAGAAAAATTAACTGGACTTCATAAAAGTCAAAACCATGTAGTCTCCCAGCTCCATAAGGCTGTCAGAAGCACTGCTCAGATGCCTCCGCAGGAACTGGCAGACGCTCTCGAGGGAAAAGGACTCTGCACGCCGGGCTCACCTCTCTGGGTGATTCTCTTCCAAAGCCGGCTGGGGATTTCTCATGGCCTTTAATCATCATCAGCTAGCTGCTGCTTCTCTTTCTTTTAGTTTTTGAGTTGTGCACATTGGGAAGGGTGGTCTAAGTTGTTGGAAAAGGAGGTCTGGTGTCTTTCCCCCAACTCTTTCTGTTGCTGCCTCTTGAATTCCATACAGGAGCTGTGTGAGCATCGTTCACTGCAATGTTCAAGCTCCCAAACTCAGTTCTTCAGGCTCAACACCTGACTTGGCTTTTACCTCATTGAGGAAGTCAATCTTCCCCAATAATCTCCTTTCTGCCTCAGTATTGTTGTAGTTTCTTGTTTGATTGTTTTTGTATCTTTATATCTATTTGTGTACTTTCTTTCTAAAAATGCACTGTTTAGGTGGGGATGGGGGGTGAGGTGGCTCATGCCTGTAATCTCAGCACTTTGGGAGGCCAAGGCGGGCAGATCACCTGAGGTCAGGAGTTCAAGACCAGCCTGGTCCACAAGGCAAAATCCCGTGTCTCCTAAAAATACAAAAATTAGTCAGGCATGATGGCACACGCCTGTAATCCTAGCTACTAGGGAGGCTGAGGCAGGAGAATTGCTTGAACCCAGGAGGCAGAGGTTGCAGTGAGCCGAGATTGCACCACTGCACTCCAGCCTCGGCGATGGAGATGGAGATGGAGATGGAGCAAGACTCCATCTCGAAAAAGAATAAAAAATAAAAAATAAATAAAGATGCACTGTTTACAGAGCCTCAGCTTTCTGTCTCCCACCTCCCCAGTTCCCATGTCACACTGCTGTTTCATCAACTAGAGACAGACTTCAATCCCTCCTTATCCCTAGATTTTCCATTCTGCTTACAAATATTCCCAGGTATTTCTCACCTCAGGAAACCTTACCCCTCATCTCCTGCCATCTTGGTCTGTCATCTCATCTTTTTTTTTTCTTATTGTTATCTTCTCTTGAAAAGAAAACCTGTGGTTTCTGCTCCACTCCCACCCTCATTCTGTTGAAACACCTTTGTAGATGGTCACCAATAACATCTAGGTTGGAAATTCAATTTTGGGGGGGTCACTCTTCTATGTTGATTTAATTGGAGTACATGAAACTGGCCTACTATTCCCTACATCTCTTCTTTCCCTTGGCCTAAATTGTAGTTCTATTTTCCTCATCCCTCTACCTTTCATTCCATATGTCTCTCCCACTTTAGCGGGCTTCTCTTCTCACATTCCTCATAAAACAAGTTTAATTGCAGAATTGCTGCAAGGTCTTCGGGCGGATGGATGGTTCTGTTGTTGCAAAGCCAAGCATCTCACAGCTGGGCCCTAGGCATGTCCTAGAGCAGGGAATGGGGGAAAAGAGAAACAGATGGTTCTGCCTAAAAATATAAAAAGCTCTTTCGGTGATGGGCTGGGAAATATTTTGCAGGTTGTATCGCCTTTAGGAAAATGTTTCTCTTCCTTCAATGTGTATTTAGACTACACTGTTTCTGAGAATGACTGTTTGTCCTTGAAAGGAGTGTGTGAGGTTGTATTTTCATGTTATCTGCAGGACAATTTGGAAGGCTACCCTCACCTCCCACCATGGAGACACCTGGGCAGGGACTTAACCTGCGTGGGAGAGGCCTCAGCACTGTCCTCCCGAAGCCACCTGCATTGGGGCTCTGGATGGATTAACTCACATGCTGGGAAATGTCCTAGTAGTTACTGCGTTTCCTGGAATACATGCCTGTGTGGAGTGAGAATGTGGCTCCGTGTGAGAGGACCCACTGGGTCCAGAAGAGAGATGTGGAGATTGGCACAGCAAAAATAAATAAATAAATAAATAAATAATAATAAAAAGACAGGCTTTTCTTAAGCAGGGGAAGAGAAGAATGGGCCTCAAGTCATGAAAGCAAGACTAGGAAGTCGAGTCTGCTTTGTGAAGGCGCTGGCATTTCTCCTCTTCTCCTGGACTCTAGGATAAAATATTTATATTAAGCATATGGACTTCAGTTTTCTTCTTTTGTGCATTATAATTTCCTCCAGGTATTCCCAAAGCTTTAATAAAAATTTTGCCATGCTCTAGAGCCTTGTGTATGAGTGGTTGTGGGGATAAATCAGGGGCAGCCCACAGAGAAGACTAGTGCCATCTCTGCGTCATCCCCACCCCACCCAGGTGGATCCTGCTGAGGAAGGGCAGGAGACCCAGAGGCGCAGATGCTGACAGGGAGGATGGGACAGGGTGGGCAACCACACTGCACTGCACCCCAAAGACATTACAGGAAGTTGCCTTACAAGGAAGACAGACTTCCTAAATTCTGGCTTGAACTCTGTTTTCTGCTCCCCTTTTGCTCCCCTGAACCCCCTCTCCTCTCTACCACGTTATCTGCTTGTCATGGGCTCATATGTACCCATGGAATCAACCTCTGCCTCCCTCTTATTCAATCCCAGATTTTAATCACAAGCCCGTATTTTCTGTCCTGAATTCTCATCCCTATTCCTGCCAAGTGACTGTGCGGACAAACTGTTCACACTGCAAACTCTTTATGAGTAAGGCGAAACTTGGAATCTTTGCTTTTCCTCTACGGCCCTCCGTCCATGCCAGCATCTCTCTCTTTCCTATCATTATTTTCACTGGTTGCACAGCCACTTCCCATCACCCAGGCTTGGAATGGGGTCTTCATCTCTCTTGCGTTCCTCATCATTCGAAGGGTCACATCCTGTCCAGTCTTCATTTTTAGTGGCTCTTCCTTTTGATCTCACTTTTCCATTCCCACTGCCACAACCCAACCTGACTCCCTCACTTCAGGCTCTGATTCCTGTGAGACCCTCCTGGTGTCTGGCCTCTTGTTTTGGCCTCTTCCAGGAATCTGCATGTCACTACGAGGCTCATATCTTCCAAAAATGTGTTTGTTCCTCCTCAGTTGGAAGCCTTTATTGGTTTCCGTTGCCTACCTAATACAGCTGGATGCCCTCCCTGGTATTAAAAATGCTGGGCCCTCCTCCCTTTTCAGTTTGATATCTCACTGCTCCCCTAAATGGACCTTGACTTCAACAAAACAGAGCATGCTTGCTCTCTTTCTTTTCCTTCCTTCCTTGCTTCCTTCCTTCCTTTTCCTTCTCCTTCCTTCCTTTTCCTTCTCCTTCCTTCCTGTCTTTCTTTCTTTCTTTCTCTTTGTTTCCTTTCTTCCTTCCCTTCCATCTTTTTCCCTCCCTCCCTCCTTTCCTTCCTTTCTTCCTTCCTTCTCTCTTTCTCTCTCTTTCTTTCTTTCTTGAGACAGAGTCTCACTCTGTCATTACCAGGCTCCTATCTTCCAAAAATGTGTTTGTTCCTCCTCAGTTGGAAGCCTTTAGTGGTTTCCGTGCCTACCTAATACAGCTGGATGCCCTCCCTGGTATTAATAATGCTGGGCCCTCCTCCCTTTTCAGTTTGATATCTCACTGCTCCCCCAAATGGGCCTTGCCTTCAACAAAACAGAGCATGCTTGCTCTTTCTTTTTCTTCCTTCCTTCCTTTTCCTTCTCCTTCCTTCCTCCCTCCCTCCCTCTCTCTTTCTTTCTCTCTCTTTTATTTCTTTTTCTTTCTTCCTTCCCTTCCTTCCCTCCCTCCTTCCCTCCCTCCCTTCCTTCCTTCCTTCTCTCTTTCTTTCTTTCTTGAGACACAGTCTCACTCTGTCGCCCAGGCTGGAGTGATTACAGTGGCATGATCATGGCTCACTGCAGCCTTGACCTCCTGGACTCAGGTGATCCTCCCACTTCAGCCTCCTCTGTAGCTGGGACCACAGGTACGCACCAGCAAACCTGGCTAATATTTGTATTTTTGGTAGAGATGGGGTTTCGCCATGTTGTCCAGGCTGGTCTCAAACTCCTGACCTCAAGTAATCCACCCATGTTGGCTTCCAAAGTGCTGGGATTACAGGTGTGAGACGGCACCCAGCCAAGAGCATGCTTTCTATTTTCCTTCCTCCCTGTCTCTCCTCACGGTTTTCTCATTTTCTGGTCTATTCTTTGCCTTTTTTCAGCTGACACATCTTTCACAATCTCTACTTCAAATGCCACCCCACAATCAAGGCTGATATTCCTATCTCACCATCTTAAACTTACCTTTTACTGATTGTATATGGTTATGTGTTGTAGGTATATATGCAGGTGTTTTATTTCTCCAACCAGAATAAAAGCCTTGTGAGAGTAAAGATGCATTTTCTATTTTGTATATCCTCCACAGACCCTAGCAGAATGATAGGCATGTATTAATCAGTGGATGTTAGAAGAAACAGAATAAAGAAATGTTCAAGAAGAAAGTGCTGATAGGAATCATAGAAATTGGGAAGAGGTTTTCCTTTATTTTTAGGGGGACTTCTGAAGAAAAGATCATTTTTGAAGCCAATCTAAGCAATACATCTAAATAATGCTTGGCTTCTTATGTCCTTTGTGTTTGACCAAATTTGATTAGAACATGCAGGTCCAAGGAAATTAGCCAAATGGCTTTTCCCTGAACAAAATCTATTTTTCTTGCTATGGTTGTGTAGGAAGGTCAGATGTGAACACGGACTGAGTCTAGTTATTTCCAGTCAAACATAGGTCTTTCACAAATAATATTGAACTTGTTATTTCTCAAGCCATTTGCAAGTCTGGTTTAATCTTCTAAGAACTACTAGAAAATGCGATTTTAATATGATTAGATTTCCTCTTCTAGAGTAATGTAAACAAGGTTTTCTAAAAACAAAAGTAGAAGAAAATGACATCATCCAAAGCCAGGCCAAGTTTCTAGCCTTTAATTCTACAGAATTGATGTTACTATTCTGGTCTGCTCAAATATTGCTGCTGTGTGTACCCAGAGAGGAGGCATAAAATGGCATATTTTATCTATTAAAACAATTAATTTTTGTTTGCTTGGGTTGATAGAAAGTTTTTTTTTTTATTTCAGAAAGCAATGGTTTTTACTCAGCCCTAACCTTGAGGGTGTTTTGATGTCAGTGAGTGTTTGGCTAGTTGTATTGCGATTTTGCCAAATTGCTTGGAGTCAGGAGAAAAAAATAAAACAGATTTTTAAATTGATGACTTGATATTAAGTGGATTTGGCTGCATTATCTCTGCTTTTTCATTTTAATCAAAGGAGGTAAGTACTAAAATATTCAGAATCAAAGCTCAGCTGGAGCAAATTCTGAATCAGCCAGATGTCTGTCTCTCTGATACACACACATACACACACACACACACACACACACACACACAACTCCTATTTTATCCTGTGTTTTTGGAGAATAAATCTTGGACTATATTAAAAAAATGAGGTGTTTGTCAAGTAATCTGAACTCTCTGAGAGTGAAAAAAATGTGGATCATAGAAGCCTCCTAATGGGCTGAAATTACGGAAATTTGCCAAACTATATAATTGAATGACTAGAGTCACTTAACCTCTTGGGATCTGTAGCCTATGTGTCATGGTGAGAATGGACATAGTAAGAAAAGAGGAGGAGTGTGGGTTCTTTCAGGTAAGACTGACAATTTAATGAAGCAAATATTTGAACATCTGCGGTGGTCATGCCTTGCAGATCACCAGCTACAGGAAGTGTAATTGATCAAGGACCTCTTCTGCTCCACTCTAAAATCCATCATTAGTTTGTGCCAAGGCCATGCCTCCTATGGGCTGCGCAGTCAGTGCCTGAGAAGGGCAGGAGCACTAAGGCAGGGCTGTTCTTGGAGCCCTGGGACTCCTCTGGCTCCTTCCTTGTACCGCGTGGCAGCCCAGGAGAATTTCACCAACCTTCCCTCCCTCTCCTTCACACAGAGTCAGACTTGTATCATGATCCGATGACTTTCTCAGCCTTTTCCAGCTTCTCTCCTATTTTCTCTCACACAAGCATTTCCCCTAATAAAATTCTTGCACATTTAATCTCATATGCTTCTCCAATGACCTGGATTAACATAGTATCTAGTGTGTACAAATTATTCTTCTGTGACACATTCAATAAGCAAACCTCTGTCAGTAGGAATGGGAGAGCAGCTGACCTCCATGTCCTCCTTCCTTGCTCTTGGATAGCTGAGCTCGTGTGCAAAAGAGAGGGGTAGGTGGGTGCACTTTGATGCTTAGCATGAACTCAATGAATATTTTTTGGCATCATTCATTTATTCCATTCAATTAATTTGCAATTAATTATTAAATCAATTGTTCCTCTTAATAATTTTTTTTTTTTTTTTGACATGGAGTCTTGCTCTGTCACCCAGGCTGCAGTGGTGTGATCTCGGCTCACTGCAAGCTCCGCCTCCCGGGTTCATGTCATCCTCCTGCCTCAGCCTCCCGTGTAGCTGGGACTACAGGCGCCTGCCACTCGTCTGGCTAATTTGTTGTATTTTTAGTAGAGATGGGGTTTCACCATGTTAGCCAGGATGGCCTCGATCTCCTGACTTTGTGATCCACCCGCCTTGGCCTCCCAAAGTGCTGGGATTACAGGCGTGAGCCATCGCACCTGGCCTTTTTTTTTTTTTTTTTTTTTTTGAGACAGTGTCTGACTCAGTCACCCAGGCTGGAATGCAGTGGCATGATCATTGCTCACTGCAACCTCTGCCTCCTGGGCTCAAGACATCCTCCCACCTCTCAGCCTCCTAAATACCTGGGTCTACAGGTGCGTGCCACCATGTCCAGCTAATTTTTGTATATTTTTTTTTTTTGGTAGAGACAGGGTTTGCCATGTTGCCCAGGTTGGTCTTGAACTCCTGGGCTCAAGCGATCCACCTTCCTTGGCTTCCCAAACTGCTGGATTACAGGCGTGAGCCACTACACCTGTCCCCTCTTAAGAATCTTGACATCAGGAAGAGCATCTTTAAGCAATTATTTATTTAAGTGGTGAATGAAACTAATTTTTCAAAAGTAACTACCAAATACCAAAAATAGGGTTGGATAAAATGGGGATTCAGAACAGCGTGTACACATTTTCACCCTTACTCTTGAAAAACATTTAATCTAATAAGGAAGACAAGATTTATGATCATAAAACCATATTTAATAATATAAAAAGTCTATAATTCAGTGTGTAATAAATAATTGTATGGGACTGACTGAAAGTATAGAAAGGAGATAGCGACCAGAATGTTTCTATGTTTATAGGGTCATGACGCAAATTGTCTTCTAGAAAAATGTTCTATCCAGATTCTGTTTTCAAAGATTCCTCCCACCAGAGACTTTCATTTATCTTGGTGAGCACAGCCGTTATCTGGTGTATCTAAAGATGAGGTCTTTCTAGCTGGCATATGCTCTGGAGGAAGGGAGATTTTACCTCAGCGTCAACTCCCAGGGAGCTGACTCACACAGAGAAAGTTTCCGGTAGTCTTTTCCCGTCTCTCTGCTGCAGGTAAGCAAAAACCTAGCTTCATTTGGGAGGCAGGCCCCAGGAAGGTGTCATTTAATATAAATTAGAGGTAGGAAGCTATCTGGCCAAAGTTCCTTATTTTGGAGGTGAAGAAGTGGAAAGAAAATGAAGGTAAGTGATTTGTCCAAGGTGGCACAGTAAGGAATATTTTGTTGGAAACAGCAGCTGATCCCTGTTATTTCAAGCAAACAAACAAATAGAATTTGTTATAAGGATTCAGAGGTATTCCATGAAGTCCAAAGGGAAAGATAGAGTTGGGCTGGAAATAATGCTACAGAAAGCCATGGAGAACCCAGGGAATTCTCTCTTTACATTTTCACCTGACATTTCTTGGTGTCTGCTTGGTGTTTTTGGCCCTGGCTCTCTGCTGCTTAGAGAGCACCCACAGGCACATTCCAATTCCTGTCATACAAAGAATCTGGTTGGCTCTTTTTAGTCCCTAGCCCAAGTTTTTGGAGGAAGGAATCTGATTGGTACAGTTTGGGACAATTGTCCAATTCAGTTGAATTCGCCATTGCTGGGAGCAGGGGACTCATATAATATAAACTTGGTGGCATGTGGGGATAGGGGATGAGAAGAAATAGCACACAGCAAAGGGCAGAATGGTTGGGAGCTGTGCTGGCACCCCAGAGACATCTGCTATAACTACTGCACACAGTGACCATGGCAGAGACAGGACAGGACTAAGTTTCCTCACTCCTGGTCTTTCATGACTTCACCAGCACCATGGGCCTAGGGCAGTGCAAAATATAAAATGCATGCATGCATACATACATCCACTACAAACACATACATGTGCACACATTTATACACACATGCATGCATACATACACTACATACACACATACATACACATGTGCATGCATGCATACACACACACATATGTATGGATGCTCACATACAAGGGAACTTCAAAAAGTTTGTGGGAAAGTGGAATTAAAAGAAAAAGTAAAATATATAAACCTTTATTTATTTATTTATAGAGATGACATCTCACTATGTTGCCAGGCTTGTCTTGAACTCCTGAGCTCAAGTGATCCTCCCGCCTCAGCCTCCTGAGTAGCTGGGATTAAAGGCACAAGCCACCATCTTTGGCTTATTTTACAACATAGGCTCCATCAAGTCCAAGACACTTTTGTAAGTGATGATACCAGCCATTTAGTCCATCCCTAAAAAAGTGAAGATCCTGGGGATTGAACCATGTCAACACAATCTTTTTTATATTATTAACTGGAGAAAAATGAGTGCCCCTTAAAGATTTTTTAAGATCAGGAAATAAACAGAAGTCAGAAGGGTCCAAATTAGGACCGTAGTGTGGATGCCTACTGATTTCCCATTAAAACCCTCAAAAGATTGTTCTCATTTGATGAGATGAATGAGGAGCATTGTCATGATGGAGAAGGGCTCGCAAGTGAAGCTTTCTCAGGTGTTTCTCTGCTAAGGCTCCAGCTAACTCTCTCAAAGTACTCTCATAATAAGCAAATGTTATCGTCCTTTGGCCCTCAAGAAAGCCACAAGTGGCTGGGCACAGTGCCTCACGCCTGTAATCCCAACACTTTGGGAGGCCGAGGCAGGTGGATCACGAGGTCAGGAGTTCAAGACCAGCCTGGCCAAGATGGTGAAACCCCATCTCTACTAAAAATACAAAAAAGTTAGCAAGGCGTGGTGGTGGGTGCCTGTAATCCCAGCTACTCGGGAGGCTAAGGCAGATAATTGCTTGAACTTGGGGGGCGGAGGTTGCAGTGAGCCGAGATCGTGCCACTGCACTCCAGCCTGGGCGACAGAGCCAGACTACATCTCAAAAAAAAAAAAAAAAAAAAAAAAAGAACGCCACAAGCAAAATACCTTGAGCATTCCCCCAAACTGTTGCCATGACCTTTGCTCCTGACTCCTGACTGGTCCACTGTTGCTTTGGCTGGACCACTTCCACCTCTTGGTAGCCATTGCTTTGATTGTGCTTTGTCTTCAGGATTGTGCTGGTAAAGCCATGTTCCATCTCCTGCTATAGTTCTTCAAAGAAATGCTTCAGGATCTTGATTCCATTTGTTTAAAATTTCCGTTGAAAGCTCTGCTCTTTTCTGCAGATTATCTGGGCACAACAGTTTTGGCAGCCATCAAGTGGAAAGTTTGCTCGAGTTTAATTTTTCAGTCAGAATTGTGTAAGCTGAACCAATTGAGATGTCTATGGTGTTAGCTATTGTTTCTCACTCTTGGTCTTTGATGACGTTAATCATTGGTCCTCTTCAATTAAGGCACAGACAAGATGAATTTTTCCCTCGTAAATTGATGTGTATCGTCTGCTGCTGTGGGCTTCATCTTCAATATCATCTTCCTTCTTTAAATGAGTTATTCATTTGTAAACTGCTGATTTCTTCAGGGCATTATCACTGTAAGCTTTTCATAAAGCATCAGCGATTTTACCATTCTTCACCCAAACATCACCATAAATTTGATGTTTGTTCTTGCTTCAATATTGGCAGAAATCATATTGCTCTGATACAAGATTTTTTCAAGCTGATATCATCCTTCTTAGGGCTGCAAGCTAGATCCTATTCAGACATGTTATTACAAGCTAGTAAATAAACATGAGCTTATTTTGGTGCAAAAATTTTTTTGAAATCCATGCATAGTTCTTTCATAATACACATTTTCTATGAACTATTTTTTTTTTCTGACAACATCTCACTTTGTCACCCATGCTAGAGTGCAGTGGTAAGCTCTTGGCTCACTACAGCCTCTACCTCCTGGGTTCAAACAATCCTCCTTCCTCAGCCCCCACTAGTAGCTGGGACTACAGGCACGTGCCACCATACTCAACTAATTTTTTGTACTTTTTTTGTAGAGACAGGGTTTCGCCATGTTGCCCAGGCTGGCCTCAAACTATCCACCCACCTCAGCCTACCAAAGTGCTGGGATTATAGGCATGAGCCGCTGTGCCCAGCCTTCTGTGAACTTTTTGAAGACCCTCATACATACATATACGCATGCATAGGGGCTGTTTGACTAGTGGTCATGAGGGCAGAAGGACAAAGAACCTCCCTGAATGTCATAGTTTACAGACTTTTTTTCTTTGTTTTTTATCTTAAAAAATAATTTCTAATTTTATCACTTTCAAGAAAAAACTAAAATCATAATTTATATTTCATGATTAATTTAGCTGATTATGTGACATGTTTCCAAAAGTCTCAGGAAAGTTTTCTTTAGGGTATTGGAACTCTTTGTACCTCCTTCAGTTTCTTAGTTTTAGGACTAGTAAATAAGACGAAAGGGTCTGAAGATTTAACAAACACATCTTCACCTTTTCTGTGGCAATTCTTTTTTTCTTTTTTTGAGACCGAGTCTCGCTCTGTTGCCCAGGCTGGAGTGCAGCGGCGCGATCTCGGCTCACTGCAAGCTCCGCCTCCCGGGTTCACGCCATTCTTCTGCCTCAGCCTCCCGAGTAGCTGGGGCTACAGGCGCCCGCCACCACGCCCGGCTAATTTTTTGTATTTTTAGTAGAGACAGCGTTTCACCGTGTTAGCTAGGATGGTCTCGATCTCCTGACCTCGTGATCCACCTGCCTTGGCCTCCCAAAGTGCTGGGATTACAGCAGTGAGCCACCGCGCCCGGCCTTCTGTGGCAATTCTTTTATGTGGTAGGTGAGGTAAAGAAGGAAGTGGAGAAGCAGCAGCAGAGATTAGAACAGAGATAAATGAAATAGTAGAAAAACAACAGAATCAAGGAAACCAACAGCAGGTTCGTTGAAAAGATCAACGCAGTTGACAAGCCTATAGCTAGACAAAGAAAAAAAGAGAAGATGCAAATCACTAAAATCAGAAATGAAAGCAAGGACATTACAGCTGATCTTCTAGAAATTAAAAGAATTATAACTGAGTACTATGAAGAGTGGTATGACAACAAATTAGATAATCTAGATGGAATGAACGAATACCTGGGAACACACAAATTACTGAAACTGACTCAAGAAGACATAGAAAAATCAACAAACCTGTTACAAGTAGGGAGATTGAATCAGTAATCGGAAACCTCCCAGCAAAGCAAAGCCCAGGACCAGATGGCTTCACTGGTAAATTCTCCCAAACATTTAAAAAAGAATTAACGCTAATCCTTCTCAAACTCTTCCAAACAAATAGAAGAAGTGGGAACAGTTTCTAACACATTTTATGAGGCGAGAATCACCCTGATGTCAAAGCCAGGCGAAGATACAAGAAAACTACAGATCAATATTTCTTATGAATATAGATATAAAAATCCTCAAAAAAGTATCTAGAACAGGCAAATCCACAGAGACAGAAAGCAGATTAGAAATTACCAGGCAATTGGGGATAAGGGAAAGAGGGGAATGATTGCTTAATGAGTATGGGACGCTTTTATGGGGTGATAAAAACATTTTGAGACTAGCTAGAGAGGGTGGTTGCACAACATTGTGGAGTCTACTAAATACCACTGAATTGTATACTTTAAAATAGTTAATTACGTGATCTGTGAATTTCGCCTCAATAATAATAATAATAAAAAGAACATGTAGAATAGGAGATAATTGCTGAGGCCATGTATATATGTGGATAATATAGATAATCTGCAATTAGATAAGTAAAATCTCAGATAATCAAGCATAGACGACTTCAGACTTTGTTATTTAAGGAACAACGTCCTTATTTAGGAAGCTAGGCTGACAATGCATTTTCTTGGAGTGAAGGCGATATTCTGAGCCTGTTCTCTTCCCTCCTATCATGATGTAGTGGCTCACATCTGAAATCCCAGCACTTTGGGAGGCTGAGGTAGGTGGATCACTTGAGGCCAGGAGTTCAAGACCAGCCTGGGCAACATGGCAAAACTCTGTCTCTACCAAAATTACAAAAATTAGTTGGGTGTGGTGGTGGGTGCCTGTAATCCCAGCTACTCAGGAGGCTGAGGCACGAGAATCATTTGAACCTGGGAGGCGGAGATTGCAGTGAGCCAATATCATGCCCCTGCACTCCAGCCTGGGTGACAGAGTCTCAAAAAAAAAAAAAAAAAAAAAAAAAAAGAGAAAGATAATTCTTTTTGTGAGGCATTTTTAGGCATTTTTAACAGGAGAAGCTTTGAAGACTAGTCGTTTACAAAGATTTTTGTCACATACCTCCTAAAAGGGTTTTGAAACTATTCACTTGTTGGATATTTTAAGTTGATATTTACAATTTTTACATAAGTTTAATAGATGCAAAAAAGTATTAAACATCAAAAATAGAACTGTTACGTTGCTCTTTAAAAAGTTTCCAATAGAATTTCAAAACTATAATAATTCTAAACTCACCAACATTCATTTAAAAAATGAACTAAGGTAGTGTTTTCTTCTTGAACTGGTATTTCCAATTCACTTTCTCCATAGCTTTTCTCTTCATACCATATTTCTACATAGAAGTGTTTTATTGGTTATCCTACCATACAAAATGGATGCATGGAAACTGGAATTTTACCATTTCAGCACAGGCGCCCTCTCTCTCTCCCTTCTTTTCTTCCAACTTGCTGTCTTTGTCTTAAGCAACTTTTCAAAAGAAAAGAACAGGAATGCTAAGCTATTTACATTGGTCCAGAAATTGTTTAACTAGTAAACAGTTTTGTATAGCTGTAACATGTGTCAATATTATTTTGTTTTTCTTTTCTCACCTAATATTTCATTCACAATTTTTTGTCTAAGTATTCACTTTTCTTCCAGATTGAGTTTTCAATGTAATTATTATTTTAGGACATGGTTGATCATGACAACAGAAATATGTTATCAATATTAATAGCTAATGAAACATAAAAGGCAGAATTTGGGGGGAATGAATCTCTAAATCAGAAACAGCATAACCGAATATTTACTATGCATGTAATGAAAGGTAGATAATGCCAAAAGCTTAATAATTGCTAGTATATCATTTATTTCTTGGTTTTAGGAGGTAAAAAAGGTTATCATCTTATAAAATAAAACAAAGTTAAATATCTGCCTATTTGAGTAAATACCTCATAATACTTGTAAAAATAGTTTTTAACCACTACTTTGAAAAATATACATCAAATCTGAAAGAAGTTATGTTTTTGTCAGTGGGTTTTAGTCAATGAATCATGAAAACTTTGGCAGTCCCAGAAAACATTATGGTACATTGAAAACAGCCAGTGACATTGACCTCTATTTCTTGGGCTATTTGAAGCTATATTTCTTTCCAGATAATGTCACATCCTAGGGATGAGAAAATCATTCTTTAGCGGTAGTGAGTGGGGTGGACTCTTTTAAATTCGGGACACATTTTCCAATCCAGGGAATTCGTATGTAAGGTGAAAACTATTTGCAATCGTAGAGTTAACGTCTCCTGAGTGTCCTCATGTATAAAATAATGGTATAGGTCTCCATGCTTTTAGGTTAAGGTGCCATAGAGGAGTTGTTACAGTAGGTAGCTAGTCAGACATGAGCAGGGCAGGAGAGGTTCCCCCAACCCCCACCAGGAATGTCAGGTGACCATTAGGTGATGGTCAGGCGGTTGTTAACTGTCTCTCTAAAATAATAATTGGTTGCAGCCACCACGAGGGAAAGGCAGTCTCCCAATAAACAGAAACACCTGAAGCTGGTGATCAGCAGCTTCCCAGTAAGATCTCAGGAGCTGGGCGAGTGGGCTTAAGCATGTGCATTGAGAGGCAAAATGGTAGAGTTTAACTGGTATGTGTCCTCCTAGGAACATTCGACTGGTAAGGGAAGAATGCCTCAAGTGAGCATGCGTACAACTCCAGTAAAAACACTGCGCATGCTCCCCTCCCAAGTGCTGGCAGGCCACTGGGCATGCGGAAAGCCCACCCCAAGGGAACAATCAGGGAAGAAGGAACGCAAGACGGTGGAAGCATGCCAACCTATTAAACCGCAAGTCAGAGATCAAACCATGTACTTGAATCTCTCAAGTTCCCGGCTTAACCCTCTTCCAAGTGTAATTTACTTCCTTTCATTCTGGCTCTAAAGCTTTTTTTTTTTTTTTTTTGAGACAGAGTCTCCCTCTGTCGCCCAGGCTGGAGTACAGTGGCACGATCTCGGCTCACTGCAACCTCTGCCTCTCAGGTGCAAGTGATTCTCCTGCCTCAGCCTCCCAAGTAGCTGGAATTACAGGCGCACACCACCACACCCAGCTAATTTTTTTTGTATTTTTAGTAGAGACGGGGTTTCACCATATTGGTCAGGCTGATCTCGAACTCCTGACCTCAGGTGATCCACCTGCCTCAGCCTCCCAAAGTGCTGGGATTACAGGCTTGAGCCACCGCGCCTGGCCTAAAGCTTTTTAATAAACTCTCATTCCTGCTCTAAAACTTGCCTCAGTCTCTAACTCTGACTTATGCCCCTCGGTTGGATTATTTCTTCTGAGGAGGCAAAAATTGAGGTTGCTGCAGACCGTTACAGAATCCTTGCCGGTAACACTTTACTGGGGGTCTGTATTTATATAACCAATTCCCCATTCTTGAGCATCTGAAAGAATCCCTATCTTTTACAATTGTAAATAAATAATTTTTTTCTGCAGTGTAAACAGGAGAAAATACCTACCCAAAGTAGGGTGTTGGGCTAGAGGTCACGAATCACATTGACAGTTCTTTATTATGCATATTGCCACACTGTTGTCCTGAATGATCAAACCGACTTAGAATTTGACTAAGCTGGATATTTACATTCTTGTTTGCTAGCTTTATAGGTCCTTCAGGCTATCATAAAAATGTATATTTACATTTCTGAAATTGCGGCTATGCATTGATTCATTATATTTGCTTGTGTGTAAACTGTCTGGCTGCTTTGATCCCGTATCAGATAGAACCTAGGTATTGATCTTTCATATTTGTCCACAGTCTCTGTTGTCCGGAAGGCATTTTATCAGTGATATTCTCCCTTCCCTCTGCACACAGGTTGTTGGCTTGCCCTTGGCGCACTGGGGTGAGGGGTCTGGTTATCAAAGGAGATGCTGCCAGGGCACAGCTGCTCTGTCCTTGAGCCTCTTTGAAGTCTAAACAGAAAGCATTTCAGCACTTAATAGCACTAGGTTAGTGCTTTCAGTGCTATCTCTAGGAAGAGTTAACTTCTATCCTTTGGGTTTTATCACACCTCCTTCCTGGGACCTACTAATGCAATATTCCAAGATTGAGAGCTTCCTTTTTAACAATAGAGGAGAAATCATACACATTCTCAGTGCCTGTGAATTCTAATCACTACTCATCTAAGATATTTTGGTTTTGCAATGTCTTTCTGTTCATCCAACGCAGCACTGCTTGCTCACAATCAAAAGTGCAAATATGCACCTTCCATAACTCCTCTAGGCTAGACCCTGCCATCCCATCAGCACGGGTACCCAAGATTTGAGCTCAAACCTGGACTATTCCAACCATTTCCTTTTAAACTCCATCCTGGGAAATAGCAACTGAAAAATTTGGAAAAGGAAGTTGTTTTTCAGTGCTTGGAAGTGGAATTACCACTTGTTTATGATCAACAGATAAAACTAAGCAGGGGCCTCACCAAAGCCCGGAGTGATGTCAAGAACCACGGCAGGTGTACGTGTAATGCTGGGAGAAGACTGGTGGAGGTCAATCTATTCTGCCTTTTGGGCAGCTGCTGAGATAGCTGGAGGAAGGAGAACTTCTCCTTAACCTCTGCTAATGACTAGTCATCTGCTTTCCCCAGGACAAGCTTCCAATTCTAGGTTATTCAGGAATTGTTCAAAGGGGGGAAAAATCCATTCCCATGAGGCAGGTGCATCAGAGAGCATTGACACTCAGTCTCCCTGCAGAGCATTGCGAAGCTGATCTCAGACAAACGCAGCCCATGGAAGAATGCTAAGTGCTCGTGATTGGTTAAAACTCAAATAAAAAGTTGAAGTGGAGACGATATATACCTGTTCCAAAATACAGGTATATGGGAGTGAAGGGGAATGAAATTGCTTAAAAGTTTTCTTTTCTTTTCTCTTTTCTTTTCTTTTCTTTTCTTTCTGTTTTTGAGACGGAGTCTCGCTCAGTCACCCAGGCTGGAGTGCAGTGGTATGATCTCAGCTCATTGCAGCCTGCGCCTCCCAGGCTCAGACAATTCTCCTACCTCAGCCTCCTGAGTAGCTGGGATTACAGACATGTGCCACCATGCCCAGCTAATTTTTGTCTTTTTAGTAGAGACGGGGTTTCACCATGTTGGCCAGGCTGGTCTCAAACTCCTGACCTCATGATCCACCTGCCCTGGCCTCCCAAAGTGCTGGAATTATAGGTGTGAGCTACTGCGCCCGGCCAAAAGTTTTCTTAATTAGTCAAATCAAGATGTTACAAATATGTTAGTGTGATTACATATATGATTGATTTTAGCTTGGTCTCTGATAAACATGTTGATATAAATCTTTGCTTCAGGTTTAGGGGAATTTTTACTTTTCCTTTTTTCTTTACAGATCCTCATTTGAAAATGGAAAAAGAAAAGAAATGGAGGCATTGTGTGATATTTGCCTAAATATAACTAAAGAGATCCATTTATTTTTAGTGTTTGATTAAAAACCCTCAAAGGAAAAGAGAAATTTTGATCTTTGAGAAGAGCTGTTTCATCACAGGGTGAGCGTTCTTTATTCTTCCTTGCCATTTAAGAGTTTAAAAGGTTGGGAAAGAGAGCTTTCCTTTTTCTGTTTTCCCACTCTCTAGGGTTCTTATGGGTTAACTCCTCCTCCTTCTTTCCAGATGCCACCAGGACCCATTTCTGGCAACAGGGAGCACGAAATGATGCCTCCAAGTGTAAGATAGAGGCTTCTAGGCAGGAAGTGATGGAAAAGGGCTCTCTTATGAGGAAGGGTACTGTGGGGTGAGGGGATATTCATTGCATGGCAAAGAAAGTATTACATGGAGCAACCAGTCTCCCCTTCCAAACAGGAAATGACCATCCCTCTCCAGAGGAGTTTCCACACCCCCTCCCAGAATAGCATTTTGGGTAAGAATGTGGACATTGACTACTCAATGACAGAACTCCAGTTACCCATGCTGCAGCCAGGAGCTGGCAGAGGCCTTTAAAAGGCAGCAACATTTTGTAGAAATAAAGCAATAGGGATTCACTCCTTATGGATAGCACTGGTTGTGAGTAAGCCAGAGTCAAGGGTAAGGAAGGGTTGAAGCCAGGAGTGAATAGCCCAGGACCTCTAGAACGCAGGAGACAAGGGTGAGAGACAAGGTCAAGGGCACTGCTGAAGAGGGCTGGGGCTGGACCAGAGCTAGCCCAAGGTGACTGGAGGAACTCAAGGTTAAGAGCTACCTGAGGAGCCGGACAGTCTGTTTTAGGAACTTAAAATTTATGTGAAAAAGCAGGTCTCTAAGGGAGCAGCAGCTCATGCCTGTAATCCCAGCCCTTTGGGAGGCTGAGGAGGGAGGATCAAAGGATTGTTTGAGGCTAGGAGTTCAAGACCATCCTGGGGGAACATAGTGAGACCCCCATCTCTACAAAAATAAAACTAAAAAAATTAGCTGGGCATGGTGGTGTGCACCCGTAGTCCTAGCTATTCAGGAGGTTAAGGCAGGAGGATCACTTAAGCCCAGAAGTTCATTGCTGCAGTGAGCTATGATCACGCCACTGCACTCCAGCCTGGACAACAGAGCAAGACACTGTCTCCAAAAAAAAAAGCGGGTCTACATAGTAAGGGTCAGTCAGTCATAACTTCCTTAAGGTCTCACTTTAAAGAACCTTTTCTTCTTCGTCCTCCTCCTCCTCCTCCTCCTCCTCCTCTTCTTCTTCTTCTTCTCCTTCTCCTTCTCCTTTCTTCTCCTTCTCCTTCTCCTTCTGCTCCTTCTCCTCCTCCTCCTTCTCCTTCTTCTTCTATTATTATTATTATTATTGAGAGATATCTGGGCTGAGTGGGCAGTCCATATTCTGCTGTCTAGAGACAATTTCTCTTTAAAGAATCCGACATGTCAACGGGGCATGATGGCTCACGCCTGTAATCCCAGCACTTTGGTCAGGCCAAGGTGGGCGGTTCACCTGAGGTCAGGAGTTTGAGACCAGCCTGGTCAACATGTCAAAACCCCATCGCTACTAAAAATACAAAAATTAGCTGGGCATGGTGGCAGGTGCCTGTAATCCCAGCTACTCAGGAGGCTGACGTGGGAGAATCACTTGAACCTGGGAGGCAGATGTTGCAGTGAGCTGAGATCATCACGCCATTGCACTCCAGCCTGGGCGACAAGAGTGAAACTACATTTCAAAAAAAAAAAAAAAAAACCAACTTGTCAAGGCTCATTTCTGCTAGAATGCTACTGTGTTCAAAAGCTCCTGAGTAAATGATGGCTCTTGCAGGGGTCAAGGGCTCTCATTTTGCCCCCTGCTTTACTCATCTTTCCAGCCAGCCCTGGATCTCAGATGAGAGCAAGTTCAACATTAGAGACAAAGATTATTTTCAACTAAGCAACTCCTGTGGTTCCCTGTCAACTCCAGAAACTTCCAACCCATAAAAGCCACAAAAATCTCCCTTTCCTAAAGTGAGCTCATGAAGGGAGACAGATCTAGTGGACAGGGGTTGGCAAACATGTGACCTGCAGGCAGCTCCCTTCCCCTGTGGCCCGAGGGGTGTCACTAGGGGGTCACAGTCTTCCCCACCGAGCCTCGATGTGAACCTAGACTCTTCTAATCTCCAACACTCAGCACTGCAGCACCTTTGTTAACCATCGGGGTTGGCATGCAGGTGGAAATTTATTCGCCATCCCAGTGATAGAATAACTGGTCCTGGCTGTACTTTGCATACATTGATCAATTTAGATTCTTCTCTACTAAGCACAAAGACATGAAATAATTGAAAACAGAGTTAAAATGTGTCTTCTGAAGATGCAGATAATCCTAATGGGAAAATAGGGGCTGACCCTCTGGGTTCTGTATAAATAAATGCGTCTGAGTCCACTGCAAGTGGACTCCAGGCCGGGATGGAACAGAGGTGTGAGCTGAAGTGGGAAGTGGAGAGGGTACGTTTTGCAGGTGTTTGAAATGAGTGAAGAGCAAGACTGGGGAAGAGGAGGGATCATGCCAAAAAGACAGAGCAGCCTGAGTGTCCTAGGGGCAATGAGGGCCCCAGGAATCATAGGCAGCTGGGTTGGGAGAGTCCGATTATAGGAGAACAGAGCAGGGCTCTGGAACTACAGCATGGGGACACAGGCGGGAAATCTGCAGGTGCCATTGACGTGCATGGGCTACAGGTGAGCCAGGATGGAGCAAACAGGCCTGGAAGTCCAAGCAGGCAGGGATGTGGAATTACGAAGTTTAAGTTTAACATCATGGAGAGGAAAAGCCATCAAAGTGAATCTGATCTGAAGGGAGGGAGGGATTCTCCTGTTATTTTTATGCCTCTTCCTTGTGTGGCAAGCACGGGGGATGTCAAGGGGTGCTGACTTCCAGGATTTACACTGAGAGAGCGAATGTGTGGACAGGCAGCATGGTGAATCCTCAGGTGAGCTGGCGGCGTGAGGCCGACGAGCATGAGGGAGAGAGGGGAAACCCAGCCAGCGTTCGAGGGCCTACAAGTCAGCCTAGAAAGTTATGCTGAGCTATTAAAATAGTCCATGTGGTAAGAGGCTTAAGTTGGGTGGCATTCTTCTCATGTTTACATGATTTCTCCTCATGTCACTGCTAAAACCTCTCAAATCTGAGTTGGAAGGTGGAGTAGCTACCATTTGAATGAGTGGGGTCAAGACAATCCTACTTTTTTTTTTTTTTTTTTTGAGACAGAGTCTCGCTCTGTCACCCAGGCTGGAGTATAGTGGCGCGATCTCAGCTCACTGCAAGCTCCGCCTCCCGGGTTCAAGCAATTCTCTGCGTCAGTCTCCCGAGTAGCTGGGACTATGGCGCGTGCCACCACACCCGGCTAATTTTTTTGTATTTTTAGTAGAGACAGGGTTTCACCATCTTGGCCAGGCTGGTCTTGAACTCCTGACCTTGTGATCCACCCGCCTTGGCCTCCCAAAGTGCTGGGATTACAGGCGTGAGCCACCGTGCCTGGCCAAGACAATCCTACTTTTCATCAGGTTGCTGGGATCAGATATCTGTGTCCATGGAGCCAAGAGATACACATTTATGCATTCATTTGCTCATTCACTCATTCACTTGTTCAACAAATATTATTATAAGCTGGGTCCTACCAATTGGGTGGTTTGATACAACTTATTTTGCCCATAAATAGGATGGCCATGAACTACAATACACATACATTCCTGTCCTCTTCAGCACAACAGTCAACAGGAAAGGGGGATGAAGACGAGGCAGAGGCAGGCAAGGACACAGACGAGCCAGGGACCCCTGAAGGGGTGCTGGGCTAGGAGGCTCCACCAGCATCCTCCTCAGCTTTATCATCTGGCTTCTCCTACTTTTCCAGCCCCCAACCCAGGCCCCTCCCCTGGTGCCTGGTGCTCCACCCAGCTCCGACCACTAACCGAGCACACCCATATCCATACGTGAACTAAGACTAACAAAACCACCACCATTTACTGAGAACTTCCAGTGTGCCCAGGCCTAGGCTAGATGCTTTACGGTCAAGGTTACATTTATCCTCACATCCATTCCATCAAGTAGGCCCTGTCTTCTCTTTTGTACAGATGAGGAAGTTGGGGTTTAGAGTGGTTAAACTGTTAGTCAGTGGTGGTGTTTCCTGCAGCACTGGAAGTTTCTTCTGTCTTCAGAAAAACATTGGCTTTCACAGGAAGTCAAGCAAAATGGGTTGAAGTTTGTATTAGTTCTCCAGGGCTGCTGTAACAAAGCATCACAAACTGGGTGGCTTAGAACCATGGGAATGAACAATGAGACTCATGGTTCCGGAGGCCAGAAAGTCAAGACTGAGGTGTCGGCTAAGCCAGGCTCCCTCTGAAGGCATTAGGGAAGGATGTGTTCCAGGAGTCTTCCCTCATTTCTAGTATTTCCTTGGCTTTGGCAGCAGAACTCCAGTCTTTACACAGTGTCCTGCATGTGTGTGTGTGTGTGTGTGTGTGTGTGTGTGTGTGTGTGTACACACACTTCCCCTTCCTATGAGGGCTTCAGTCATATTGGAGTAGGGACTGACCAGGGACCATACTACTCCTGTATGATCTCATCTTAACTGATTGCATCTGCAATAACACTATTTCCAAATAAGGCCACATTCTGAGATCCTGGGGGTTAGGACTTCAACAAGGGAATTTTGGGGGACACGATTCAACTCAACACATGCCAGAGTTGTAGGGGCAGATGGATGAATCCTAGTTGTTTTGTGACCTATTTCTCTACTCTCTCAGCAGGACCACACGGTTTGCTGCTACCATGGAAGCAGCATGGAAACCACACGGTTTGCACGGTGGAGTGCAGCAGGGAAACACTGGGAATGGAGGGGAAGGGAGGTTCTAACAACTCTTCTCTCCTACTCGTGGGCCTCACCCATGGTCAGGCTGTGTCTGCTTCTCCTGAAGGTGATACAGAGGCCCCCCATCTTGTGAGGACTCATATGTCCTCTGTGCATACAGGTTGGCTCCTTTTTTTTTTTTGAGACAGTCTTGCTCTGTCGTCCAGGCTGGAGTGCAGCCGTGCGGTATTGGCTCATCGCAACCTCCACCTCCTGGGTTCAAGCAATTCTCCTGCCTCAGCCTCCCAAGTAGCTGGGATCACAGGTTCACAGGTGTGTGCCATCACACCAGCTAATTTTTTTGTGTGTTTTTAGTAGAGACAGGGTTTCACCATGTTGGCCAGGCTGGTCTTGAACTCCTGACTTCAAGTGATCCGCCTGTCTCAGCCTCCCAAAGTGCTGGGATTACAGGCGTAAGCCACTGTGCCTGAACTCTGAGTATTTTCAATATGCAGTGGGTGGAATCTGGATTCGGAAGCTGTGGATACGGATGGCCAACTGTACCTGGTTCAACCCCCTATTTTACGACAGAGGAAACCCAAGTCCAGCTCACACATCCGGTTCGTGGTCAAGGAATGCAGGCTCCCAGCCCAGAGTTCCACTGCCCTACAATTCTTCTGTACACTCCACCCTCCAACTGTGGCTGGCAGGAGTAGAGGTGGCTGGAGGGCATTTTCATTTGCACCACACCTAATCTGGGGCTGTTTTAAGCAGGAATCAGCGATCAAACAGCAGTGTCATTAGTTTCCAAACTTTCATAGTATCAAGTTAAAATGCAGCCTTTTACTGCTTCTCCATGGAAGCCACCTCTGCCTATTGCTTCCTATATCCTAAAAATAAGACAATACTATAGTTTCTTTTAAAAGAAGAATGAAAAAAGAGAATGAGATAGAGCCCTCATACAGATTCTCATAAAAATCAAACAAAGAGACCCGGAGGGAGAGGCTGAGGGCATATTAAATTTCAGGACTGCCTTCTGATATCCTTCAGATCAAGGCCCACGGATCACTTTCTCTTCTTGGCTTCTATATATAGGCACGACAGTTAGACTGGCCTTTTCTCCAGAGGACAGCTCCACGCTGCTAGGTGCACATCCATGGGAATTTTGATAAGAAGGGGCTGCTCTAGTTTGCATTTTCTCTCTTCATAGTTGGTGCTAGAACCAGTTCCAAAGTCATGGAATTTTTTTTTTTTTCAGATTGTTACTTGAAGTGCAGAATAAAAAAGGATTGCTTTCCCAGCCTTCATGGCTGCATAGTTCAGATAGGGAACACGATTCTATTTAAAGAGATGATGTAAACTATGACCGCACATGTGTTTACAAACACATGCCATGTCTAAGTTTCTAACTCTTAACTAACAATAAGCTCATGAATAGCTGCTAGCTAACCCGAATATTTACTCATGGCCAACAGAGACAGAAATATCTTGTTTAGATGGCTGATGCTGACATTGGATGCCAGAAGTTTCTGACAAGCGTCTTTCTCTCACTCTTTCCTTGGCCAGTATCCACATCTCCCTGTGGCTGCAGTTTTCTTTCCCTTTAACCAGTGGTTTCCAGTTAACTGCTCACACCAGTGTGTTGGACCTTTCCCGAGGTCTTCTCATAAAGGCTTAGTGCTGAGTGCTGGAAGTTAGATCACATGCACACTGATTTCTCTTCCAAACTAAACTGATTTGGAAATTTATTGCTGTGGCATTTCAAAAATCATGTGTATTCTTCACTCCCTATTTTAACGCGGAAAAGCTAAAAATCGTTCATTAATTGGGAGGAAAAGATTGTGAACATTTTATTTATTCAAGAAACCAGGCCAGGCGCAGTGGCTCACACCTATCATCCCAGCACTTTGGGAGGCCAAGGCAGACAGATTGCCTGAGGTCAGGAGTTCGAGACCAGCCTGGCCAACATGGTGAAATCCTGTTTCTACCAAAAATGTAAAAAATTGACTGGGTGTGGTGGTGTGCACCTGTAATCCCAGCTACTCAGAAGGCTGAGGCAGGAGAATCGCTTGAACCCAGGAGGCGGGGGTTGCAGTGAGCCGAGATAGCACCACTGCACTCCAGCCTGAGTGACAGAGCAAGACTCTGTCTGAAAAACGGTGGCTCACACCTCTAATCCCAGCACTTTGGGAGGCCGAGGTGGGCGGATCACGAGGTCAGGAGATCCAGACCATCCTGGCTAACACGGTGAAACCCCGTCTCTACTAAAAATACAAAAAATTAGCCAGGTGTGGTGGTGGGTGCCTATAGTCCCAGCTACTCGGGAGGCTGAGGCCGGAGAATGGTGTGAACCTGGGAGGCAGAGCTTGCAGTGAGCCAAGATCATGCCACTGCACTCCAACTCCAGCCTGGGCGACACAGCAAGACTCCGTCTCAAAAAAAAAAAAAAACCACCACCAATTAACAAATTTGAAGCACAGAATTTTTGAGGCACAGGATTTTAAAGCCATGAATCTGGGGGGAAAATCTTTGAAAATAAAAGGGGTAGCATTTATCAGCACCCCTTCATAGGGTAAGAATTTTGAAAATAAAATTGAGAAAAACAGGGTAGTCCTTAACATCACCTATGAAATTGTTCTCTCAAAACAAGTGAATCAAACCTCTGGATACAATCACCCATCGACAAGAAATCCGGGAGACAGATGAACATGTTAAATGGCTGCAAAAAATTGCCACTCACAATATCTAGACCACGGGAAACTCTGGACAAATTACCTAGTTTCTTCAATAAGTATATTAGAAAGTACAGAAGTGGGGGCGGGAATATCAGAGGGTCATTCTATTAACGACTTCAAACATCAATCACTTGCAATGTTCAGACCTTATTATGGAGACAATGGGAGGTTTGAACATTAACTGGATATTTGATTATGTTAAGGAACCATTGTCAAATTTTAACGTTGTAATAACAGTATTGTGTTTACACATTTTAAAAATATTTGCCTTTCTTTTAGAAGGATATATTGAAATGTTTACAGAGAAGAGATCCTGGATTTGCCTCAAACAATGTGGTGGGCAGGAGATGGGTGCACAGATGAAGCAAGAGAGCCTTGAATTACACATGGTGGGAGCAGGGATTTGAGTGCATGAGGATTTATGAGGTTCTGCCTACTTATGTACATGTTTGAGATTTTGCATGATAAGACAAAAAAGACAGCACTGCTTAAAGCAAAAATATAGAATCCAGAAATGTCCCCCAAAACTGGCTGTGTTAAAGGAACAAATCAGGGGCAGCACAGGTGTAGGTTCCTGGATGTCCTCAAGTCTCCTCTGCCACCTCCTGTCACGTTGCCTGATACTTCCGTTTCCGTTTTTTCTCCCAAGTGTCCCAGGCCTGGCTGTGCAGGGAAACTCTGGTCAAGATCCGCTGGAAGGTATTTGAGTGTGTGAGGCATGCACCAGCCCTCACGGAGGACTCACTGGAGTTCTCAGCCCTCTTCTTGCTCCTCGGGGCTCTCCCACTTCCTGGCCACGATCGATGGAAATTTTTTTTGAGACGGAGTCTCGCTCTGTCACCCAGGCTGGAGTGCAATGGTACAATCTTGGCTCACTGGAACCTCCATCTCCTGGGTTCAAGGGATTCTCCTGCCTCAGCCTCCCAAGGAGCTGGGATTACAGGCACACACCACCATGCCCAGCTAATTTTTTGTATTTTTAGTAGAGACGGGGTTTCACCATGTTGGCCAGGCTGGTCTCAAACTCCTGGCCTCAGGTGATCCACCTGCCTCAGCCTCCCAAAGTGCTGGGATTACAGGTTTGAGCCACCTTGCCCGGCCATCAATGAAAATTAAAAACAAAATTTTTATAAGATTTTTATTCCAAGCAACTTAATTCTCTTTGCTCATCCCAGCCTATCGTGACAGTTCCCTGAGGATTCCTTTCCTTATTTTACAAAGCACAGCTCTTTCCCTGAGGAATACAATCTCGGTTTTTAAATCAGAGCTGTAGAGTGCAAAAGTGGCCACAGTATTTTGCATCTTCTCCCATCAACAGGTGAAGTTGTTTCCTGAGCCCTTTGATCTGAAATGACCTTGCGACCTGGAACCAGCAGACAGCCTGAGGGAGGCAGTGCATGTTCTGAGCCAGGGCCTCAGGAGGCCTGCAGCTGCCATTCTGCTTCTGTTGGAACATGACCTCCTTGAGAACACTCCCAGGCCTGACTGCAGGGTGGGGAGACCACACAGAGCAGAGCCGAGCCACCGGGATGAGGCCCCTAGATCACCCAGCTCCCAGCTGACCACAGATCATGAGTGATCCCGGTAAGACCAGTCAGGCCAGCACACAGCAGAACCAGCCGACCAGCCTAGAGTTCTGAGCTCAGTAGACGGTTGTCGTTCTAAGGCATTCACTTGGGGATTTTTTTAAAATGCAGAAACAGCTAAGTGATATAGCCTGCAATTATTAATACTTTCCTACTGCATGGTGCAGTTGGGTGGTTACTAAGGAGTAACAGGCACTTGACCAGCGTGGTGATGGGTGAATCAAGAAGAGTATTAATTAAGACTTAGAGGTCAGAGAGGCCTCCCAGAGCAAGAGATGCCTAAATTGACATCTGAACACGAGTAGAAATTAGGCAGGGAAACAATGTGAAAAGATTTCCAGGGAGACGGAACTGTTTCCAGAAGGCTGGAGGCACTAGAAGAATGAATGAATGAATGAATGAAGAGATGGATAAATGAATGGATGGATGAATGATGAATTATCAATGTGATATCTTTTTTTTTTTTTTTTTGAGATGGAGTCTCTGTCGCCAAGCTGGAGTGCAGTGGTGCGATCTCGGCTCACTGCGACCTCTGACTCTCTGGTTTAAGCAATTTTCCTACCTCAGCCTCTTGAGTAGCTGGGATTATAGGCATGCACCACCATGCCCAGCTAATTTTTGTACTTTTAGTAGAGATGAGGTTTCACCACATTGGCCAGGCTGGTCTTGATCTCCTGACCTCATGATCTGCCCGCCTCAGCCTCCCAAAGTGTTGGGATTACAGGCGTTAGCCACCGCGCCCAGCCTCAATGTGACATCTTTGAATCAAAGACCCTTACAGTAAAGACAGATATGCTCAAGGTTGCAATAAAATGAAGCTTTTAGCTTCCATCTGAATTGTCTGGGTATTTTGTCTTTGAGATCTTGAAGTCTAACCCTCTCAGGGAGGTAAACTGAGCCCGAAGTACAGGTTGCTTAGTTTTTTAGAGATTCAAGTACACATTTATCCACCTTAAGAAAATGAGTTCCTTGTGGCCATGGATTGTGTATTTTAGTATTCCTAGACCTACCAGCTACCTGGCACCAAGTGTGTGAGTAAATAAACAAGCCACTATATTACTAACAAGGCTTTAGAGTTCACCAGGGACATTTTCAGCATACTGTTTTTTGTTTTTTTGTTTTTGTTTTTGTTTTTGTTTTGAGACAGAGTCTCACTCTGTCGCCTAGGCAGGAGTGCAATAGTGCGATCTCGGCTCACTGCAACCTCCACCTCCCGAGTTTAAGTGATTTTCCTGCCTCAGTCTCTGGAGTAGCTGAGACTACTGGCTCATGCCACCAATCCCAGCTGATTTTTGTATTTTTAGTAGAGATGGGGTTTCACCATGTTGGTCAGGATGGTCTCGGACTCCTAACCTCAGGTGATGCACCTGCCTCAGCCTCCCAAAGTGGTGTGATTACAGGCGTGAATGACCATGCCTGGCCTTCATCACTTTTTATTAGTACTGTAGGTCCAAATTTGCTCATGCCCTGTCACCAGTCTCTGCCTAGACCTTAATATATATAAATATCACTTTATTCAAACAGCCTTGGCTTCTGTTTCATCGGCCTTACATACTCTCCTGCTGTGTTCATTTTGATCATCCCTTGAATGTTTTAAAATCAGCACCACCTGAACTTCTCACTGGGAGGAGTTTGATTCTTCGTCTCTGTGCTTTCCTGTGTTGGAGAATGATTAGAGCCTCCAGGGTCGTGAACCCACGTTACATTCACTCTATTTTCAAAAAAGGCAATGCTTCGAAAAGGCTCAGGGTGGAAACCATGCGATGCTAGAACTGAAATAGAAATATGCCAGTTTTCAGCAATGAGTAACCAATTTATACATCTTTCTGGTATACTGGAGAGAAAGCAGCTAGAGAGCCTCCTATTTTCTTTTAATTAAAGAAAAGACCTATGAGATACAAAAAACTGAATTAACCTATAGCTTTCAGCTGTGGATTTTATTTACAGAGCTAAAACTTTGGGCTCACATGTATCTATTCCTAATATCTGATGGAGTGATGAGCCAAAGAGGAAAGATTAATAGATATTTAGACAAGCAAGGGGCATTAAAGATCATCTAGTTCCATATACTCATCCTTTACATGCACTCATTTTACAGAAAAGAAACTGAGTCAGGGAGAAGCTAAGCGTGTGCCCAAACTCAGAGAGCTACATGTATTTGGGGGTGACATATGCTTTCATTACCTTGTATTTGGGGGTGACATATGCTTTCATTACCTTGACTGTTGCTGATGGTTTTTCAGTGCATATATATGTCAACACTTATCAAATGATATACTTTAAATATGTGCAGTTATTGTATGTCAAGCATGCCTCAATAAAGCTTTCTTTAATAAAAAGAATAAAGGTAAGATAAGGGGGAAAAAACCACTATTGGACTGTAATCTTTAAAAATCCAACTATGGACATGTTTTCCAACAAATCAATTATTTGATGGAATGAGAGGGAAGGAGAACACACAAATCAAAAGAAATGTAAGGGACCTACCTATCAAATGCAACACATAGATTTATTTGAATCCAGATTCAAGCTGGGAGCGATGGTTGACATCTGTAATCCCAGCACTTTGGGAGGTTGAGGTGGGTGGATCACCTGAGGTCAGGAGTTCAAGACCAGGCTGACCAACATGGTGAAACCCCGTCTCTACTAAAAATACAAAAATTAGATGGGCGTAGTGGTGGGCGCCTGTAATTCCAGCTACTCAGGAGGCTGAGGCAGGAGAATCGCTTGAACTCGGGAGGCAGAGGTTGCAGTGAGCTGAGATTGCACTACTGTACTCCAGCCTGGGTGACAGAGACATAAATAAACAAATAAATAAGATGGGCGTGGTGGCTCATGCCTGTAATCCCAGCACTTTGGGAGGCCAAGGCGGGCAGATCACCGGAGGTTGGGAGTTTGAGACCAGCCAGACCAACATGGAGAAACCCCGTCCCTACTAAAAATACAAAATTAGCCAAGCACGGTGTTGCATGCCTGTAATCCCAGCTTGAACCCAGGAGGCAGAGGTTGTGGTGAGCTGAGATCGTGCCATTGCCTGGACAACAAGAGCAAAACTCCATCTCAATAAATAAATAAATTAATTAATTAATTAATTAATTTGAATCCAGATTCAAACAACTCAACTTTAAAATAACATTTATGAGAACATCAGGAAAATGTATATATTGACTGAACATTTGATTATTTTAGGGATTAATGGTTTTTTAAAGCATGATAATGATATTGTGATTTTGCCTTAAAAAAAAGGTAGGTCTTTTAGAGAGAGACAGACTGAATTATTAATTGATGAAATGTTAGGATGCCTGTCATTTGCTTCAAAACAATCCAATGAAGACATTTGAAACGTTAGAAATTATTGTTAAGATTTTTGGTGTGAACATGGTATTCTGGGTAGTTTTAAAGAGTCCTTGCATTTTTTGTTTGTTTGAGATGGAGTTTTGCTCGTTACCCAGGCTGCAGTGCAATGGTGTGATGCAATCTTGGCTGACTGCAACCTCCACCTCTCGAGTTCAAGCAATTCTCCTGCCTCAGCCTCCCAAGTAGCTGGGATTACAGGTGCCCGCCACCACACCTGGCTAATTTTTTGTATTTTTAGTAGAGACGGGTTTCACCATGTTGGCCAGGCTGGTCTTGAACTGCTCACCTCAGGCAATCTGCCCACCTCGGCCTCCCAAAGTGCTGAGATTATAGGAGCGAGCCATCACGCCCGGCCTAGAGTCCTTGTATTTTTAAGATGCATAATGACATCTTTACAGATGAAACGATGTGATATTTGGGATTTGCTTCAAAATCAACTAGGCAGCGGGGAGCTGGTGGGGATATAGACGGTCATTGTAGATGCTGCTTATGGACACGTGGCGGTTCAGTGGGAGATTCCTCTCTGGCTTGGTATATATTTGACATTTTCCAAGGTATAAAGTTTAAGAACCAAGGCTATAAAGTTATTGATTCACGTCTGGAGTATGAATTGGTGTTGGCTCATTGTGTGAAGGGCTAATGAGGAACTGGGCACATGCACAGAACTAGGGAAACGGCACATAGATTCCAAATGGAAACAGGAGAACTGTGTTTGTTTCTAGGTCTCTGTGACACACACTCTGCAGTGTGGACATACAGAAAGCAGGCAATAAGGCTATCAACAAAAGAAACCCATTGTCTTTCATGACAGATGAAAGCCATTTAACCTCCATTACCATCAGAAGCCTTCAAGTATTGGTGTTTGAAATAAAATTAATGTGCTGGTATTTAAAGATGAAAAAGCCATCCCCAGCATATGCAGCAAAAGTTATAAGAAATCGTTAAATACTCTGTTTCTGCAGTTTCTCCCTAGGTCAAGGGTGATGTTTTGCTCAGAGAAAACTGAAGTTTGGATTGTTCCAGTCCTGCATCACATCCTGTTTCAGGCTGCCCTAAAACAAAACCAGAAACAACCATCACCACAAAACACCATACCTTCAATAGTCTTCTCAGTGTTCAGAATAAAGGCTCTGGTTTTCCCTTGGGCTCAATTTTCATGATTGTGTCTCCTTTGTCAATATGTTTTTCATCTTCCTCACTTTCAAACTGCACTTCCTGTCCAGAAACACTAAACCAAAAGTTGTATTTAACTTTTCACACAGAATCCCTCATGTTGCATCCAGGAAGCCGAGCCTGTAAGTGCAGAGTGGGATCACAGGGTCAAGATGTTTCCTGGATAGCAGCTCCATCTCTGCTCCGTCCAAACTCCCAACGTCCCCGCCATCCACACCCCTGTCCTCAACTCAGAGCAAGTGTGAGGATGAGCAGCCACCAGCAAACAAGGGGCTCATTTTGTGTGTGCATTGCTGCCTTTCAGTGTCAGGGGCACTGGATTTTGTTGACTCCCCTCATTCATTCATGCAGACCATGTGTCCTAGTGGTTGTCACCTGTGTAAGCGATCTTTCCCTGTCCAGTTACTGCCACTTGTCACCTGTCCACTTGTAGGTAAGACTCCAGGAGAAATGCTTCCTTCTTTTCTTGAGTGTAGACTCAACTGAATGGTAGATGAAGGGATCAGCAGCTGGAGATCAACAGGGCAGATTTATTACTGATAAAAACTAGGATGGAGGATGTGGCATAGGTAATCAACCCAAGCTAGCTTGCTAACACACTCTCCATCACTCCATCACACACATCCCTACACCCAGATCCAGTGGAAAGTCCACTTAGGAGAAGCATGCGTTTGCAAGCATACCCTCTAAGCCAAGATCGTACTTCACACTGGCCTGGGGCAGACAGGGAAGAAGAGAGGTTGATACTTCAGGGCTTAGAGGCTTTTAACAGATTAGATCCTCCCAGTGGAGGACATGGACAAATTGCTGTCACTCATGAATCATGTAGCCTGCGGAAGAGTGAGTAAGGGATAGTAACAGACCAGGAGTACTGCTCAAGAAGACATCAACTCACAGGTAATAGGAGGAGTGGGGTAGGAATGTTCCTTCCTAATAAGTGGGTGCATATTAGGGGGTGGGGTAGGTGTGAGGTGGCTGTGATGGTTCAGGACAAAGGAATGAAAAAAAGAAAATAAGGACTCAAACTTTCCACCCTAGGAATCACAAGCTTGGTGGAGGGACAAGGCCAAGAAATGGCTGGTATCAGCTGAGTTATTTATTGTTTCAATTCAATGACTGAGTGATGGCCTTTCATGTTACAGCTTTTCTGAGTAGATGCCTAAACAGATCCTGAGTGGTGAAATTAAAGCTCAGTGGGGATTTTTCAAAACATGGGAACTAGACAAGGAAACCCAGTTTCTAGTTCAAGATCTATGAGCAAAATTGGATAACTGAGCCCCGATAGCCTTTGCAGTAAATTGATATGCCCAGGAAATGCCATGGTTTGGAACAGTCTTTAAAGTTAACTTAAATGTTCAGGGTCTCACTCCAACTGAGGGTACTAAATAATGGAACAGAGAGTAAAGTGCTTATATACAGTAATCATTATGGTTATATTTAGAATCAGATAGGCCAAATGTGTAAAATTCAATGTTTATTGATTATTGTGATGAGAAAACATCTAAAATAACTCCATGCAAGCAGGGGTAGTGTCTACATTTGCTTACAATTATATTCCTAATATTTAGCAGAATGCCTGGTACACCACAGCCATCCCATAAACACTTGCTGGATGAAAGAGTGAATGTCAAGCTAGTGGGTATTGATGGGGTATATATTGTTGCATAGGACAGTAGAGACTGGTTTTAGCAAGAGATTTTCTGCTCTCTAGGAGGACGAGGAAAATGTTAAATAAATGTGGTTTACCAGAAGCTATAACAAGATATAGAATAAGAGCCAAGTAAGCTAGTTTGGGCTTGGAGAAGCAGTCAGATCACTGAGATTAGAAATAGAACAGAGAATAGGTTTCCAGGCCTGTTCATGTAAGCACCTGTGTTCTCTAGCCCTGCTTAGCAGTGGGTGTTGAGGTTCTTTACCCATAGAGTCAAGAAACCTCATCTGTTTCTCACTCAAAACCAAGCAGAGTGAGCCTCATGGATGGAACACATCCAGAAACACAGATGAACTTCTGCTTCTGGCCAAAATGTAGTAACAAGGCTGGACTTATCCACCCACTTGAAAAGACTGAAACACTGAACAAAATGTATGTTTTCAAGACATTGGACATCAAGGAATGAAGGACAGGGATCACTGAGAGGGAAAAACAAACAAACGTGCCCCAATTTACTGCCTTCAGAGAGGGTCCAAGCTGTAGCACAGGGAGGGGAAGCCAGGCGGGGCTCCATAATCTCCATGAGTTGAGTAGATGAAACTGGGAGTCCAGGGAGGCCAAGGTGACTGAGTTTTCAGGGAAGAGTACTGAAGACCAAAAAACTGCACATGAAAAAGACTCTTGAAATCTGCAGGGAGGCTCCCACAAGTCTTCAACTGAGTATTAATCAGCATGTGGATATAAGGAAACTACCAGAAGCCAGGTGCGTATTACCCAGAAGCATTAGAGGGAACAGTCTTCTAAGCTCACACAGGGCCAGGAAAGTTTCTGTTCCCACCAGCCAGTGTGAAAAACCTCATGGTTCACGGAGTATCAGATAGAGAACTTAGAAGAGTTTTGCCTGGTACCCCATATGCACTCCATAAACACTTGTTGGATGAAAGAGTGAATGTCAAGTTAGTGGGTATTGGTGGAGCATATATCGTTGGGTAGGACAGTAGGGTAGTAGTGGGACAAAATTATCACTAGACTACCCAAAGCTCTAGTCCTACCTACCAAATCTTAAAAGCAAAATCTGAAAGGGAAAAACTATTTCCAAGTAACTTAACTGCATGTCAAAACAAAGCTCAACAATATTTACAGGGATATAAAAATATCCAAAACGCAAAAGGTAAACTTCAAGTCTGCCCTTCAGTTAAATATTACCAGACACACAAAGAAGGAGAAAAATATGAGGGGAGAGTAATTAATGGAAACCTACCCCAAAATGACACAAATGATAGAATTAGTAGATAAAAACATTAAAACAGTTATTATAATTATGTTTCATATGCTTGAGAACCTACAGGAAAGATTAAATTTGTGTCTTTATAGTTTTCATCAAATTTAGCAAAATTTTGGCCATTATTTTATTAAATATTTTTTCTGTCCCCTACTCCCTTTAGGGACAGTAATTGCACGTACATTGGGGTTTTTTTAAGTTGTCCCACAATTACTACTCAGGAGGCTGAGGCAGGAGAATGGCGTGAATCTGGGAGGCAGAGCTTTCAGTGAGCCGAGATTACACCACTGCACTCCAGCCTGGGCGACGGAGCGAGACTCCGTCTCAAAAAAAAATAATAATAATAATAATAATATTATATTGTGTACTTTTAAACATGTATAAAATGTATGACATCGATAGCACAAAGGCTGGGAGAGGAGAAATAGAAATATATTGTTGTAAGTTTCTCATGCTATTATTGAAGTGACATAATATTACTTGAAGATAGACTGTGATAGGCTAAATCATAAAGCAATCACCATTAAAACACAATAGAGTTTTAGCTAATAAATCAACAAAGGAGATAAAATGGAATTATTTAAAAATGCTCAACTAATCCAAAAGAAGATGGAAAATGAGAGAGAACAAAGAACAGATGATATAAAATATGTAGCAAGATAATAGATTTAAATCCATCCATATCAATAATCATATTACATGTACATGGTCTAAATAGGTCAATTTAAGGCAGAGATTTTCAGACTGGGTAAACAAAAACATAAGATCCAACTATATTATGCATTCCCCCCACCCAAAACCCAGATATTTTGTAATCCTTTAATCCGAAATGTGCTGCTGGCACCTGGACAAGTGCACCCTTCTCTTGCTATTTCATCCAGAACATTCTCCACCCAATGAGCCTCTATTCCTGAAACATTTTACGAAACAATATTTGACTTTAAGTTTCTCCTTCTGCAATGACTCCTTGCTACTGACCCATCCAACTCAGACTTCATTTTAAGTAACTGTATTTTTGCCCAATTTGTTTCTGTCTCAAGGCACAAACCACCTTGGTTGACCTTCATACTTTGCAACACACATGGACAAAGTGTGGGTGCCTCTTCCACATTATGTACCATTTAGGAAGACATAAAAGGTTTATGGACAAAACTATTTCTGCCTATTCTTTGCTTTTGCCCTCTCTCATTCCCTGGGCTTTTTCCATCCTCGAAAAGATGCCCATAATGGCCCATTCTCAATTCAAAAATGGAGTGAAGAGCCAGAAAGGGAAGGATTGGGAAGGGCTAACTTCTCTCATTCCAATGCCACAATGAGGTAAGGCTCAGTTTGGGGAAGCTTTTATTTTAGCCCATAATCTGATTTGTCTCAATATTTCTATGAGCTGGAGAGAGAGGAAAAGGAAGAAAGTATTATATATGGCCATGTAAGTGGAAGAGTATGCTCATAATTCGAAGGCTCCATGTTTGAGATGTTTCTGCAGAAGCAGAATGGGCTGCCGCCGTGCCTTGCACTCATGTGGTAAAGCAGTTTTTCTTTGGCCACAGGTAGCTGCTCAGTTATGGCTTCGATCTAACCTACCTCATGAGAATCAACCATTCAGCCAACCAGAGCAGGTTCTCTGCACTAAGCATATGAATCACACTAGAGTAACTGAGAGACAGGGAAGGCATCAGGGAAGAGGTGGTGTTTGAACTAGGCCTTCAGGGTCTTTAGGGAAGAGTCATTTCATGTTTCTAGGCCTCAATTTTCTTGTCGTTAAAATGAGGAAAGATTGCTCAGCTTACCCACAGGCAGGAGGTGCTGTGCCTGGAGGAGCTTTCCTCCCCAACCCCACAATCCTATTCAGTGTGGACCACTTCAGGGGCTGGGCTTGCTTAAAGTCATCATCAACGGCTCTAGTCAAGCACTTAGGGATGAATTAGTTATACCAAGATAGTTATACTTTTAATGTCTGATCTGGGTATAAACACTGTCTCCTTGTTCATTTCTTTAATGTTGAAATGGGCATGACTCACCATCCTTCTTCTGATTAGTTGTGAAAGGTCACTTCCAGGCCACAAAGCCATAGAGTATATTAATAAGGACTTCTGGCTTCAAAGACCAGTTATTGGATAGCAACTCCTAGTAGGTTACTTTCCCAGCTATAAAATGTGGCTGATCATAATACCTAATTCAAAGTTAATGTAGGGGAAACAGTTAGTACAATGCCAAGTACCTAAGCACTTAACATGTGTTATTATTAGTCATTGTTTAAAAACACAGTTATGCCAGTTTTAAGTGGTCATGGAAAATCTTGCTTTCCATCTCTTACTTGGGGATACTGTAAAACTTCAAGTCATGAATGTTAAAACACAAAAATATATCTACTAATACATTGGAACACCACCTACAAGTCTCCACTGAGGATTGCTGTGTTGAGAAAAATGCCCCTTGGTGAAGGTCTTTTACCATTTCATTAACTAAGCTTCCTTAGAATGGCATCACAAACAAACTGGTATTGTGCAACTCTGCTCTATAATAAGTGAGGTGAGAGCAGCCTTTGGGATCTAAAAGGCCTCATTCAATACTGAAGCTTCCAATTGTCCTGAAGGAGATGGGTTTCAGTGCCCCCAGCCTCTGTTAGTGAGATTTCTGGCTACAGCCAAGTGAAGAGGTCAAAAAATCCTCTTCTCAAAAAGCAACTATAAAACTGAACAAAATTGGCAGAAACAACAATTTCAGTACCCTGCAAATTGATCAAAGGAATCTAACAATCTAAGAAGCATTTGTGCACAAAAAAACTACTAACAGTGGGATTCTGTGGCATTCTTGCCTGGGGCTGCTTCCATTTCCCCTCCCCAGAGAGGTGAAGGGAATGTTCTGCCAGGGCAGGTGGACCATGTGGTCCAGCAGCTTCACTGCCACCATGAAAGGGGCTTGCCTCATTTGGAGCAGTGGAGGACACCCACATCCAAGATGGTCTGGAAATGACCATCTTGGCAGTGGGCAAGGGGTGGCTTTAGTAGCCTGAGATTGCCTTTCTGATTGGGGCAAGCATATTTCTGGTTATCTGTGTGTTTGTGCAGAAGAGACTGAAGACATCACAAGGTAGCCACACACTCATGGTCAACCATGAGGCTGTACACAAGACACAGAGGGAATGCAGGTAAAAAGTAAAAGCTTGAAAACTGCTTAAAAATGACCTGAATTTTTAATGTGTCCCCTGCCCACTCACAGATACACCAGCAGAAATTTTATTAATTTGAGGTTCTTAAGCAAAGCCTGTGTCAAGTCTAAACCCTGTAATCAAAAGGCAGACATTATCATATTGGAGTGAAAACTGTAAATCAAAAAGTGTCTGAGACAGATCTTAATTGATTTAGAAGTCAGTCTTGCCAAGGTTGAGGATGTGCCTCGGAAAAAAAAACACAAGTTAAAGTAGGACCTATGGCCTGTGCTTCTTCCAAACAGGGCTTTGAGGACTTTGACATTTAAAGGGGAAAGAGTGGGAAGGAGGGAAAGGAGGAAGGAAGAAAAAAAAAAAAAACAAAGAAAGGGAGATGCTTGTGAGGCTTTGATTAGCATTCACTGAATCCACATTTGACATGTGAAAAGAGAGGAGTGCGGGGAAAGTAGTTTATGCGTTCATGTACATTTTACATAAGATAAAGCAAGCATGTGAAATTTCAGCTATCTGAAAAGAAAAGGAAGGCAGTTTTTATGTGACTTAGTTCCCAAGCTTAACTTTCCCTTTGGCGTAATGAGTTTGGGGTCCCAAGATTTTATTTCCTTTTCACAAAACTAAGATCCAGCCAGGTGTGGTGGTTCATACCTGTAATCCCAGGACTTTGGGAGGCTGAAACAGGAGGATCGCTTCTGTCCAGGATTTGAGATCAGCCTCGGCAACATGGCAAGACCTCATCTCCACAAAAAATTTTTTAAGAATTAGCAGGGCATGGTGGCGGGTGCCTATGGTACCAGCTACTCAGGAGGCTGAGGCAGAAGGATCACTTGAGCCCAGGAGGGCAAGGCTGCAGTGAGCCATGTTCAGGCCATTGCACTCCAGCCTGGGTGATAGAGTGAGACCCTATCTCAAAAAAACAAACAAACAACAACAACAACAAAAACCAAAAAAGCAAAGACCAAGATCCAACTACATCTTGTCTACAAGAGATAGAAGACACAGACTTGAATATGCAAAGAGACTAGAAGTAAAATAATGGGAAAGGACATATGAAACAGCATCCATAAGAGAGCTCAAGTGGCTATATTAACATCAGACAAAATAGACTTGACTACAAGACATATTACCGGAGACATATAAGAATATTTCCTAATGATAATAGGGTCAATGCAACAGGAAGTATAACAATTTCGAATTTATACATACCTAAAAACAAAGCTTCAAAATATATAAAGTAAAAACTGACAGAATTGAAGTTAAACTAAATAAATCCATAAAATACTTGAATATTTCATTACTACCTCTCAATAATTGATAGAAAAACTAGATATACAATCAAAAAGGATATAGAATTAAACAACACTGCTAACCAATTCAATCTAACTGACATATACTCATCACTCTGACTACAGAATATACATTTTTTTTCAAGTGTATATGAAACATTCCCTTAGACCATATGTTAGGCCACAAAACAAGTCTCAGTATATTTAAATAGATTAATTATATAAAGTAGGCTCTGTGGCTATTATGGAATTAATTTAGAAACCAGTGAAAGAAGTAAATCTGGGAAATCCCATGATACTTGAAAATTAAACAACACATTTTCATATAACTCATGGGTCAAAGAAGATATCACTAGGGAAATTAGAAAATACATTAAGCTAAATGTAAATGAAAACGCAACATATAAAAATGTATAGGATTCAGCTAAAGGAGTGCTTAAATGCCTGTAACAGAAAAGACCCCAAATCAATAACCCACTTTATACATTAAGAAGATAGAAAAAGAAGACTAATCTAAGTCCAAAGCAAATAGAAGAAAGGAAGGAATAAAGATTACAAGAGAAATCAATGAAACAGAAAACAGAAAAACCAGAGAAAAATCAATGAAACGAAAATTAGTCTTTGAATAGAACAATGAACTTAAGAAATGCTTAACTAGACCGGTGAAGAAAAAAGAAAGAAGACACAAATTTCCAAAATCAAGAATGAGAAAGAGGACATCATTACTGATCCTACAGAAATGAAAAAGATTATAAGGGTTATTACGAACAACTTTATGCCAACTAATTAGACCAAAAAATGGACAAATATTTAGAAAGACAAAAAATATCAAAACTTAAGAAGAAATAGAAAATCTGAATAGAGCTCTAAGAAGTAGAGAAATTGAATTAGCTTAAAACTTTCCACAGAGAAACTTCAGAACTTGATGGCTTCACTGGTGAATTCTATGTAATAATTAAAGAAGATGTAATATCAACCCTTCACAAACTCTTTCAAAGAATAGCTACACTTCCCAATTTATTTGAAGGCCAGTGTTACCCTGATATCAAAGCCAGATAAATGCATTTTAAGAAAAAGCTATAAACCAATTTCTCTAATGTTCATAGATGCATTATTCTTTAATAAGATATTATAATAGCAAAATGAATCCAGTAATATAAAAAGGATGCTACGATATGACAAAGTGAGATTTATCCCAGGAATGCAAGGTAGGTTTAACATTTGAAAATCAATTATATGATACAGCATATTAATAGAATAAATAACAAAATTCACATGATTATCTCAATAAATGCAGAAAAACACTTGACACACACACACACACAAAACTCACACCCTCTTATGAAAAACACTCTCAATAAATTAGGAACAGAAGGCAAATTCCACAACTGGATAGAGAGCATCTATGAAAAACCCATAGCTAACGTTATACTGGCTAGTGGAAAAATTAATGCTTTCCCCCCTAAAATCAAGAACAAGGTAGAAATGTCTATTCTTGTCACTTTTTATTTTTTATTAATTAATTAATTTATATTTATTTATTTATTTATTTATTTTTTGAGACGGAGTTTCACTCTTGTTGCCCAGACTGGAGTGCAATGGTGTGATCTCAGCTCACCACAGCCTCCGCCTCCCAGGTTCAAGTGATTCTCCTGTCTCAGCCTCCCGAGTAGCTGGGATTACAAGCATGAGCCACCACACCCGGCTCTTGTCACTTTTTTAAACATTGTACTGGAGGTTTTAGCCAGGAAAATAGTCAAAAACAAAACAATAACAACAACAATAAAAACAAAACGATAATAACAAGGTCATTCAGATTGGAAAGGAATAAGTAAAACTGGATTTATTCTCAGAAGAGATGATTTTTGAGAGTCATGTATGTAGAAAATGCCAAAGAATCCTCCTAAAACTAATAAGAACAAATAAACAAGTTTAGCAAGGTTGTCTGACACAAGATCAGTATAAAAGAAATGTTGTAATTTTATATGCTAGCAATGAAAATTAAAAATAAAATTAAGAAAATAATTCTGTTCATAATAGCCTCACAGAGAATAAAATAGGAATAAATTAGTAAAGAAAATACAAGACTCATACGTGGAAAACTACAAAACATTGTTGAGAAAAATTAAAAACAAGCTAAATAAATGGAGAGATATCCCAAGTGCACATGGATTTCAATATTATCATGATGGCAGTTCTCCCCCAAATTGATTTATTAACCTAACACAATCCCTATCAAACACCCAGGAAGCTTTTTTTGTGAGAATTGATAACCTAATTTAAAAATATCTATATAAAAATGCAAAGGATCTGGAGTAGCCAAACAATTTTTTAAAAGAGAACAAATTAGGGACTGACATTACTCAATATGAAACTTACTCTAAAACTACACTTTTTAAGACTATATGGTATTAGCACAAGGATAGATATATAGATCAGTGGAGTGGAATTATAAGTCTAGAAACAAACCCTCACATTTACAACCAACTGATTTTCTAAAAAGATTCCAGAAAACTCAGTTCAATGATGAAAGGGTTATCTTTTCAAAAAACATTGCTGGGACAATTTAATAACCACGTGCCAAAAAAAAAAAAAGAGAAAGAACTTAGGCTCTCATTTCACAGCATAAACAGAAAAATTAATCCACAATGGATCATAGACATAAATGTAAGAGATAAAATTATTCAACTTGTAGAAGAAAACATAGAAGACAATTTTTTCTGACCTTAGATTAGGCTATATATTTTTATGAGTGACACCAAAAGTAAGATCCATACAAGAAAAAAATTTATAAATTAGACCCCATCAAAATTGAAAACATTCATGCTTTAAAAAATACCACTAAGAAAATAAAAAGATAAGCCAAATACTCAGAGAAAATGTTTGCAAATCTGATAAAGGACTTATATACAAATTATATAAAGAGTTCTCCAAACATATATTGATAAGAAAACAAATAACCGAATATAAAAATGGTCAAAAGAATTGAATAGACATTTCACCAAAAAATTATACAAATGGCTAAAAAGCTCTTGAAAAGATGTTCAACAACATTAGTTACTAGGGAAATGCAAATTAAAACCATGCTGAGCTACAACTACACGCTCACTGGGATGGCTATCATCAAAAAACAGACAATACCAAGTGTGATGAGCATATGGAGAAATTTTAACCATCACATGTTGCCGATGAAGATTTAAAAGAATGCAGCCACTTTAGACAAGTCTGGCATTTTCTTAGAAAGTTAAACTTAACCGCTTGATTCAGCAATTCCACTCCTAGTAATCTACCTAAGATAAATGAAAGCACATGTCCACACATAGACATGTTTGCAAATACTCAGAGCAGTATCATTCATAACAGCTCAATACTAGAAAGAACCCAAGTGTCTGTTAATTGGTAAATGAATAAACAAAGTGTGTCTTATGCACACAGTGAAATACTCTTGTGAAAGTCTTGTCGTACTCAACTAAAACAGAGTTGAGAAACCAGGAGGGAAAAGCCCTGGGGACACATACCATCTCTCCAAAACTGTAATTCTCTGCAAGCCCAGTTGCTAAAACCGCCTGCTGTAAACTGAAACCAGTTTTATCTACAGCTGCTGAAATAACTTGCTGCAATTCTAAGACTAGTTTTACCCACTACCATCACTTACCGGTTAGAGCTTGCCAGCTCCCTGAAACCTTAGTAGAGCCAATGAACTTTCTCAAAGAGCAACACGTAACATATCTCTTTTTAAAAAATAAAACCTCTAAACTTCTTGTTCTCTGGACATACCAAAGACAACCCAGTTTGTGCGTATGTCTCAAATTGCAATTCTTTCTTCCCAAAGAAAATGCTACTTTTAGAAATTCGAGGGCCGGGCTCATGCCTGTAATCCCAGCACTTTGGGAGGCTGAGGCGGGCGGATCACGAGGTCAGGAGATTGAGACCATCCTGGCTAACACAGTGAAACCCTGTCTCTACTAAAAATACAAAAAATTAGCCAAGCGTGGTGGCGGACGCCTGTAGTCCCAGCTACTCGGGAGGCTGAGGCAGGAGAATGGTGTAAACCTGGAAGGCGGAGCTTGCAGTGAGCCGAGATTGCTCCACTGCACACCAGCCTAGGCGACACAGTGAGACTCTGTCTCAAAAAAAAAAGAAAAGAAAAAAAGAAAAGAAATTCATCTCTCTATATTTTATTTGACTTCAACACTTTTCAGCAATAAAAAGGAAGAAAAAAAACTACTGATACATAGATGAACCTCAAAAATAGTCTGCTAAAACAGAGTGAAAGAAGCCAGACACAAAGGCTACATATTGTATGATTCCATTTATATTAAATATCCAGAAAGGGTAAATTGACAGAGACAGAGAGCAGATTAGCAATTGCCAAGGGGTGGGGAGAATTGACTACAAACCAGTCTGAAGGAACTTTTTGGGTTAAAGGGAATGATCTAGAACTGGGTCATGGTGATAGCTGCACAACTCTGTAAATTTGTGAAAAATCATTGAATTGAACACTTACAATGAGCGAATTTAAAAGTCGGTAGATTATGCCTTAGTAAAGCTGTTTAAGGAGTCTCCCTGAGCCTATTCTGGCTTGGGAGTCTGCCCGATAAACAGACAAACAAATAAAGAAATTTATTAATAAAGCTGTTTAAAAACTTGAAAACACGAACTACAGAAACCTAAAAATCCAACTGCAGCCCATTTGGTTCTGCTTTGCTATGAATCATCTCTACTGCTGAAATTAAGTTAGAATTTGGAATGATTCGGTGAGTTTAGTGGATAGAACTCCAAGAAGCTTGGTTTTATATACCCAATGACATTTAAAGAAATAAGCATTCAGTAAACATTGTCGTCTGTTTACAGAAATGTACTGTTTTCTATGCTTCCTTTAGCGCAAGCTTGCTTCACTTTTCAGGGGGTATTACTACCCGATATAAGCAATAATTAATTAAGAGCTCAGCTCCTGCACCAGAAGCCAGCAGAAGGGCAAAGAAAGTCAAACAGATGTCTTCAAAATGAGTTGGATTTTTTGAGCAAAGTTATCTAATTATTGCTAATGCACACAAGTGCCATGGATTGAAAAATACCCCCTTTCAGGAATAGCAATAACAATAATCAGCTGGCGGGGGGTAGGGGCGGAAACAACTTTGAATTTTATATACTGGCAGTTGAAAGGTATAAATATAAAATTAATGCATGCATTGAATCAACTTTGGTCATTGTGACCAAGTGGGGAGGTTGTTGGATCAGAACTGTTTAAGAGAGAAAATGGGTTGGAAGGGGACAGATTTGCCCTACCAGATATCAGACTTATTTTGGAACACTAGTAAATTTAAAAGTGGTATTGGCATTTTGATATATGAATAGAACAATGAAATCAGAGAGCTAGAAGCAGAGTCATATAATCTATAATATTATAATCTTTAAAATGATACATTATACTACATTGAAATGAAACATTTCAATGACAACAAAAATAGAAACTAAGTTAGAAAACAGTCATAGCGGGTTGCGGGGGGTGGTTAGCAATTTTTTGTGAATAGCCAGATGATAAATATTTTCGGCTTTGCAGGCCACATGCATCTCTGTTGCCACTGCTGCTGCTGCTGCTTTCTTCTTTCTTTGCAATCTTTAAAAATGTAAAGACATTAGATTACATTAAAATTAGTTTGGGATGTGCAAAAATAGGCCATAAACAAGGACCATAGTTTGCCAACCCCTGATCCACAGTATTCGAGAAGATAATTTCAACCACTATAAACAACAAAGGTTTAGTAATTAGAATATAAAATGACTTATGAGCAAATCAGTAAGAATAGAGACAATCCAACAGGAAGATGAGCAAATGATATGAACAGGAAATTAAATAGCTAATAAACACATATGAAAAACGCATATGGAAAGAGGAAAATATAACATCACTGAGATAACATTGCACATCCTTCCTTTTTTTAAAAAAATAAAAAGTGTTTCAGCAGAGACAGATTAACTTCAATTCTTACGCAGCTGGTGGGAGTGTAACTGGTTTAAACACTTTGGAAAGCAATTTTGCATTATATAGTAAATTTGAAGATGCACATACTCTATAATCCAACAATTCCTCTAATAGGTGCTAAGGAAAAAGTGGGAAACCACTTAATGTCCATTAGTGGGGCAATGGACAGTCAACTGTGGCATTTATAAATGGAATACATATGTATAATGTAAATACAAATAAATGGCAGTTAAATTAATGACAAATAATATATACTTACATAGACAAATCCTATAAAAGTTTGTTGCATCAAAAATTATATTGTAAGTTAAAAACTGAGAATAGATAAGATGCTGTGAAGAAGTTAGTAACTCTTGTTTCTCCAGACATTAAAACTTGTTATAAAGCTATAGTCATTAAGACAGTATGGAACTCTCAGGGATAGACAGACAGACTGATGGAACAAAAGAAACCTAGAAATAAAGCCATGCATGTATGGAAAAGAATGGCACTGTAGATCGATGAAAAAGATAGACTTCCCAGTAAATGACACTGGAACAATTGGTTATCCATAAGGTAAAAGAACAGAACTGGATCACTGCCTTACTCCATATACAACAATCAATTTCAGGTAGATTAAATGCTTAAATAACAAAGCTGACCTTTATAACTCTAAGAGAAAAATATAAAAGAATATTTTTATAATGCCAGCATAAAGAAAGTTTTCTTGGCTGGGTACTGTGGCTCACTCCTGTAATCTCAACACTTTGGGAGGCCAAGCCAGGGAGATTGCTTAAGGCTAGGAGTTCAAGACAAGCCTGGGCTACATAGCAAAAACAATTTATCTCTACGAAAAAATTTTAAAATTGGCTAGGCATGGTGGCACATGCCTGTAGTCCCAGCTGCTCAGGAGGCTGAGGCAGGAGGATCACTTGAGCCCAGGAGTTGGAGCCTACAGCGAGCCGTGGTTGTGCCACTGCACTCCAGCCTGGGTGATAGAGTAAGACCTTGAAAAAGAAAGAAGGAAAGAAAGAAAGGAAGGAAAGAAGGAAAAGAAAGAAGAAAGGAAGGAAGGAAGGAAGGAAGGAAAAGAAAGAAGAAAGGAAGGAAGGAAGGAAGGAAGGAAGGAAGGAAGGAAGGAAGGAAGGAAGGAAGGAAGGAAAGAAGGAAATTTTCTTAACACCCAAAGTGGTAACCAGAAAAGCAAATGACTGATACATTTGACAACATTAAAATTAAGACTGTTTCTTCCTCAAAAGATATCATAAAAAATGAAAAGGCAGGCCACAAACTAAAAGTCAATATTTTCAACATATGTAACCAACAAAGGGTTAGTAACAAGAATATATGAAGAGTTCTTACAAATCTATAAGAAAAAAGACAAACCCAATAGAAAAATAAACAGATGACCGGAACAGTCTCTTCACAGAAAAGGAGCTGAAAGTGGCCAATACTTATATGAAAAGATGATCAATATCATTAATAATCTGGCAAAGACAATTTAGGCCATAGCAAGACATCATTTTGTCCCCAGGAGCTTGGCAGGTGTGGGAGGGACTGTGAAACACCCAAGACACTTATACGCTTCTGGTAGAGGTAGAAACTGGTCAAGACTCTGGTGAGGGTATAAACTTGTAGAACCACTTTGAGAAATGATGGTAATAATACAAGGACCCAGAGATCCCACTCAGGTATTTTTACCACAGACAAATTATTTTATATATATATATATATATATATATATATATATATATATATATATACCAGAAAAAAGTATAATAATGTTCATAACAGCTGTGTTTGTAGTAGCAAAAACTTGAAACAACTCAAATGTCCCGTAGCAATACAAGATGCAGTGTGTTTATCCAATAGAATAGTAAACAGCAGTGAAAAGAAACAATGAACCATAGTTACACTCACCAACACGAAATGAACCTCTTAAATATATGAAGTCAAGAGAGCATAGCTCCAGAAGAACATAAACAGCACAATGTTCTCTTCCGTTCATGGTTTAAACTCACTCAAAACTGAGCACTGTCATTCAGAATTACATATATTATGATAAACTATAAAGAAAGGCCAGGCACGGTGGCTCACATCCGTAATCCCAGCACTCTGGGAGGCCGAGGCTGAGGCAGATGGATCGCTTGAGCCCAGGAATTCAAGACCAGCCTGGGAAACGTGGTGAAACCCTGTGTCTACACGAAATACAAAAATTAGCCGGGTATGCTGGCACACTCCTGTAGTCCCAGCTGCTGGGGAGGCTGAGGTGGGAGGACTGCCTGAGCCTGGGAGGTCGAGGGTGCAGTGGGCAGAGCTTGTGCCACTGCACTCCAGCCTGGGCGACAGAGTGAGATCCTGTCTCAAAAATAAATAAATAAAAATCAATAAATAAATACAAAGAAATATAAAGAATAAGCACTCCACTCATGGAGGCAGTTACCTTCTATGTGGGGTCAGGGGGAATGCAATTCAGAAGGAGGCACAGAGACTTCAAAAGCGTTGGCGACGTTCTACTTCTGCTGGGTAATGGACGGCACTTCCACTGGGTAATGGACAGCACATCAGCTGGGTAATGGACGGCACTTCTGCTGGGTAATGGATGCACAGGCGTTGGCTGTATTATGGTGATGACAATGTGTATATCACATATAATATTTTTTATCAAAAATTTCATGTTTAAAATAAAATTATATGGCTGAAAGAAAAATACACTAAGATATCATTTATGTAAATCTATAAAGCACAGAAAACAAGAGTGTATTTTGTTTCTGGAAACATACACATATAGAAAAAGTAGAACAGCCACATAAGGATACACACGAATAGAATCAATTTTGGGCATTTTTGGAGAAGAATGATGTTGGTATGTGTGTGACAAGGAGATTCCAACTGTGGTCTGTAACTTTCTCTTTAAAACATTAAAAAACTCAAGGTAAGATAGCAAAGTATTGATACTTATTAACTCTGAGTGTTGGGTACATAGGTGTTAGGAATAGGGTCTCTAGACTTAGGGCGTGCGTGGATGCACACACACACATACACGCACAAACACACATACACACACACTCTCTCTCTCTCTACAGGACACCCGGTTAAATTGAATTTCAGATAAAAACCAACAACTTTTTAGTATAAATAATTTTTAATAAAAATATGCCCCATTGGGACAGCCTATGATTCATCTGACACCACTACTTATATTGATCTCTACATCTGAAATATAGGGAAAATACGTTTGTCCTGTTTATGTACATTATGAAAAACTTAGCCAGCAATTATGTGTTTAGTGTGCACAAAATGGGGGGCGGGGGGATTACAGAGGGTCCTGCCCCTGTGCTATGGAATCAGTGCACCAGACTCATCCCACCGGCTCCCCGGACCTTCAAGGATTTCTGACCAGATCCGTTTGCTCAGATTATTTAACTCCAAAAACCAATATACCCATCATTTAAACACGGTAATTACCATTTGCTATGTGCTGAACACTTGACATGCATTATCTCATTAAACAATTCCACAGCAGCTCTGTCCTGGTACTATTTTTCCTAGTTTTCTTATAATTTCTGGTACTTCCCCAAGGCCCAGAAATTTGCCAGTGTCACACAGTGAGTCAGGGGTTCCAAAGCCATCGTTCTTTCCACCTGCCCTCCCTACCCCCCTAACACGTACGCAGCAATCTTTCTCAATCCTTCATGGTCCCTCCCCTCCTGGGCTTCCCTATCCCTTTCACGTCTGGTTCCTCTTGCAGCAAGAGGCATTAACTAACCTTGTGTTTTTATCTCTCTAGATACAGATGACCCTCCTACTTAGACTGCATACTTCTTTCCATATCACTGCCCAGCCCAGCTCCAAATTTCTGCCAAACTAGTGCCTCGTGGGGAGAAGGCACTCAGGACGTATTTGCCAGTTGGCGGGTCAGCATTTTCTTTAAGGGCATTCTGGAAAGCAGCCGTGGACTTGGCCACTTCCAGCAGTTCTACTTTAAACACAAAGTTCCTTGGCTTCCAATTTCTACATTAAAGTGCTCCAGTTCCTCTGGTCAGCAGAGAACATCCTTGGGGTCTCGCAGCCCCTACAGACATCATCCAGGCAGCCCAGAGACAATGTTCTTGTGAGCTTCTGTGTGTAAACAGCCAAGTCCATGCCTACTGCTTCGTTTTAAAATGCCCCAAACACAAACCCTTTTTGTCATTTAGAAGAGCATGGAAAAGCCCCTTCTGCCCCACGGAATAACAAAAGACCAGTTGGCTTCCTTTCAAATATGCTAATTGCCCAGCTTCCAAGTTTCAGCTCAAGGCCCATTTTCATGCCTGACTTAAAAATAAAGCCCTGACAATATGATCTTGAATGGAAATGCTGACCACACTAGCTGATGAGAACAAGCAGCTATTCCAGGAAAGAAAACAATGGAGGCAGGCAGTGCGCGCATATTCCTCCCGGCCTATGTGGGACTGTTTGTTTCCAGGCCACCGGCCGGCCCTACAGCTGGCTCCAGGCTCCAGAGCCCAGACCCGTGCCTGACTTCTTTACTAGAAGTTTGAGGAAATGTGATCCTATCTTTCGGTTCTCTCTGGATAAAAGTGGAACTAGCTTTCTTTTGTTTTTGCTTTTGTTTTTTTCCAGTTCTGTCGTAGGGAAAGTTTGGACTCCCACACTTAGGGGGCAACTCCTAAGACATAGAAACCCCAGACATCTGAAACCCCAGATAATGGATGTGCACACACGGACTTGGGGACAGGTTGTGTGCAGCAATTTGGAGTCTAGGCAGCATTTAAAACTATAGCCACAGCCGGGCCGGTGGCTCACGCCTGGAATCCTAGCACTTTGGTAGAGTTGAGGTGGGCAGATCACCTGAGGTCAGGAGTTCGAGAACAGCCTGGCCAACATGGCGAAACCCCATCTCTACTAAAAACATAAAAATTAGCTGAGTGTGGTGGCGGGTAGCTGTAATCCCAGCTACTCGGGAGGCTGAGGCATAAGAATCTTTTGAATCCAGGAGGTGGAGGTTGCAGTGAGCTGAGATTGTGCCACTACACTTCAGCATGGACAGAGTGAGACTCGTCTCCAAACAAACAAACAAACAAAAAAACTATAGCCATAAATAAATAGGCCTTCTAGACCACCTGAAACAAGTCTCAACCAAAATGACTAGAAGGATCTTACTAAGATCACTTTTCTGGAGTGATGCGGAGAGCTGACATTATAACCCAAATGATTTGGAACCCAACCCAAAGTTTAACAGCTCTGTCTGGATAACAGCCTCGTGTTTTATGTCAATGAAGGAATCACCTCCAATTCTAACCAAAACAAGTGAGAAGCTGATCTGTGTTATGTATCATCTCCTTTCATTTAAATTCCTCAGTGGGGCTGATATTATTGTTCCCATTTCACAGATGAGGATTCTGAGCCCCAGAGAAGTTACGTTAGTTAAATAAGTGACCCCAGATTGTGCTGAGATGAAATTCAAAACCAAGAGTGAGATGCCACACTGCCCCGCCCCTGCTACTCAAAGAGTGGTCCGGGGACCCGTAGCAGCTGTGGCATCACCTGGGCAATTGTGAGAAAGGCAGAGTCCCAGGCCCCACCCCAGACTCCTGAATCAGAATCTGCATTCAGACCACAGGCTTCACACGCACATGAAGGTTTGTGAAGTGCTGGCCCACACTGCAGGCCTTCTCAGATGACCCTGCTGCCAAACAGACATAGAACCGTGAGGATCTTAGAAACTGGACGTGACGTGAAGCCTAGTGTCTAAGGAGAGTGTGATGCCATGTGGAAGGAAATGCAGGTTTCAAGCATAGCAGTTACATATGTCTCAGAGGACTACCTTGGATGCCAGTGTAGAAAGGAACAAAGTCTCTGGATTTAGAAATTTTATATTCAATCCTGGTTCTGCCATTTACAGGCTACAAAACCTTGGGAAAGTTGTTCAATTCTCTGACTCTCAACCTGTTTCCAAAGTAAGAATAATGCTAGATCTGAGGTTGTTCTGATGTTGAGACCATATACACACAAACGTGCTCACTAGGCCCTCTCTATCTTTTTTTTTTTTTTTTCAGATGGAGTGTAGCTTTGTCACCAGGCTGGGGTGCAGTGCATGGTCTCGGCTCACTGCAACCTCTGCCTCCCGAGTTCAAGCAGTTCTCCTGCCTCAGCCTCTGAGTAGCCGGTATTACAGGCACGTGCCACCACACACAGTTAACTTTTTGTATTTTTAGTAGAGACAGGGTTTCACCATGTTGGCCAGGCTGGTCTCGAATTCCTGACCTCAAGTGATCTGCCCACCTCAGCCTCCCAAAATGCTGGGGTTACAGGCATGAGCCACTGCGCCTGGCCAGCCCCTCTCTATCTATGGGTTCCACATGCCTGGATTCAACCAACCATGGAGCAAAAATGTTTGAAAAAAAAAGTGTCTGTATGGAACATGTACAGATATTTTTCTTGTCATTATTCTCTAAACAATACAGTATAACAACTATTTACATTGTATAAGGTATTATAAATAATCTAAAGATCATTTAAAGTATTTAAGATATTTGGGAGGATGTGCATAGTTTGTATGCAAATGCTATAACATTTTATATCAGGGACTTCATCCTGTGGGATCTAGGCATGGGCGGAGGCTACTGGAACCAATCCCCCACGAGTCCAAGTGATGACTGTATATGCATATACACACATATATGTACACACTGTCTGGATACACGTATATGTTCATATATAGACACACATATAATGTGGATATATGTGTATTATACACATGTGTACCTATGTGTATAATACACATGTGTACATATGTGTATTTACACTTGTATATATGTGTTTACATGCATACACACACGTATATACACACATACATGTATACACATGCATATATCCACATTATATATACGTACATATATACCCATATATACACATACATATATGCATACATATACATATATATACACATACATATATATACACCATACATATATACATATACATATATATACATATATACACCTATATATGTATGGGTATATATGGGTATGTATTTGTATACATATATACACATACATATATATACCCATATATAAACCCATATACACATACATATACATACACATGTGTATATGCATACATATACATACACATGTGTATATGCATACATATACATACACATGTGTATATGCATACATATACACATACATATATATGTATGCATATACACGTGTATATGCATACACATATGCACACATATGTATGCATAAACAATAAATGTGTATATGTATACATATATACACATACATATATACCCATAAATATATACTCATACTTATATAGCCATACATATATACCCATACATATATACACCCATACATATATACACATACATATATATACCCACACATATATACCCATACATATAACCATATACACCTACATATATATACCCATATATATTATATACACATACATATATAATATCCATATACACATATATATTTTATATAACATACTAAGTATTATACCTATATATGTGTATATAGGTATATAACATATGTGTATATGGGTATATAACATATGTGTATGTGTATTATACCCATATATGTGTATATGGGTATATAACATATGTGTATATGGGTATAATACATATTATGTTATATAAAATATATATGTATATATGGGTATTATATATGTATGTGTATATAATATATATGGGTATATATATGTATGTGTATATATGTATGGGTATATATATGTATGTGTATATATATGGGTATATATGTATGGGTATATATGTACGGATATATATATGTATGTGTATATATGTATGGGTATATATATGTATGTGTATATATGTATGGGTATATATGTATGGGTGTATATATGTATGGGCATATATATATTTTATATTGCATAATATGTATTATACCCGTATATATGTGTATATGGGTATAATACATAACACATATATATGTGTATATGGGTATAATACATATTATGTTATATAAAATATATAATATATGATAAGATGTAGCATATATACGTATATGGGTATATATATGTATGTGTATATATGTATGGGTGTATATATGTATGTGTAGATATGTATGGGTATATATAGGTATGTGTATATATGTATGGGTATATATGGGTATATATGTATGTATATATGTATGTATATGTATGCATATATATGTGTGTATATATGGGTATGTATGTATATATGTATGTATATGTATGCATATATGTGTTTGTATATATGGGTATATATGTATGTGTATATATAATGTGCATATGTGTATGTGTATATATGTATGGGCATGTATGTTCATATGTGTATGGGCATATATGTATAGGCATGTATGTGCATATATGCATGTGTATATATGTATGTGTATATATATGTATGTGTATATGTGGGTATATATGTATGTATATATGTATGTATGTGTATGCATGCATATATGTATGTGTATATATGGATATATATGTGTGTGTATATATAAGTATACATATACACGTGTGTGTATATGCATGTGTGTTGTTCCTTTGGTATCTGTGGGGGATTGGTTCCAGAAGCCCACTCGGAACCCAAGCTCCATCTGGGTATCCCCAATCCCCACTGCAGTGCCCAGTCCAGCCTGGCCTCTCTTGGCCATGCTCCCTGCTCAAAACTGTAAAGGCGGGGGGTGGGAGGGGGACTAAGGGCTTAATGAATCACAACCGACACTTAAACATCACAGGTTTGAACTGTACAGGCCTGCTTATGCTCAGATTTTCTTCCACCTTTGCCACCCCGAGAAAGCAAGACCAATCCCTCCTCCTCCTCAGCCTACTCAACGTGAAGAAAATGAGGATGAAGACCTTTATGATGATCTGCTTCCACTTAATGGATAGTTAATATATTTTCTCTTCCTTAGGATTTTCTTAGAAACATTTTCTTTTCTCTAGCTGACTTTATTGTAAGAATACTCTGTGTGTGTGTGTGTCTGTGTGCGTGTGTGTACCGTACAAAATATGTGCTAACCAATCAACTGTTTATGTTATCAGTAAGGCTTCCAGTCAACAGCAAGCTATTAGTAGTTATATTTTCGGAGAGCCAAAAGTTATACAGAGATTTCTGACTGTGCAAGGGGTGGGGGAGGTTCAGTGCCCCTAACCTCCATGGTATTCAAGTGTCAACTGTAGTTAGTCCCAGATATGTGTCCGAAAGTCACTGGAGCCTTCCAGTAGTGAGTTTCCAAGCCATGGAAGTGTGCAGCAGAGGACAGACAGCCACTCATCAGGGGTGCTGGCCAGAGGGCCTCGAAGATTCTTCCTAACCCTCCGGGTCAGTACTGCTATGAGACACAATGTCTTCAACTTCCAAAAAGAGACTTCTCGGGGGGAAGCTAGGCCCTGTGGCTGATTGAAAGGAAAAATCTGGAGCCAGGTTCTCTCCAACCTGCAAATCATCCCCAGAGCGGTGTCTGCCTCCCTCATGTGCTTAAGCACCTGACCACGGGGTGCCTTATAAGGAGGGGATTATACTCTTATCCCTGGTTTTAGACAATTAAAACACTGTTCTGTGTGCTAGTGACCCAAAACAGTTAATGCTCTTCCCAAAGGGGCCCAGCTTAGGCACTGGAAGGATTTGGGGAAAAGCCCACTTTCACAAACTAATCAGAGTTGACATAGATCCTTTTTGTCAAATTATGAATGTCTATGGACCACAACTGGTTGAGAACCTGGAAAAAAACAAACCAAATCAAACCAAACCACGTGTTGAGCAGATAGGATTACGATAAGGTTCTTTTTCTCTTTTATTTGGATTTCTGTTAATATTTTTAATGAAATTTCTTCGTAGGCGTCGAAAAAGAAGAAATCATTTCTCTGAACTTAAAGGGCCTTTTATTAATCATTATAGTAGGAAGATGAACATGTTCCTAATTTTATCTCATTTTGTCTTTGGTGGCCGATGTAGTGGGTTGAAGGCTTTGGGTCCATATATTAATAATTCCAAATACGAATTGCCTGAGCCTCGGCAATTTGCCATCTATGTGGCAAATTCCAAATACGAATTGCCTGAGCCTCGGCAAACCCTGCAGTTTGCCATCTATGTGTGCTCATTGTTTTGGTTGGTTTGGTTTGACACAGCTGGGTGGGTGGCATTGTTTGGGGTGTTGGTATCCACACAGCATCAGAAGGGACAGGACACTGGGGCCTTTTCCTTTCTTATATATTCCTCCACAATCGAGACAGGCTTTGACACTGACTGCTGGATAAAGATGGCAGATTGAATACCTGCATCTAATTCTGACCTCTCCTGAAGTCCTACCAAACCACAGTAAAGAGAGAACAGGAGGGAACAGGAGAGCGAACAAGGAGGTTCTGGAAGTTGGAAAACTGATGAAAAACAAATCTGGCAGTGCAGAAAGCTGAGCTTAACGTGATTTCCATCACAGCACGCGCAAACAGCTCAAGAAGGCACTTCTGGAAGTGAAGGTAAAGCAATTGGCTCTGCAGTTTCCCCAACCCCACTCCACCACTGCTTCTCCCCAACCCCATCAGGAGACTGGAGATGAAGTCTGTGGAGAAAGCAGAGAGTCTCAGGACTGAGAACATTAGGTATAACGGAAGGTAAGGCTCCTAAAAGCACAAGAGAATGAAATGAGTTATGTCTGCTGGAAGCTGTGGTGGGCAGCCCCTCCTCTCACTCATCTCTCAGAATGTAGGCAGGCAGATCTTCTCCCTCTAGGCAAGATGCTGGAAGCTTCTCCTCAGGGGAATTAGATGGCCCAGGAAGAGAAACCTGAAAGTACTGATGTCAGGGGTCCCCCAGCACACGGCCCAGCCAGATTACCCTACTGAGAAGTTAACAGTCAACAACTCCCACCCACCTCCCCACCACATTCCCCAAGTACAGAATGTCCAGTCAGCCTTTCACTCCTGGGCTCTAAACCCAGGGCGATGGCGCCTTTAAGAGATGGCTCTAAATCCATCCCATTTGACCTTCCCAGTGGAGCTATCTTGAATCTCCTCCTGTCAAATAATAGATCCTTCTAATCAGCAGTGGAAACCCAATCAAGTCACTTCCATCTTTAGTATCCGTCCTTCAATGCCCCATTGTCTCCAGCTCCACACCATACTTCTTCTCCCCATTAAAGTCACATTTTCTCACTTTCCAGTTATATTTCAACCCACTGCATACTATCTTCTATCTCACAACCCAGAAAATCTGCCTCACCCAAGGAAGGGCATGGGAATTGCTAACAACAACAGAGACATCTTGGTCCTTCTCAGCTTGGCAGCAACATTCAATAGTGTTGATCATCACCTTCCTAAAATATTCTCTTCCATCACTTGCCACAAACATCCTCTTCTCCTAGTTTGTCTCCTGTTTCAGTGACCACTACACAGCTTCCTTTGCTGCCTCATCCTCCCCCACCCAACCTATAAATCCTGGCATTCTTCGGGGTGCAGTCCTGGGCTTTCTATTTCTCTGTGCTCTCTCCTTAGTGGATCCTATTCATTTGATTCCCAAATGTGTACCTTCAAATCAGACCTCTCCTTTTTGTCCAAAGTCATCCTTGGAATTCTAACTGGACTCACCATTTCCCCTCCAAATTCACCCTTCCTCCAAAGCCCCTGTGGTAAATGGTCAATATCTGTAGAGTTGCTCAAGTTGAACACCACATGGAGAGTCATCTTTGACACCTTCTTCATGTCCCACGTCCAAGTCTTTACTAAGTCCTGTTGATTATATATTCAAAACATACCACGAGTCCATCTCTTTCTGTCCATCTTCATGACCAGCACCCCAGTCCAGGCCCCTGTTGTCTCTTGCCTCCTGACGACTTTCCTCATATTCATTCTTGCCCTTCAGTATGTGGGATATGATGAGGTTTCTCTTAAAATAATCTGATCGATATTTTATTCTTTAATTCATAGTACCCTCTCTTTTTTTTCTCCTTTCTTCCTTTTTGCCTTTGTTAAATGCCCAAGCATGCCACAATACCAGGAGTTATCAATACCAGCTCGCGTTCCTTTCCTTATTTAAAAAAAAGACCAACCTTCTAGCTCATTACAGACACCCCTTTTCCCCTTCATCTCCACTTTCTTTTATGTGCCCACCCTTTCTAAAAAAAAAAAATCAAATGTTTAGCCAACCGAGATTAGTTTAAATTATACAACCCGACCCCAGCCAATGGGGAGAGGGTACAGGGGCAAGACTTGTGTCAAAAGTAAAGGCTCTTGTGCCCCTTTGTTCAAGTGTGCTCTCATGGCAACTGGCCAAAGAGGCACCCCTCTACGCAAAAGTAAAATTGCTTTGCTAAAAATCCTTTGTTCGAGTGTTCAATTTCCTTAAGATTTTAAGCGTTATTCCTAACAACTGTCACTCCCCCTGTTTCAAACACTCCAGTGGGTGCACTTTCTATTGCATCCAGGATGGGAACAAAATCTTTAACTTGGCCTCTAAGACCCTGGGTAAACTAGTTCTTCCCCGGTTAGCTTTTGTTCCTGCCATTCCAGCCCCTTGGGCATTCTTTCACTCCTTGCCCATAGGCCTTTGCCCTTGCTGCTTCCTCTGCTCCCCAGTATCCTTCTTTATTCTCCTCTACATTCAGATAACCCTTCTTTATCCTTTGAATCTCCATTAAATCACTTATTTAAAAAATTATCTCTGATTCCCTACTCCTACACCACATTCCCATTTACATAGGACCCCATGATGTTTGCTATGGTTTGAGAGTCCCCAGCAAAACTCATGCTGAAATGTAATTGCCAATATCATAATGTTGGGAGATGGTGCCTTTAAGAGGTGACTAAGTCATTAAGATGAATTGATGTCTTTCTCAAGAGAGCAGGTGAGTTTTCTCAGGAATGGATTAGTTCTCGCAAGAATAGGTTGTTACAAATCCATGTTGCTTCTCTTGCTTTGTCTCTCTGCACATGCCTGCTTCCCCTTCTGCTTCTTTTCCATCCTGTGATGCAACACAAGCCTCACCAGAAGCCAAGCAGATGCCAGCGCCAAGCCCTCTGGCTTTCTAGCCACTGCAACTGTGAACCAAATAAATCTCTCTTCTTTATAAATAACTCAGCCCTGGGTAGTCTGTTATAGCAATACTAAACAGACTTAAGACAAAGTCCATATTCTGTTATAGCAACACTAAACGAACGAAGACAATTTCAGTCTCATAGCAGTCACATTCTCCTTCACAGCACTTGTATGACAGCATAAATTGTGCAAGTGTTGGTGCCTTCTCCACTAGATTATGCATGGTGAAGGTAGAGACAATGTCTGTCTTGTTCAGTGACATAACCTCAGAAACTACCACAGGGTCCAGAACATAGTACGTGGTCAATAAATATTTTAAATATGTGATCATGAAAGCTATCCTTGAATTCGAGGAACTCTTCTGGAGCACTTTCTAAAATTTTATTTTTGGGTCTGCAATCTTCTAGGAGAAAGGAAACAAATCTTATATTCTATGTCACCCTTTTAAAATTGCAATGTTTATCTATCCTCGAATATACATTAGCATGTTGCAGTAATTAGTGCTGTCTTATATTTTGCTATTTTTACTACGACAAAGGGGATGCCAGGGAAATTCCCCTTGTGAGTCCTGAGTATCCAATCAAATGTTGCCTTATTTCATGACTTCTTCCTTTTGGTCTTCAGACTAGCCCTTAAAGTGGCTCAACTTAACTGTAGGCCACAAGCTATATGAGGGGTCTTCAAAAAGCTCATGGAAAATGCATATAATGAAAGAACTATGCATTGGAAACGGAAATGGAAACTATGGTTTCCATTTTTTGCACCAAAATAAACTCGTACTAACTTGTTATAACGTGTCTGAACGGGATCTAGTTTGAGGCACTAAGAATGGTTTCATCATTTTGAAAAGAACCCCTATCAGAGCAACATGAATTCTGCTAAAACTGAAGCAAGAACAAACATCAAATTTACGGTGATTCTTGGGTAGGAAGGACGGTGAAATCATTGATGCTTTATGAAAACGTTATAGGAATGATACTCCGAAGAAGTCAGCAGTTTATGAACAGATAGCTCATTTTAAGAAGGAACAAGATGATATGGAAGATGAAGCCCACAGCAGCAGACCATCCACATCAATTTTTGAGGAAAAAATTCATCTTATCCATGCCCTAATTGAGGAGGACCAATGATTAACAACAGAAAAAGTATCCAACATCATACACATCTCAATTGGTTCAGCTTACATAATTCTGACTGAAAAATTAAACTTGAGAAAACTTTCCACTGATGGCTGCTGAAACTGTTGCACCCAAATCAGCTGCAGACAAAAGCAGAGTTTTCAATGAAAATTTTAAACAAGGGGATCAAGATCCTGAAGCATTTCTTTGAAGAATTGTAACAATTGTAACAGGAGATGGAACGTGGCTTTACAGTATGATCCTGAAGACAAAGCACAATCTAAGCACTGGCTACCAAGAAGTGGAAGTGGTCCAGTCAAAGCAACAGTGGACCAGTCAGGAGCAAGGATCATGGCAACAGTCTTTTGGGATGCTCAAGGTATTTTGTCAGTTGACTTTCTGGAGGGCCAAAGAACAATAGTATATGCTTATTTTGAATGTGTTTTGAGAAAGTTAGCTAAAGCTTTAGTAGAAAAATGCCCAGGAAAGCTTCACTAGAGAGTCCTTCTCCATCATAACAATGCTCCTGCTCATTCCTCTCATCAAACAAGGGTAATTTGGTGAGTGTTTCAGTGGGAAATCATTAGGCATCCACCTTATAGTCCTGATTTGGCCCCATTTTATATCTTAATCTTAAAAAATTCTTAAAGGGCACTCATTTTTCTTCAGTTAATAAATGTAAAAATGACTGTATTGACATGGTTAAATTCCCAGGACCCTCAGTTCTCTGAGGGTTGACTAGATGGCTAATATCACTTACAAAAGTGTCTTGAACTTGATGGAGCCTATATTGAGAAAGTTTATATTTTTTATTTTAATCTGTTAATTGTAGTTTTCCATGAGCTTTTTGAAGTCTCCTTGTATACAAGATGGTGCAACATGTAATAGTGCAGTAGTTTGATTTTAGGTTCAAATGCTAGGTCTGAATTAAAGGCGTGTGAATGGCTGTTAGTGATGCAATCTGACTGTGGTTTATGTGTGCATGTGTGGGCCAGCCCCAAGTGCCCAGCTTCTCCTCATCACAGCCATGACTGCTCCCAGCTAGACTCGCAGAGGAAGCAGCTCTTGGGCCTCCCAAACCTGGACTTTTTTTTTTTTTTTTTGAGATGGAGTTTTGCACTTGTTGCCCAGGCTGGAGTGCAATGGCACAATCTTGGCTTACTGCAACTTTGCCTCCTGGGTTCAAGTGATTCTCCTGCCTCAGTCTCCAGAGTAGCTGGAATTACAGGTACCTGCCACCATGCCCGGCTAATTTTTTGTATTTTTAGTAGAGATGGGGTTTCACCATGTTGGCCCAGCTGGTCTTGAACTCCTGATCTCAGGTGATCCACCAGCCTCAGCCTCCCAAAGTGCTGGGATTACAGGCATGAGCCACTGCACCTGGCCCAGCCTGGACTATTTTTGTGCACAGCCCAACATCTGCTGGTGGAATTCTCCCTTGCTATAGACTAAATATTTGTGTCCCCCTCAAATTTATATGTTGAAACGCTAATTCCCAATGGGATAATATTAGGAGGTGGGGCCTTTAGGAGGTAATTAGGTTTAGATGAGGTCATGAGGATGGTATTAGTGTTCTTATAAGAAGAGTAAGAGACACCAGATCCCCTGTCCTCTGCATGCGGGGACAGAGTGAGATGGTGGCCATCTGCAAGCCAGGAAGCAGTCCCTCTCCAGGAACCACATCAGCCAGAACCTTCATCTTGGACTTCCGCCTCTAGAACTATGAGAAATAAATTTCTGTTGTTAAAGCCACTCAGTCTATGGTATTTTGTTATAGCAGCCCAAGCCATCTAAGACATTTCCCAGCCCCGCTTTCCATAAAGCTGCCCTATATTCTCCCCAGTCTAGGGGCTGTCCACTCCCTCCCTGGCTCTAGGTGGAAGGCAGCTGTTGAGTTTGCTTTTGTTTAACTTTTATCTGGTGATACTTTGTTGTCTAAGGGCTTACTCAGAGAAAAATACTCTGCTCTTAAACTCAGCCTCGAAACTAGAAAATTACTTTTTAAATAGAGAAAACATTGATTTAACATGGCTTTAGACCTGCACCAGAGCCACCAGCCTGAGCCATGGGCCTCCTGCTCCTGCTCCTGCTCCTGGCTTTCCTGGTGCCCTGGACCACCACAGCCCTCCAGCCAGCCTTAAGGGCTCTCGGCAGCCTGCACTCGCCAGCCAACTCCACGTCCCACCCGGCTGTTGCCAAGAACAACTCGGTTCTCCACTTCCAACAGAGGGTTGATCATTTTGGATTTCATACTGTGAAAACTGTTTAACAGCAGTATCTAATAGCAAATAAATACTGAAAGAAATATGACGGGGACATCATCTGGTTCTGCAGTAATACGTGGTTCATGTGGGATGGGGCTGAGGAACTGAAAGCTATGTTGGTGTATGCGGAACAGCGATACTGCGGAGAGTCCCTGCCCTGTGATGACCCATTCAAGGATTCTGGACACTTGGATCTCCTGACATCAGAGCAAGGTCTGGCTGATTTTGCAGAGCTAATCAAACACTTGAAAAGAACAGTCCTAGGAGCTGAAAATCACCCTGTCACGGCCCTCTAGGGCCCCTATGGTGGCATGCTTGCAGCCTAGTTCAGAATGAAATACCCTCATATGGTAGTTGGAGCTCTTGCAACTTCTGCCCTTATCTGGCAGTTTAAGGATTTGGTACCTTGTGGTGTATTTATGAAGATCGTAACTACAGATTTTAAGAAAGGTGGTCCATATTGTTCAGAGAACCTCCGTAGGTCCTGAGATGCCATTAATCGACTCTCAAATATGGACGGTAGTTTGCAATGGCTTCCTGACATTCGACATTTGAAAGACTAGACCTCTGAAGACTGGGTGACGTGCAGTGGTGAGCTATCCTTATGCATCTAACTTTTTATAGCGTTTTTTGTCTGAACTTCACTCGTGGAACTTGAAGGAGTTTTCTGATAACTGTTTTAAACAGTGGGGTGTGAGACAGAGGCCCTCCTGGATCACTACGGTGTGTGGAGGCAAAAACATGAGTTCGCACATGGACATCATTTTCAGCAATGGCAAACTAGACCCCTGGTCAGGAGGTGGAGTAACCAAGGACATCACAGACACCTTGGTTGCAGTTACCATCTCAGAGGGGCCCACCGTTTAGATCTCTGAGCCAACATGGGCCTTTTGTTCCATGTCTGTGCTGTTAGCCCCCTCCTTGGAAGTTAGACACATGAAGACATGGATCAGAGATTTCCACCACAGGGCGGGAGAAACTTTTGATCATTTTTAGTTTCTCCTTTTATATTCACATCACCCACATTCATGTTCACTTTGGTTTTCTTCATGTAGTTACTTTCCCTTGTTCCTCACTCAATTTGATGGCACCGAGGGGAGACAGAAGAGAGGGTGATGGTGGTGACAGCAGCCATCCCAGGAGTGTGATTTCCTGGGCTCTTGCTGACTTTGTGCCACCTCCAGGAAGATTCTCTTCCTGATCACTCTCCCACACCATCAGTTAGCCCTCATCACCGGAGCAGAGTTCCTGACTGCCTTTCACAGAGAAAGAGTCATTTCCTGTGTTTCTCTGCAAGCAGGGATTTCTCCTTGGTTTTGAGGTTGAAGTCTCTTTGACCCGTTTATAAGAGCCCAACCCTACCCCCCCGCAAAAGGAAAAGCAGATGATAGGTAAAAATGATGCAATTGCAGCTGGTAGGATGTCTGATGCCAATCCAGGAAATGGGAGCCATTTCTTTTGTACTAGATTTAATGATTTAGTGACTTTGAACTGTGCTGTAATTTTTTTTCTTTTTTTTGGTAGAGATAGGGGTTTCACCATGTTGCCCAGGCTGGTCTCAGACTCCTGAGACTCAAGTGATCTGCCCACCTGGGCCTCCCAAAGTGCTGGGATTACAGGCATGAGCAGTCATGCCAGGCCTGTGCTTTAAATAAATAATAAGCCTGGACCTTTAAAAAAAAAACATGGCTTTACATGCACAGGTACAGGCTGAGCTCACACTTACCATCCTTTTTAATTTCACCTATTATATGGATATACTGCGGTTGACTAAGTCATTCCCCTGTTGTTGTTCTGCAAATTATTTCCAAGCTTTTCTTACTACAAATAGCAGCAATCTGCACATTTTAATACTGATTGTTTTTCTCTAACTTCTAGATATTTCCTGAAAGTTTCCTGGTTAAAGAGTATGAGTTATCTCACGGCTTTTTTTTTTTTTTTTTTTTTTTGACACAGGGTCTGGCTCTGTTGTCCAGGCTGGAGTGCAGTGGCATGATCTCAGCTCACTGCAACCTCCACCTCCCAGGTTCAAGCGATCCTCCCACCTCAGCCTCCTGACTACAGGTGAATACCACCACACTCGGCTAATTTTTAAATTTTTTTTGTAGAGACGGGGTTTTGCCATGTTGGCCAGGCTGGTCTCTAATTCCTGAGCTCAAGTGATCCACCTGCCTCAGCCTCCCAAAATGTTGGGATTACAGGTGTGAGCCACCACTCCCAGCCATCTCACTGCTCTTATAGCAAAGGCCATGTTACTTTGCAAAAACCACAGTGATGTGTAGGGCACCAGTGATGTGCATATGAGCCTGCTCTATCTCATACTTACCAGTACTAGGTCTTGTCATTTCTCTTTATTCGAAGTAGTTTAAAAGATACTTATTAAGCCCCTAGAATTATTTATTCATTTCTTTCTATGCAGAGTTGTTTATGTTGTAATGAACAAAATGCTAACACTCAGAAATCAATTTGGCAAAACAATTTCTGATTATTTTGCCAACTATCAGAAATCTCTGCCTGAAGACCCACAGATTCAATTCTGACACAGCCCTTTTCCTGTTCTTGAATGTGCAAGTTATTGGTTTTTAATATCAGTTACACTTGAAAGGATTTATGAGGACAAATGGTGAATGACAAAGCAAACAAACAGATAAGCAAGGAAGTATTTCCTTTTCCAACACAGGCCTCCTCAAAGTCACCGTGTTCGTTGCAGGCCATCTAGTGGATCCACGTGGGAAAAATGCCCTGCGCCCAGGGAGGGGAGGGAGGGGAGGGAGGGGAGGGAGGGGAGCCATTTTTCCAGGTGAGCACATTTGGGGCAAGCTCTCTAGACACAGGACGCCGACTTAGGGTCCTGTTTCCTCACAGGAGGAAGAGTTGCAGTTTCCCCAGCTCCCAGCAGCTCCCGTGTACTATCATTCCACGTTTCCTGGGGAGATGATCTGGCCAGCCTCTTTCTGGCGTGGGTGTGTGGGAACCAGCAGGGACTGGAACACAGTTGTTAACATCTACTTATGAAACTGCTTAAAGCTGGGGGCTCAGTGAAAGGCACGACTTTCTAGCACAGAAAACTCCCCACAACTTCCGTAAGCTGAGGTGCCAACGATACAGGCTTTTATTCCTTCGCCAACCATGCATTTAGTCCCCTGTATACGAGCAACGCTGTGTGCATTCTACAGGTGGCTCTAGCTGGGGCTGAGTCCAAAGTAGAGGAAAGGACTTAGTTGTGAAAAACCAGTAAATGGTAGATGGCAATGAGATGAGCGTGGGGCCACTGTACAACAGAGAAGCAGAGAAGTATCCGTGGAGGAGGTGGAATTTTCTTTTTCCTCATAAGCTTAATTTTGGCTTTATTTAAACAAAATGACACATACTTATAAAAATTGATAAAAGTAAAAAATGAATAGTTCCCTCATTCCCCTATGCACTTCCATTCCCGACAGGTGACCACTGTTTAGAGTTGGCTTGGTATAATTAATTCCAGGAGGTGGATTTTAAACTGGGTCTTAAAGGATGAGATTTGGTCAGTGGAGGGAGTGGGATAAGAATGATGTGCTGGGACTCTGTGGAGTGGGAAGAGTTAACTATAGATGGACACAGTCCCATTATCATTGTGAAATTCTAATTCTCTAATATCCTCAGGTCCCTTGAGTTTCTGGCAGCCTTCATCATTTAAAAAAAAAAAAAGAAAGAAAAGAAAAAAAAAAGGAGGAAAAAAAGAGTTAATTCATTCCAGACACCTGGGTTCCCTCAGTTGTCTTTTTTTTTTTTTTTTTTTTTTGGTTTGACCACTGAGTGAACCCAAGTTGATGAATCATAAGGCTTCACCTCTTGAATGTTCTATTGCAAGACCTTTGACTTTCAGAACTTTTTCTATTGCATTCAGATCCTCAGGCAACTTGATATTTTCCTGCACTTCCTGGCCCTTGCTGGGAAGGGTAGCATTTATTTACCTGTAATTGTGGGGGGCTTTTGCTATGCAGAAGCATGTACTTAACTCCCAATTCAGTTACTCACAGCCTCATTCTTTGTAGACCTCTGGACTAGTTTCTATGCTCTTCTCCCAGGCAACCTATACTTACCTCTGTCAGAGTACTTAGCAATCCATATTGAAAATTGCTATTAATTATTTGGCCATATGCAGACCATAAAGTCCATGAAACCTGTCTACTCACTGTGGTAGGCTCAGTGCCTAGGAGCTCAAATATTTGCAGAATGAATGTATGAGTAACAAATGACCAACATCCTAGAGGAAGTCTTCTATTGTAGGAGTGGCTGCAGAGTAAGTACATTAGCCACCGTGCACAAGGGATAAACGGATAACTCACTGCCAGCTCAGCACTGCTCCCCACACAGGAAGTCTGAGGTTGGCCTCCTTCGTTGATGCCCGACTCATTTGTTCTTGAGGAGCATTAGAACGTTCTGGGATCATACTGCTCGGTGCATGATACACGTTCTCCCCAACCCTTTTCCTCCACCTCTTCCCCAGTCAGTGGTGACCCACAGTCAGCACATGCTACAAAATCATCCTTCGCACATGGAAGGCATCACTTCATGGCCTGTGCTTACTTCCCCCTTCTGGAGCCTCAGAGGAAGCCAGCCTGCTGCACAGAGTGTAGACAGCCCAGCCACAGGCAACTACCCCAGCTCCAGGGTCCACACTGACCCCCTAATCCACATTTCCTGTTTCTCTTTTCCTTAACTCTTCAGTTTCTTGATGTCCTCCTCAGCCTCCTCATGTCTGCCTCAGGTCCTCTGAGCTAGTCAGGAGAGGCTAGGTGCTGCTGCAATAACAAGCATCCCCCAAATGTTAGTGACCTCATACAATAAGTTTGTAACCATCACAGGTCCATTGCCTCATGTGTGCAGCAAGTCAATACCCCAAGACATTGGGTCATAGCAGAGAAAGAGGTTTAATTATAGGGCTGATGAATGAGGAGATGGGAGAAACCCTCAAATCTATGTCCCTGAGGAGTTAGTGTTTTTAAGGGTTTCAGAGTGGGCTGAAGTGTGGAGAGAGTTGATTGGTAGAAAAGTGCAAGGTGAAGTCATGGGACAGGGAGAGGAAGAAGCTGTATTCTCATGATGATTTTGCTTCTCTGTGGGGGTCTTCAGACTGGTTGGTGTCAGTTGTTCCACTGAAATTTGGGATCGGAAAACATCTTCAGGAATTCTTAAACAAAAGCCTCTGACTCTAACACCAGAGATCCTATGTATAGGAAAAACGGGGATGTGAGTGGTCGCTATCCATTGCTGCGTGACTTTCCCTTATAAGGAAGTGGGTCAAAGGACAGCCTGATACTGGGTGAAGTGGCTCACGCCTGTAATCCCAGCATGTTGAGAGGCTGAGGAGGGTGGATCACTTTAGCCCAGGAGTTTGAGGCCAGCTTGGGCAACATAGTGAGACCCTGTCTCTACAAAAAATAATTTAAAAAAAATTAGCCAAGTGTGGTGGCATTTGCCTGTGGTCCTAGTTTCTTGGGAGGCTGAAGTAGAAGGATCACATGAGCCCAGGAGGTTGAGGCTGCAGTGAGTGATGATTACATCACTGTACTCCAGCCTGGGCAATAGAGCAAGACCCTATCTCAGAAAAAAAAATAGTGCATCCTGATTAATGCTTAATTATAATTATATTTCTATCCAAAATGCTTGTCAATCATATGAGGATGGCGTCAAGCTTATTTCTTGCTGGTCCTACATGTCTAACATGGGTTGGCAGGGGATTTCTACAAACACTTAAGGACCCAGGTTGATGAAGATTTCTCCACACCCGAGTCCCTGATCACTGTGGCACGAGAAGAAGGCAATGCGGCAAATTGCGCACAAGCCCCCAGAGCTCACATTTCAGGGCCACAGCAAGTCATGTGGCCAGGGCTAATTTCAGTGGATGCAGAGAATTAAAATTTTACCATGAACCAGAAGGAGAAAAGAACCGGGATAGTTGTGGATGGTTTAGTGACTACAGCCTCTCCTCTTACTGACAGCGTGCGGGGATCCATCAGCCCTGCTGACCTTGGCTGTCCTTCCTGGCTCAGCTTGGCTCGCTCCTTCCATTTTAATCCACCCACGGGTTGCAGGGGGAAAAAAAAATCTCTCTGGCTGCAGTAACCAACCACTACTTCCTGCCAGAGGAAGGAATCGATCATCATTCATGGGAGATGAGAGTCATGTTATTAAGCAAAATTCCCAGAGAATTCTCAAACACTCACTTAAGCCTGTAATTTTTACTCAGCCAGTCAGGTAAGTTCCACAAACATTTCTCAAGCCCATATTATGTACCAAGGACCCTGAGAGTTGCTGGGTTATACATTTTAACCACACACAGTCCCAGCTCTGAAAGAGCTCTGATACTAACATGCAGGCAGGCACATTCAAAAACCTCCCAAGCAAGTCTTGCCTTTGCAGGGGTACAGATGGGGCCGGAGGAAGGCATCCAAGGGGAGCCAGTGGGGAGAGTCAGCATGCGTGTCTCAGTCCGAGCTCAGGAGCCGATAATGTTCTCTTCAGCAGAGAAGTTGCATCCAGGAATCTTGCCCTTGCCTGCTCTGGGCAGGCAGGATCAAAACGCATCACTTTCAACAAACCAAGGCCTTTCTGAGAGATGACAGTGAATGAACGGTCTTAGCATGGGTTCAAGTCTCAGCTTCTCCTCTTGCAAGTGAATGGCTCTCTTAGCTGTTTTCTCATTTCTAAAATGATGTTTTTCTGAGGATTAGATGAGACAATGTCTGCAAGTCACTCAGCACAGTCCCCTGAAGGTAGCAGGCAGCCAGGAAGCATTTCCTCTGCTGATATCCATGAGGCATGTCTGAGCATCTGCAGTGGGTGCCCAATGTACTTCACGCTCAGAGTGGGTTCCTTTTTATCACACATACCCCATTTACAACAAAATGTTTTTAGTAATAATCATTGTATTCGTCCATTTTCACACTGCTGATAAAGACATACCTGAGACTAGGCAATTTACAAAAGAAAGAGGTTTATTGGACTTACAGTTCCTCACGATCATGGTGGAAAATGAAAGGCACATCTCATATGGCAGTGGCAAGAGAGAAAATGAGAGCCACATGAAATGGGTTTCCCCTTATCAAACCATCAGATCTCGTGAGACTTATTCACTACCATGAGAACAGTATGGGGGAAACCACCTCCATGATTCAATTATCTCCCACCTGGTCCCTCACACAACACATGGGAGTTACGGGAGTACAGTTTAAGATGAGATTTGGGTGGGGACACAGAGCGAAACCATATCAGAAATGCAATGACTAATAATAATGGCCAGACTAATGCAGTTAAAGTTCCCTTTTATTGAACTTTGTATATATAATCATGAGAGTAAAACTTAAAATATAAAATAAATACCCACTACAACAAAGGAAAGATGCAATGGATTCAAGCTTTTTAATTACATTAATTTTTTAAATATATAATGAGGACAACTATGTACCTAAAAACTGGTCTTTCGGCCAGGCACGGTGGCTCATGCCTGTAATCCCAGCACTTTGGGAAGCAGAGGCGGGTGGATCACCTGAGGTCAGGAGTTCTAGACCAGTCTGGCCAACACAGTGAAACCCCCATCTCTACAAAAATACAAAAATTAGCTGGGTGTGGTAGCGCATGCCTGTAATCCCAGCTACTCGGGAGGCTGAGAGAGGAAAATTGCTTGAACCAGGGGGCAGAGGTTGCAGTGAGCCGAGATCACACCATTGTACTCCAGCCTGGGAAAAAAGAGTGAAACTCTGTCTCAAGCAAAACAAAACAAAAACAAAAACAAAACAAAACTGGTCTTTCATGGCCATGAACAATATTATAGTTGAACAGCAATTGAACAAAATCAAGATGAATAGAAAAAACGCATTTAAATTTTAAATATTCACATTTTCAAATATTTTTCAAATTTAATAATGTATTTCACATATGAAGAATTTGCACATAACAGAGATATTGTACTTTCAGGTTGCTTTGTGTTTCACAGAAAGTATACTATCTCTGTTACGTGCAAAGTTTAAATTTTAAACGTAAGTCAAAACTCCAAGTGATTCCATAGAAAGGCACAATTGCAGTAACTCAAATTCTGTTTCTTTATCTTTAAAGTCACTCTATCATCAGTGTTCATTTCAAACCTACTACTCAAATGCAGGAATATGTAGTTCCACAGAAGATGAGACACGATCTCACAGTGAACTTTCTCAAAAGGAACGCAAAGCAAACTTACTCTCCTAAGGAACAGATGTAGCTGAGTCCGTGCTAATCCAGGGCCAACTGTACAATTGCAAGTTGTCTGAATTAACTTCCATGTAGTGTACAACATCTATGAAGAATTGCGGCAGGCAGAATTCTAAGGCAGTCCCCAAGATTTCCAGCTCCTGGTCTACAAGCATCTTCTCCATCATCGAATCAAACATTAATATAGGGACTGCTCTGAAGGACTTTGCAGATGTAATTAAGGTCCGAAATCAGTTGATGTTTTAGGAAGATTATCCAGGTGGGCTTGGCCAAATCCCACAAGCCTTCCTGATCTGGTGCAGAGACCAGATACATGGGAAATCAGAGCTCTGAAGCATGAGAACTACTTGACACATGTGGCTGGCTCAAGGATGGAGGGGTCACGAGGCAAGGAATGTGGGTGGCCTTGGGAGCCAACAGTAGCCCCAGCCAGGAGACAGCCAGCAAGGAAATGGGAACTTCAGAACTAAGACAACAGCAAGGATCTGAATTCTGCCAGTAACGAGGATGAGCTGGGAAGTGAATTTTCCCCCAGAACCTCCAGGTGAGGACTCAGCCTGGCTGACCACATAACCTCAGCACTGTGTCCCAGAGCAGAAAGCCCACTGTGCCACACTGCACTAGACTTCTGACCCACAGACCTGTAAGCAACAGGTGGGTTTGTTTTAAGCCACTAAGTTTGTGGCAGTGGGTTATGCAGACACGGAAAACGAATACAATGGAGAAGTAATATGAATATGTTAAGGTTAATGCAAATAGATTAAAAATCTACATGAACTATTGCCGTTGTATAGAACTTAAAATAAAAAGATGTTTTTATAGGGAGGAAAATTTTATCACAGACTTTGTTTAGAATTGCCAAAGCACAGTGATAATTAAAAGTGGACTTTTAGTCAGTTTTATTATTACTCTAAAATTCTTTATGGACAGTGGCCCCAACTCCCTACAGCTGAGGGCTGCTCCCTTTGCTCTGCCCTTGGTAAGCTCCTGGAACCCAAAGAGAGGAAGAACCTTCTAGCCCAGGCAGCTATTTTGTAGCAGAGCAGAAACCTAATCCGAGGCCCTTTGACTCCCAGCCCTTCCTTTATTAGGTGGCCCTTCATTAAATTAAGGCTGCACGTATGTGGGGCAGAGTTGTGCCAAGTCTTCTATAGGTTTTCTGATAAAATTCTTAGTAAGACAACCAGCTAGAATCCACTAGGAATCACTAGCAAGAGGCTGCAAAGTTTTGTCTAAAATGAACACCTAATTGATTGAATACTACTTCAACCAAAATGGGGCCATGGAGATTGTCATCTGTCTTAGTCTGCTCAGGATGCTATAACAAATACTATAGACTGTGTGGCTTAAACAACAGAAATTTATTTCTCACAGTTCTGGAGGCTGGAAGTCCAAGATTAAAGTGCTGGCTGATTGGGTTGCTGGTGAAGCCTCTCTTCCTGGCTTGCAGATGGCCGTCTTCTCACTATGTTCTACATGACAGAGAAAGAGTGCACTCTGGTCTCTTCCTCTTCTTATAAGGACACCAGCCTCAAGATTATGAATTTGGAGGGGACACAAGCATCCAGTCCATAGCACCGTCATCTACCTCTGGGCTGGCATGTGATTTCAGACCTTTTGAAGGAGGTGTTATTTTTATTTTATTTTTTAGAGGAGCTTTTTTTAAAAAATTTCAACTTTTATTTTAGATTAAGGGGGTACACATGCAGGATTGTTACATGGGTATATTGCATGATGCTGATGTTTGGGGCATGATTGATCCCATCACCCAGGTAGTGAGCATAGTACCCGATAGCTAATTTTTCAACTTTCACTCCTCTCCATCCCTCCTCCCTCTGTAGTCCCCAGTGACTTATAAATGAGAACATGTGCTATTTGGTTTTCTGTTCCTGTATTAATTCACTTAGGGTAATAGCCTCCAGCTGCATCCATGTTGCTGCAAAGAACATGATTTCATTGTTTTTTTTTTGTATGGCTGAGTAGTATTCCATGGTGTATACAACACATTTTCTTTATCCAATGCAGATGTACTATTTTAGACTTGCATAGCTGGAAAGGACCTTGGAGATCTCACAGGTCTCCAAGACAGCCGGGTTCTCAGAGCTGCTTCTGTACTCTGCCAGTGGCAATATCACACTTTGGGTTTCCCATTCTGAGCACATTCTTCCTTGCTGTGTGATATGGTTAGGCTTTGTGTCCCCACCCAAATCTCATCTTGAAATGTAATCCCCAGGTGTTGAGGGAGAGACCTGGTGGGAGGTGATTGGATCATGGGGGCAGTTTCCCCCTGGCTGTTCTCGTTATAGTGAGGGAGTTCTCACGACATATGATGGTTGTATAAATGGTGGTTTTTCCTGGGCTTTTCACTCTCTCTTTCTCCTGCCACCATGTGAAGAAGGTCCTTGCTTCGCCTTCCGCCATGGTTGTAAGTTTCCTGAGGCCTCCCAAGCCACGTGGATCTGTGAGTCAATTAAACCTCTTTCCTTTGTAAATTACCCAGTCTCAGGAATTTCTTTATAGCAGTGTGAGGACAGGCTAATACACTGTGTTTCTTCTAATTAACTAATCACACTGGACAATCAAGGGTCATTTTCCCACTTGCTTCAGGGACCATGGAGCAAGCTCCAGAGTGTCAGAGGGCCTGGGGCAAGCTCGCCACCCCTCACACAGCACAGGGCCACAGCACATTTGTATTCAGAGATACAGTGGCCACATTTATTGGTATTTCTGTCACAATTCAGCTTCAAGGCAGAGTTGTGGTTTGTCAGTTATATGTAGTTTGAAGGCATTTTCCATTTAGTTTATAGATGTGTGTCTCAAATCTGTGAAACTGGTGACCCCTGAGATATATCCCTGGACTCCTAGTTTGAGAGACCCTTTGTTAAAAGTTAAGTGCTGTATCTCCCAGTGACAACTGTACCAACGTGTTCCAGTAACATACAAAGATGCAAACTGTCAATGAAATCTTTGGGCAATGCCTGGTTTTCCAAATAATCCTGAGTATGTTGTGTATTCAGTCTTTTTGTGATTACTGTCCATATAACAATAATAATAATGGATAACATTTGTGTCTGTTTTTCCCCTTTTGGGTTCTTATGGCTGATCCCAAAGAATGAAGAGCCCACATGGCCCAGCTTTTATATGAATCCCTCAAAAAGCACAAAAAAGGAGTCCAATTTTATAACCTACACCAACAATTCTCAAACGTTTTGGTCTCACTCTTTAAAATTATTGAGGGCTCTTTTTAGAGGCACCTCAGAGGCAATCAGCCACTTCAAGATGAAGCTGAATGTCTCCTTTCTAGCTGTCGGCTGCCAGAAGCTCCTTGAAGTGGATGAGGAATGCAAACTTTGTATTTTTTTATGAGAAGTATACAGCCACAGAAGTTGTTGCTGACACTCTGAGTGAAGAATGGAAAGGTTCTGTGATGGGAATCAGCGACAGGAACGACAAACAAGCTTTCCCATGAAGCAGGGTGTTTGACTCATGGCTGGGTCTGTGTACTACTGAGCAAGGGGCATTCCTGTTACAGAGCAAGGAGAACTGGGGCAAGAAGCACGAAGCTGTTTGCAGTTGCATTGTGGATGCCAATCCAAGCTTTCTAAACTTCGTTATTATGAAAAAAAAAAAGAGGATAGAAGGATATTCCTGGACTGACTGATACTGTGGAGCATCATCGCCTGGGGCCCAAAAGAGCTAGCAGAATCCACAAACTTTTCAGTTTCTCTAAAGAAGATAGTGTCCACCAATCTGTTGTTAAGAAAGCCCTTAAAGAAGGCAAAAAACCTGGGACCAAAGCACCCAAGATTCAGCTTCTTGTTACTCCATGTGTCTTGCAACACAAATGCTGGCGTATTGCTCTGAAGAAACAGTGTACTAAGAAAAATGAGGAAGAGGCTGCAAAATACGCTGAACTTTTGGCCAAGAGAATGAAGGAGGCCAAAGACAAACTCCAGGAACAGATTGCCAAGAGATGCACACTGTCCTCTCTGTGAGATTCAACTTCTGAGTCCAGCCAAAATTAGGATTCTTTTAAGTAACCAATAAATAAGACTAGACTCCCAAAAATAAAATAAAATAAAATTGAGGAACTCGAGAGTTTTTGTGTATGTGCCCTCCATCTAATGCTATTTACTTTATGATATGGTTTGGCTGTGTCCCCACCTAAATCTCATCTTGAATTGTAGCTCCCGTAATTTCCACGTGTTGGAATTATGGGAGGGATCCAGTGGGAGATAAATGAATCATAGGGGCAGTTTCCCCCATACTGTTCTTGAGGTAGTGATAAGTCTCATGAGATCTGATGTTTTATAAGGGCTTTCCCCTTTCTCTCTTGCCTGCCGCCATGTGAGACGTCCCTTCCTTCTACCACGATTGTGAGACCTCCTCTACCACGTGGAACTGTGAGCCCATTAAACCTCTTTTTCTTTATAAATTAACTAGTCTCTGGTATGTCTTGATAAAGCAGCGTGAAAACAGACTAATATACTCTGTTAGAAATTAGAGCTGAGAATTTAAAAATTATCTTTATTAATTCACTTTAAAAACAATAAATCCATTGGTTAAGATAAGTGACACTTTTTATTGAAAAAAGGCTGTATTAAAAAAACTTTAACAGGAAGAGTAGACTTGTTTTACATTTTTGCAAATCTTTTTAATGTCTGGCTTAATAGAAGACAGCTGGGTTCTCCGAGCTGCTTCTGTACTCCGCCAGTGGCAATATCACACATCGGATGGTTTCTAGTACACTCCACTGTGCGAGTATGAGGGAGGGAGTAAAAAAGGCAGATAATAGCTTCCTGTCATGGTGAAAATACTTGCAGGCATGCAGGTGCCCTGAAGGGTCCCAGGGACACACAATCTTCAACACACCTTGAAAACCACTGACCCAGCCTCTCTTCAAATGCCTTTTCCTTTTCTTTCTGATTCTCTCTCCTCTGAGACCGCTCTGGGGTTCTCACTGTGAGACCATGCTTCCATCAATCCAACAGCCAGTGGGGCAATATTTTCTCATGTCTCTACATCCTCCCACACTCTCTGCACTGAGAAACTCTACTTAGCCTTTTTCTGGCTTCTTCTTATTTTATTTATTTATTTATTTAGTGCTTCTGCTATCACTCAGATGGTCACCCAGTCCTTCTCCACTTCCATTCACCTCTCCCGTCCCCTCATCTTTATCTTTCCTCCCATTCTGTGTCACAAAAAGTCCACAAACTGGGTGAAAAAGGCAGCTCTTTATTTAAAGTAGAGGAGAGGTCAGAGATGGTGGCTCAAACCTATAATCCCAACACTTTGAGAGCCTGCGACCAGCTTGGGCAACATAGTGAGACCCTGTCTCTACGAAAAATAGAAAAAAAAATTAGCTGGGTGTGGTGGTGCGTATCTGTAGTCCCAGCTACTTGGGAGGCTGAGGTGGGAGGATCTATTGAGCCCAGGAGTTAGAGGCTGCAGTGAGCTGCGATCACACCACTGCACTCCAGCCTTGGCGACACAGCAAGGCCCTTACTCTAATAAATAAATATAGGAGAGGAGAGCAGAGTAGAAGCTGAGCAGGCAGACATTGAACTCCCTTAGGGGAGAAAAAGGGAGGTAACAATTTAATCAGTTTCCTTTCTGTCAAAAGGCTAAGCCCTAAGTGGTCTGAATCCTAATAAAACAATGGGTTGGACATGGTGGCTCACGCCTATAATCCCAGCACTTTGGGAGGCTCAGGCGGGCAGATCACCTGAGGTCAGGAGTTTGAGACCAGCCTGGTCAACATGGCAAAACCCTGTCTTTACTAAGAATACAAAAATTAGCCAGGTGGGCCGGGCACGGTGGCTCACGCCTGTAATCCCAGCACTCTGGGAGGCCGAGGCAGGCGGATGACGAGGTCAGGAGATCGAGACCATCCTGGCTAATACGGTGAAACCCTGTCTCTACAAAAAATACAAAAAATTAGCTGGCCATGGTGGCGGGTGCCTGTAGTCCCAGCTACTTGGAAGGCTGAGGCAGGAGAATGGTGTGAACCTGGGAGGCAGAGCTTGCAGTGAGCCGAGATTGCTCCACTGCACTCCAGCCTGGGCGACAGAGCGAGACTCCATCTCAAAAAAAAAAAAAAAAAAAAAGACTAATAAAATACTGCTCTATTAAATCCCCCCAGGGTACCCTGTGTGTACCCCTATCATGTTCCCTGCCTCTCACATCCCGTTGTTCTTGCCTACTGGTCTCCCCCACCCTGGCTGGACTGTCACACAGTGCCTGGGGCCATAAGTATTGAATAATGCATGGACGCACCCAAGAGCAAATATGAGAGAGATGGGGGTTTCCCCTTTGTGGTTATTTCACTGCGTCTTCACCTATGGGCCCCCATTTCAGCCCCTGGAGTCTAGGACCCAAGTCTAATTTACCACTGCACCCCTGTGCACAGTGCCTGGCACATGGCAGGTGTTTAGTCAATGTCCACTGAACGACGAGGAACACACCTGTTTGAAGGCCTCAGCCTTAGCGTCAATATCACCTGAACAGAATATCAGTGGCTGCCTCATTTTCCCCTTGGTTGCACACCACAAAATTAAAATTTATAACTTCTGTGCCCCAAATTGTGAATGTGCTGTTGGTTTTGCTGCAAACAAAGTAAATGAAGAATTTTGCTTTGGCCCTGTCTTCTTTGAGGCCAAAGTCATTAAAACATCTGTTCCTACACATGGAGGTTCTAGGCAAGATTTGAGCAGATAATGATGCAGAAAACATCTGTATCATAAGAAGAATTTGAGAAAGATGAGGGGAAAGAGGTTGAATTTATAGTGGCTTAAATAAAAGAATATTTCCCCATCCCACTACTCCCCCTCCTCGTTTATGATAAAAACCAGACGGCTGAACCGAGTGCCACTGAAGGCTGGGACCCCAGTCCGAGGGAACTGACACTTGGATGGGCAAATGGTGTCTCAGGTAGCCATCGGAGGGCCTGGGGGCCCCATGCAGATGTTGGGGGGCTGTCTGTGCTTTTGCACACATCTGCCTCCCTCATAAGGGCCAGGTGGGCCTTGGCTCCCACTTCTGCATCACAGGGGCAGAGTGAAGCCGAGTGGGTGCTGGGAATGAAGCCCAGCTGAGCCCCCAGGCCTTCCTTCCCCATCCTCCTCTTCCACCCAGTGATAAAAGATGCCCCCAAATCAGATTAAAATGACATGTTTTGGTGGTTCCTATAACTTGAAGGATGTTGCTCTATCTACTTTCCTGAAAGTTGTCATCTCTGTGAAGCCCCAGATGAACTTGGACGTTATGTCTGTCTTCGCTCTTTGAGGCGGGGCCCACTGTATTCTGGGGTGAGCTCCATTATCCCACCTTTGCCAAAGTACACAGCAAGGGTCAAGTAGAGGCCTCTGGCCTTAAGTAGCACCTTCTGAGTCCCCTTTCCTGCAGGTCTGAGTGGCCAAAAAGAACCTTGGTACTTACGTTATTCATTTCTTTATTGCTGGCTTTCATTGGGTTGCTGTTGAGGGAGCTTTGTCAAATGAGTTCAGAGCTAGGTTTATTTGCAAACTTATTTATTTACGCTTATTTTAACTTACATATTACTTACTTTAAACTCCCCCAACCATCTCTGTGCCTTTTTTAATTCCATTTAAAAAATGTTAGGCTGGGTGCGGTGGCTCATGCCTAATCCTAGAACTTTGGGAGGCCAAGGTGGGAGGATCACTTGAACCCAGGCGTCTGAGACCAGCCTGGGCAATATAGCAAGGCCCCATCTCTAGAAAAATTAACAATAATTAGCCGGGCATGGTGGCACACACTTGTGGTCCCAGCTACTCAGGAGGCTGAGGTGGGAGGATCGCTTGAGCCCACTGGGTGAGAGGTGATTGCATGACTGCACTCCAGCCTGGGAGAGGGAGATTCTGTCTCAAAAATAAATAAATATATAAATAAATAAATAAATAAAGGATGCAAGATGAGATGCTCATTAGTAAAGAGTCTGGAGATGAGGCGTGGTGGGTGTGGGACCCCCAGGGCCAGTGTTATTATTATTTTTTTGGAGGAGGAAGTGTAGTACTCTAGGCTGTTCATCATTATCTCAAGAAGGATGGACCACAAATCTTTCTGCTTCCCTTCAAGCCACTAGTTTCATGGTCTGAGGATAATGCAGAAGTAAGGAAATGAAGGGAAACGAGAAAAGGGAACAGGAGTGTGATATTCCCCTTCCTGTGTCCATGTGATCTCATTGTTCAATTCCCACCTATGAGTGAGAATATGCGGTGTTTGGTTTTTTGTTCTTGCGATAGTTTACTGAGAATGATGGTTTACAGTTTCATCCATGTCCCTACAAAGGACATGAACTCATCATTTTTTATGGCTGCATAGTATTCCATGGTGTATATGTGCCACATTTTCTTAATCCAGTCTATCATTGTTGGACATTTGGGTTGGTTCCAAGTCTTTGCTATTGTGAATAGTGCCGCAATAAACGGGAGGGGGGAGGGATAGCATTGGGAGATATACCTAATGCTAGATGACACGTTAGTGGGTGCAGCGCACCAGCATGGCACATGTATACATATGTAACTAACCTGCACAATGTGCACATGTACCCTAAAACTTAGAGTATAATAAAAAAAAAAAAATTAAAAAAAAAAAATAAATAAATAAATAAATAAATAAATAAATAAATAAATAAAAGAACAGGAAGCCTTTCCCTCGGATTAAAAGGAGGTGAGGAGGTGAGGAGGTGGGAGGAGAAACTGGGAGAAAACCAGAGCGCCCCTGGCCACTCGGGAGAGAGGGAGAGGCTCTGTGGCCTGCTACTGAGGGGAGCCGAGTGCCTGATGCTGGCAGTGGGCTGAGCAGGGCTCACTCCATGCGGGGAGTCAGTCGGTCCAGCAGGGCCTTCCCCAGGTGTACACAGCTACCTCAGACCCAGGAACGAGGCTTCCAGCCCCAGCCCCAGCCCACACCAGGAATTCTCCCACCCAGGACTTCTCCAGCCTCAGCATGCATCAAAATCACTGCAAGGGTTTGTTGAAACACAGTGGGCTGGGCCCCACACCCCGGAATTTTTATTTTTTTATTTTGAGACAGAGTTTCACTCGTGATGCCGAGGCTGGAGTGCAATGTCGCTATCTTGGCTCACTGCAACCTCCACCTCCTGGATTCAAGTGATTCTCCTGCCTCAGCCTCCCAATTGTCCCAAGTAGCTGGGATTACAGGCGTGCGCCACTATGCCCAGCTAATTTTTTTGTATTTCTAGTAGAGATGGGGTTTCGCCATGTTGGCCAGGCTGGTCTTGAACTCCTGACCTCAGGTGATCTGCCCACCATGGCCTCCCAAAGTTATGGGATTACAGGCATGAGCCACCACACCCAGGCAATCCCCAGAATTTTGAACTCAGGTGTAGTTGGGTCCCAGTCAAGCTGGAGTAGATACAGCCTGAGAATATGCATTTCTTTCTTTTTCTTTTCTTTTCTTTCTTTCTTTCTTTTTTTTTTTTTTTTGAGACAGAGTTTTGCTCTCGTTGCCCAGGCTGGAGTGCAATGGCGTGATCTCGGGTCACCCCAATCACCACCTCCCAGGTTCAAGCAATTCTCCTGCCTCAGCCTCCCAAGTAGCTGGGATTACAGGCAGGTGCCACCACGCCTGGCTAATTTTTTTTGTATTTTTAGTAGAGATGGGGTTTCTCTACGTTGGTCAGGCTGATCTCGAACTCTCTCGACTTCAGGTGATCCACCCGCCTCAGCCTCCCAAAGTGCTAGGATTACAGGCATGAGCCACCGCACCCGGCCGAGAACGTGCATTTCAAATGCCTGAGAATGTGCATTTTTAAGTCCCTGGTGATAGTCACGCTGCTGGTATGAAGAGCACACTTTGAAAACCATGTTGCAGCTCCCCAACCTCACAGTTGCCTGTGTACCTGTTTCGACCACCAGATTTTGCCTGGTTCCCATCGTATCACCCATGTGAACCTCCCCTCACATCTCTATGCCTCTTCTCCTGGGCATCTCAAGGAGTGTTGAGGACAGAACCCTCTTTCTCCACCTGCTCTTGGGGTGGGGCTGAAGCAGTTTAAGAACATCCCCCTGGGCAACAAGCATTAGTTCAGCACTTACCAGCACTTATTATTTTTTTTTTTTTTTTTGGAGAAGGAAGCTGTTTCTGTTTATTCAAAATAAAACTTTTGCAGTTGCCCATCAAAGCTTTATATGGTTTGCATTAAATGCTGAAGATTCAATCCATATATACAAGCTTTGAGCACTTGTATTATATTAAAATAATAAAATGTGCCATTTTAACCACTTAAAATGTACACTTAAAATCGTACACCTTAAAAGTGTACAATTCTGCTGGGCGCAGTGGCTCACCCCTGTAATCGCAGCACTTTGGGAGGCTGAGGCGGGTGAATTACCTGAGGTCAGGAGTTCGAGACCAGCCTGGCCAACATGGTGAAAACTTGTCTCCACTAAAAATACAAAAATTAGCCAGGCCAGGTGGCACGTGCCTGTAGTCCCAGCTACTCAGGAGACTGAGGCAGGAGAATTGCTTGAACCCAGGAGGCAGAGGTTACAATGAGCCAGGATTGCACCACTGCACTCCAGCCTGGGCAACAGAGTGAGACTCCATCTCAAAAAAAAGAAAAAAAAACGTGTACAATTCAGTGATATTCAGTACATTGCATTCACAATGTTACGTAGCCACCATCTCTATCTAGTTCCAAAACATTTTCCAAAGTAAAACTTACTTAGTAAGTAGCTTCTTCCCATTCCCCCTTTCCCTAGCCTCTGACAACCATTCACCTACTTTCTGTCTGTATGGATTTATCTCTTCTGAATATATCACATACAAGGAAGCATACAATATGTGGCTTCTTATGTCTGGCTTATTTCATTTGGTTTAATGTTTCTAAGGTTAATCTGAGCGTCAGCGCTCCATTCCTTTGCATGGCTGAGTAGTATTCTATCACCTGGATAGACCCATTGCTTGTTATTTTGAAGCCCGCACTTGACCCTACCTGCCTACCTGCCGGCCTTCCTGTCTCTCTTCTCTTCCAGGACAGAAACTCCCTGTGCTATTCCCGGCATCTAGAAGAATACTTAAGATCTAGCAGGCGCTCTTAAATATTTGCAACCTGGCTGGCCAGCTGACTTCCTTTCCCTCCTTCACTCTTCTGCTTCCATCCAATATTTCTTCAGCAGAAAGTAACTGACCACCTGAGGGTGGAGACCCGGGCTGGCTGCATTCAGGCCCTTCTTCCAGTGAGCTAACAGTACAAGGTGGCAGGAAATGGGGCACTTTCATTTTCAAAGCCCCAGCTTCTTTCCCCTGTGCTTACAGGCATTTGGCGGCCTGTCTGGAGGGGGCTGGAGATAAGAGGGATGTACACATGAGGCAAGATGGTTCGGTACTCAGCTATGCCTAAAGGTGCACCGGGTAGCCTGTGGCCACGTGGTTGGCAGGCTGGGCTGGAGAGGTACTGGGAATACAGGTTGCAGTGAGTAGAGTCCTCCCTGGCTGCTCCTGGGTGTGGGCAGCATCTCAGCCCTTCAGCGGATCTTCCTAACATCCTTCCTCACCACTGCCAGACCCTTGACATCTCAACGCCTCTTGGAGCTGGAGCTTCTCATAACCTTGGGGCAATAAAAGCCTATTCTCCTTCTGGCTATTTTACTCAAGTACTTTGTCTGTGCCCAAAACCAGGACACTCCTTTGTCTCCCATTGCCTAATCAAGTCCATCCCCAGGGAAACACACACAGAACAGCCTCTATTTGAAGGGGGATTTTTGCATAATGTTCTAAAACATTAAACTGCTTCAAGGGCCTTTCGTGGGTAATATTCTGGAATAATATGGTGGCTAGGATCAAGTCCCTGTCCCTCAGAAGCTATGTGAACTGGGCTGTGGATCTGTCATGTGTCATGACCACCTGTCTGTTCATTTTTTCCATAACCACGACTGTAAGATCAGCTTACCATCCACCTGACCACAAGCCTGACTGTTTGGCTCTGATCATTGAATGAGACACGTTTTCTTGAGAGCTAACAGACAGCTATAGCCTCCTAGCCCAAGCAGATTATTTTCAAACTTATCTCAAGTGACATGATTTCAGTAGGTGCAGCACAGAAGCATTTGAAATGCACTTTGTGAAATAATGTGAAAGCTACTTCTGCAAATAGACTAAAAAGGAGAAATCTCTCTTTTAAAAAGCAATATACGTTTTCATTTTGCCACTTACGGATGCATGAGAATGGCTTTCAGAAATATTTTTTTCCAAAGGGTACAATATGCCTTGCATCCAAGGTGGCTCTTTGATTTTGGTAATAAAAAGTGATTACAGTGGCCTATTAATTTACAGAGACTAATTCAAGCCTGGGGATACAGTCTAGAATTTTGTAGGCAGTTACCAACAGCTGCAAAAAGCCCCGTGAATCCTGGTCCCAAGTGGAGTCATCATAAAAATTACAGCAATGGAATCTGCAAGGATTAAGGAGTAGCGATGATAAAACAGCAGCCAGACTAATTTTGGCTGCAGAAATGCATCATGTGAGTGACTGGGCTTCCTGGATTTAACTTCAACCCGAGAAATCATTGCGAGCACCCATTATGTGCCAGGGATATACATGGACTGAGAAATACAAAATGGTCATGATAAGCTCAGTCACGCCCATTGAAAGCACCTCCCTTTTAGAAGCACAGTTGAAGGAATGACTTTTACCAGGGGTTGGGAAAGTTCCTTGGAAGAAATGACATAAGGCAAGGAGAAAAGGAGGGAGGAATCCCAGAAATGGAGGCTTTCTAGCTTGGATATGGGGGCAGGTGAAACTGGAACAAAATAAGACCTCAGGGGGAGGATTGGGAGGGAGGCAGAGGCTGTGTTTGAACACCTGACATTTGAGATGCCTGCAGAATTTGCACTTGGCTTTGGAGAATATGACAACAACAGTGACAATATATTTTATGTTTTCAGTTCTGCTGATTTTTTTTTAAGACTTCAAACTCATACTGCATGACACACTCTTTTAAAGGCAGATTGCTAATCTTTTATAGCAACTTGAGTTCCTCTTAAATTATCCTTGGCTATAGACTTGGATTTGTATGAACTCAGGATTGTCTTTGTCTTCTCATCCCATGCTGGGGGGAACCCAGATAATTTCTGGTCACAGCTGCAGATCTGTGGTTGTAAGTGATCTCTTGGAAAATAGCCGTAAAGTTGCTGAAATTATCCTTTTAAATTTTTTATTTCATTTCATGACATAAAATACTTTAGCTTTGTTCTTGTGGCTAGATCTCAATTCCTGGCATTTCCCCAACCATGCTGTATTATCAAAGAGCTTCATGAATTTTTAAACAAAGTGAGCCTACTTTCCAGAGCCTTTCTTTTTCCAGGGACTTCAACTTTTTAAAGATCAGTTACACTCGCAGAAAAATCCAGAATGAATGAAAACTGTTGCTTCTACCACCCACTGCAGCACATAGATTTTTTTAAGTTCTCTTCTAAATACTTACTTGGAAATTACTCTGGTAGGGTCATTCTTTTTTCTTAGCTCACCATTGCTTATTACAATGTAATTGATTTTTCTTTGCAAATCTAAATTTGTTGCTGTTTAATAATTACCCAACTTCCAGAATGTAGATAAGGATGTACCATCAGTCCCTATCTTTTAAGAAATTATTTTTTAAACTATGCAATTATTTTAGCCTGTATTAGGATCATAAATGGTATTTTAAAAGATTACTACATAAAACATGTAAGACTTGTATATGGCAAACATTCACCCAAATAATGAATGAATGAATGAATAAATAAATAAATAAAACAATCAAGTGATCAAAGGAAAAGCAGGGGAAAATATTTGCAAAATATCCTATTGAAATTGTTAATATCCAAATTACAATCCTTACTACAGAAAGAGCTGTTGTGGGCCAGGTGTGATGGTTCATGCCTGTAATCCCAGCACTTGGGAGGCCAAGACCGGTGGATTGCTTGAGCCTGTGAGTTCAAGTCCAGCCTTGGCAACACGGAGAGACCATCTCTAAATTTTAAAAAAGAAAGGGCTCTTGTGAACCAACAAGAAAAGAAAGGTAAAGAATATTATTAATGAATTCACGAAAGAAATTTAAAAATGTATAAAACATATGGAAAAGATAAACAATTTTAGTAATAATCGAAGAAATCGAAATAAAAATTCACTCATTAGATTAGCAACAATTTTTTAAAAATTGGTTTAAGAAACAAAGCACAAACAACTAGTGTTGACTGGTCTATGGGAAAACAAGCAGGTATTTGAAAACACTGTGTGTGACAGGAAAAACAGAAACAGCCTTTCTGTAATGCAACTTGACAGTATCTATTAAAAATTTAAACACACATGCTGCTTTAACCAGTGATTTCATTTCTAGAAAAATTTGCTAAGAAGGCTGGGCGCAGTGGCTCATGCCTGTAATCCCAGCACTGTGGGAGGCCGAGGCAGGTGGATCACTTGAGGCCAGGAGTTCAAGACCAGCCTGGCCAACATGGGGAAACCCTGTCTCTACTAAAAATACAAAAATTAGCCAGGCATGGTGGCGCATGCCTGCACTCACAGCTATTGGGAGGCTGAAGCAGGAGAATTGCTTGAACCCCAGAGGCGGAGGTTGCAGTGAGCTGAGATCACACCATTGTACTCTAGCTTGTGCGACAGAGTGAGACCCTGTCTCAAAACAAAAAAAAAAAAAGGAAACTTTGCTAAGAAAATCACCATCTACTTGTGCAGAGAACTCTGTAGAATTTTATCCACTGCTCTCTTGTTTACAGTGGGGAAAGGGATAAGATCTCCTGTTTGTTTAGTAACAAAATATATTTTCTTTATAATAATAATAAAGCTATTACAATTAGGGGAAACATGAAGGATATGACTGAAGTTTTCCAAAAATGGACGATAGAATATTTTCCCTTTATATACCATGGAGAAAAGCACTAGTAGCTTATGAATTTGACATAATTTGGGGAACCTGGAAATGACTTAGCACTGGAGTGTGTCCAGCCAACATTAAGGTCAGACAAAGATCACTTTCAGTCAGCACAGTGTTAATAGCTAAGAAAGCTGAGCCTCAGTTAGATCTATTGTCAAAGAAGACAGAATCTTTTTCTTTCTTTTTTTTTTTGAGATGGAGTCTCGCACTCTGTCACGCTGGCTGGAGGGCAGTGGTGAGATCTCGGCTCACTGCAACCTTTGCCTCCCGGGTTCAAGAGATTCTCATGCCTCAGCCTCCTGAGAAGCTGGGCTTACAGGTGCCCACCATCACACCTGGCTAATTTTTTTATTTTTAGTAGAGACAGGGTTTCACCATGTTGGTCAGGCTGGTCTTGAACTACTGACCTCAAGGGATCCGCCTGCCTTGGCCTCCCAAAGTACTGGGATTACAGGTGAGAGCCACTGCGCCTAGCCTACATACTTAATTTTACATTTTTGGAGTGCTGTTGTGCGACTCAGCTCACTGCAAGAGTAGATTAGAAAACAATTTCTCTCTGGTAAAGAAAGTTACCCTAAAGCTTACAGTTTTCTTTTCCTGTTTAGGACATTAATCAATTTTGGACAGTAACCATCTCCTGCTAAAAACAATTCATATGTTGAAATCCTAACCCTTACTTCCTCAGAATGCATTTGGAAATAGGGCCTTTGAAGAGGTGATTAAGTTAAAATGGGGTCATTAGGGTGGGCCCTAATCCAATATGACTGCTGTCCTCATAAGAAGAGACTAGGACACAGACACACACAGAGGGAAGACCACGTGAAGACAAAAGGGAGGCCAGGTGCTGTGGCTCACGCCTGTAATCCCAGCACTTTGGGAGCATTGCTTGAGCCCAGGAGTTCAAGACCTGTTGAGACACCATACTGAGACCCTGCCTTTACAAAAAATTAAAAATAAAAAATTACCCAGGCATGGTGGTATACACCTGTAGTCCCAGCTACCCCAGAGACTGAGGTGGGAGGATTGCTTGAGCCCGGGAGGTGGAGGCTGCAGTGAGCTATGATTGTGCCACTGCACTCTAGCCTGGGTGACAGGGCAAGACCCTGTCCCAAAATAAAAACAAAAACAATAAAAAAGGGAAAAGGTAGACATCTGTAAGCCAAGGAAAGAAGTTTCAGAAAGAACCAACTCTGCCAACACCATGATCTCAGACTTCCAGCCTCTAGAACTATGAGATAATAAATTTATCTTGTTTAAATCACTCACTGCAGTACTTTGTTATGGCAACCCGAGTAACTAATACTCTTAGCTAAGTCATTTCAGCATGCCTTTCCTGACTAAATACATTCTTGAATTCTACTTTGAAACAGCTTTAATGTCCTGTTGAATCTCTCAACTAGTGTTTGTATGTAAGTCATGTTTTTAGCCTTTTGAACATTGAACTTTGACATGAAAAAAAATGTTAAGGCCAGGCGTGGTGGCTCACGCCTGTACTCCCAGCACTTTGGGAGGCCAAAGTGTGGGTGGATCACTTGAGGCCCAGTAGGTTGAGACCAGCCTGGCCAACATGGTGAAACCCCGTCTCTACTAAAAATACAAAAATTAGCCGGGCATGGTAGCACATGCCTGTAGTCCCAGTTACTCTGGAGGCTGAGGCAGGAGAATCACTTGAACCCGGGAGGCGGAGGTTGCAGTGAGCCGAGATGGTGCCACTGCACTCCAGCCAGGGCAAGAGAGTGAGACTCCATCTCAAAAAAAAAAAAATTTTTTTAAATCTTGTTTTCCTCGTATTGGACATTTATTAAATCTGAGTACACATTTCCAAATGTTCTTTTGTTAATTCTTTTGCTATCTGGGATATCAATCAATATGTTGTGAGCCAACAATGCTCATCAGCTTTAATTTGATCTTCTTTTGTTTTTAGCATCCCACAGGGACTTCAGTTACAGTACTCTATGGCTAGTTACCTTCCAACTTACTTAGATAATTCTCCTTCCTTCTTGATGTTATCTTGGTCAAAGGGAGCTCTCAGAGTTTCGTCAGTGAAGGGCCCAAGCCTCGAAAAGCTTTCTGGATGAAAGGGGGCAGGCAGGCAGAAGAAAGGGAGGTGTTTCCAGGCTTCAGGGAAGTGCCTGGAGAGAAACTGCTTGGGCCTCTGCAGGGTGGAGGGGGTTGTGGCATTAAGTACCCTGTACCAGCATCATTCCACGATATTAGCAGACATAAAATCTAATATAACCCATTTGCAATTCATCTGGGACCGTATCTTTAATCTCACCAGAGTCTGACACTTTAGTCACAGCAAGCTATTTATATACTAAAACAGCTATTCCCCATCACCAGAGTGGATCAAATCTCTTCCATTTACCAAAGAAAGAGAACAGGCCCTCTCTCTGCAACGAGATGGGAGGTAGTTGTTTTTATTAAGAAAAACATGGCCCTGTCGGGCACGGTGGCTCACCCCTGTAATCCCAGCACTTTGAGGGGCTGAAGCGGGCAGATCATGAGGTCAAGAGATCAAGACCATCCTGGCCAGCATGGTGAAACCCCATCACTACTAAAAATACAAAAATTAGCTGGGCATGGTGGCACATGCCTGTAGTCCCAGCTACTCGGGAGGCTGAGGCAGGAGAATCGCTTGAACCTGGGAGGCAGAGGTTGCAGTGAGCCGAGATCGAGCCACTGCACTCCAGCCTGGCAACAGAGGGAGACTCTATCTCAAAAAAAAAAAAGAAAAGAAAAGAAAAACATGGCGGGCACAGTGACTCATGCCTGTAATCTTAGCACTTTGGGAGACCAAGGCGGCCGGATCGTGAGATCAAGAGATCGAGACCATCCTGGCCAACGTGGTGAAACCCCATCTCTACTAAAAATACAAAAATTAGCTGGGAGTAGTGGCGCATGCCTGTAGTCCCAGCTACTAGGGAGGCTGAGGCAGGACAATCACTTGAACCCAAGAGGTGGAAGTTGCAGTGAGCTGAGATCGCACCACTGGACGCCAGCCTGGTGACAGAGTGTGACAACGTCTCAGAAAGGAAAAAGAAAAAAAAAACGTTAGGTGATTTTCTGTAAGGCAAACATGTATTAGCTTATTCAAGACACTAGGCACCAATAAGGAAACACTTCGCCCAGTGAAGAAAATGACATCAGGGTGTTTGGAATAATTAATCAATAGTGAATGAAATAATTAACTTAAAATTTAATAAGTAATTAAGATAATGAACGAATAATGAGTGGATACTCATGGAGAGGCTGGTTGGGAGTGCATGAGGAAAGTGGGAGTCAGTTTGAAGACTACAGCCCTGGCCCCAAGTGCACAGGTCCTGGGAACAGAAGCAGAGAAATTATCACCTTTATTTTCTTTAATCCCCAAGTAGAAATAAATATTCAATAAATGTGTTATTTTTTATTTTCATCCTTGCCAGCAGAAGGTCAATCAATAAATATGTTACATACCTTTGTCTGGAAGATGTTGTGCTGTCTACTGTCCAAGAGTGGTGGCAGCCGGCACAGCTCATTGCTGAGCTTATGGCTCGGGATCATGAGAATGGACAAGCTGTATGTGCGCTGACCACCTGCTCATGCCAGGCACTGACCGGCAGTATCTCACCTTATGGAACCTTCACCAACAGCCCTGAAGAGAAGCTACGTCATCTCCCTTTGGAGGGGAGGAAGTAAAGCTCACAGAGTTAAGAACTCTGCTCACAATTATTTAGAGGCCAAGTCAGGTACAAAATTTCAAGTTGACTCCCAAAGTTCATGCCATACAGGCACCAGTAAGTCTAATATGCATCCTCAGATGAATGATGTGTGTCCTGGAAACAACAGGCATTTTTCTTAACTGTCTAATTTATCTCATAGGCAACAATATTGTAACAATGATTACATAGCATTTTTAAAAATCATAAGCAACAAAAACCTGTCATTGAAATTTGAAGGACAACCAATGTTATCCCTACCTTACTATCTTACAGCCTATGCCTTCTTCCTGTCTGTTTGCTTTCATTTGCAAACATTTCATTTGTTATTTGTTTTCGTTTTTTCCTATATGGGTGTTTCTTGGAGTTATTTTGCTTCTTGACCCTGGCCATGCCTCTGAAACTCTACCTTTGCTGCACTATACAAACTTGATTTTGACATTGTGTAATGTTGAGTGTTCTTCTAATATCTTCCCCAGATCAGGTGGAATGACTCCCTACTAAGAACGCATTCATCAACTAATATTTAGTGAGTTCCTAAAAAGCACATCAGGCACTAACAATAAGGCGTCAGTTCTGAGAATATAAAAAGGAACATAGACTAGGCTCAGTGGCTCACACCTGGAATCCCAACACTTTGGGAGGCTGAGTGGGGAGGATCACTTGAGCCCAGGAGTTTGAGACCAGCTTGGGCAACATGGTGAGACACCCATCTCTACAATAAATACAAAAATAGCCAGGTATAGTGGTGCGCACCTGTAGTCCCAGCTACTTGGGAGGCTGAGGTGGGAGGATCACTTGAGCACAGGAGGTTGAGGCTGCAGTGAGCCATGATCATGCCACTACACTCCAGCCTGGGCAACAGAGTGAGACCCTGTCTCAAAAAAAAAAAAAAAAAAAACAAAAAAAAAAAAACACACACACAGTCCTTGAGCTTAATAAGCTTCAGATCTGGTAAGGAAAGAGAAGTAAACAAATTGAAATCCAGCTGATAGCAACTAAGTAACATAAATTTTTTTTTTTTTTTTTTTTTTTTTTAGAAAACTTACGAACATCCAGGAGTTAATATGACACTGAAATGTTACCAGGCCAAGATCCAGAGAACTGAGTATCTTAGATGATTTTGTGGTGCTATAACAAAATACCTGAGACTGTGCAATTTATTAAAAAAATAGGCATTTATTTCTTACAGTGTGGGAAGCTGAGAAGCCCAAGATGAAGGTGCTGGCAGGTTTGGTGGTCTGGTGAAGGCGGCTGTCTGCTTCCAAGATGGCGCCTTAGTGTTGCCTCCTCTTGAGGGGAGGAGCATTGTGTCCTCACAGATTGGAGGCTGACAGGCAAGCAGCTGAATGCTGTGTGAAGCCTCTTTATAAGAGCACTAATCTCATGAGCAAGAACGTTCATGGTCTGTCACCTCTTAAAGGCCCTGCCTCTTAATACTGTCACATTGGCAACTCCTGAATTTTGGAGGGAACACATTCAAATCATGGTATTCCGCCCTTGGCCCTCCAAAATTTGTGTCCTTCTCACATACAAAACACAACCACATGTCATGTAATGATGGGGATATGTTCTGAGAAACACACTGTTAGGCCATTTCACCACTGAGTGGACATCATAGAGCGTGCTTACACAGACCTAGATAGTACAGCCTACCACACAGCTAGGCCATGTGGTATGGCCGACTGCTCCTAGGCTACAAGCCTGCACAACGTGCTACTGTACTGCATACTGCAGGCAACTGTAACACCATGGCAAATATTTGTGTATCTAAACAACTAAACATAGAAAAGTTACGGTAAAAATATGAGATAAGAGATTAAAACATAGTGCATTGCATACTGCACTTTCCACGAATGGAGCATGCAGGATTAGAAGTTAGTCTGGGTGAGTCAGTGAGTGAATGGTGAGTGAATGTGAAGGCCTAGGACATTGCTGTTTACTACTGTAGACTTTAGAAACACTGTGCACTTAGCCTACACTAAATGTATTCTAAATTTTTTTCTTCAATAGCAAATTAACCTTAGCAAATTTTTTTTTGTATTTTTAGGAGAGACAGGGTTTCACCATGTTGGCCAGGCTGGTCTTGAACCCCTGACTTCAGGTGATCCACCTGCCTCAGCCTCCCAAAGTGCTGGGATTATAGGCGTGAGCCACCGCACCCAGCCACAACATTAAATCTTGAGGCCTGAGAACAATCCTCCCTGACTCGATGTCATGCCTTCTAGATACAGTGTGGGATGGCTGTAGGGCTTCCAAGGCTCCACAGGACCCTAGCCTCAAGGTTTTGCTGGGAGCAGCCCACAATGCAGCTCTCAGCAGTTGGAGTTGGGTACTTGTGACTCCCAGGCTGGCTTTGCACACTGGCAGCTCTACATGTCTGGGGTCTTGGGAACAGCCCTGCCTCCATTGCGTCCACTGAGCATTGCACTAGTGGAGATTCTCTGCAGTGAGCCCACCCTGCAGCAACTTTCAGCTTGGTGCCCAAGGCTGTCCATGACATCCTTTGAAATCTGGTGGGAGAAATCATGCCTCCACAGCTCTTGCATCTGTGCACTTGTGGAGTTAGTGCCACGTGGATGTTGCAAAGGGTTATGGCCTCAGCCTTCGAGAGCGGTGACTCAAGCCACACCTGGACCCACTTGAACACAACTGGGTCAGTTGAGGAGTGCTGCGTAGAAACATGGAGCATGGGGTCCCAAGGTGCCCCTGGGTCGTGAGCCCTGAGGTCCCACAGGCGCCCTGGGCCCCTCCCTTGAAATCTTTCTGCCCTCAAGAGCCTGGCACTCTAGGCCTACGATGGGCAGGCGACATTTTAGGTCTCCACAATGCCTTCAAGGTTGTTCTCCTATTATCTTGATGAATAGTGTCTGGCTTCCTTCTATCCCTACTAATCTCCTTAGCAAAGGTCGCCAGGCCACGCTTTTTTATTCTTTACATGGCCAGGCTGACAGCTTTCTAGATCTTTACATCTTCTTCCCTTTTAATTATCAATCCCATCTTTAAATCCTTTTTCTCTTTTTGCACTCTACTGTAAGCAGTTTAGAGAACACATACAGCCCCTTCAACATTTTGCTGCTTGGAGATTTCTTCCACCAAATATCCTAGTTCATTGCTCTTGAATTCTGCCTTCCACAGACTCCTGGGACATCAACATAATTCTACCAAGTTATTTGTCACTTTGTAACAAGGATGGCCTTTCCTCTAGTGTCCAATACCTTGTTTCTTACTTTCATCAGAAACCTCCTCAAGATGGTCTTTCCTGTTCAAATTTCTTTTTTTTTTTTTCTTTTTCTTTTCTTTTTGAGACAGAGTCTTGCTCTGTCACCCAGGCTGGAGTGCAATGGCACGATCTCGGCTTACTGCAACCTCCGCCTCCCGGGTCCAAGTGATTCTCCCACCTCAGCCTCCTGAGTAGCTGGGACTACAGAGGCCCACCACCACGCCCAGCTAATTTTTTGTATTTTTAGTAGACATGGAGCTTCACCATGTTGGCCAGGCTGATCTTGAACTCCTGACCTCAAGTGATCCGCCCGCCTCGGCCTCCCACAGTGCCAGGATTACAGGCGTGAGCCACCATGCCCAGCCCCCTGTTCCTATTTCTACCAACATTCTGCACACAGCCACTTGAGTAATCTCCAGAAGTTCCAGACTTTCCCTGCAGCTCTCCTCTTCCGAGCCTTCCCCAGTCGCCCTAGATGCTCCATTCATAGCACTCTAGGCTTTTTACGGCATTCACTTCAAAACTGTTCCAGCTCTACCCATTACCCAGTTCCAAAGCTACTTTCACAGTTTTAGGCATTTGCTGCCAGTGAGTTGGTGCCTCACTTCTCTGGTACTAATTTTCTTTGTCTCTTCTTTGCTACTATAACAGAATACCACAGAATGGGTACTTTTTAAAAAACAGAAATTTATATTCTCACAGTTCTGGAAGCTGGGAAATCCAAGATCAAGAAACAAGCAGTTTGGGTTGTCTAGTGAGGGGTGCTCTCAGCTTCCAAAATGGTGCCTAATTTTATATCCTCTAATTGTATATCCTCTGGAGGGGTGGTGCACTGTGTCCTCACATGTAGAAGGCAGAAGGAGAAGCTACCAAAAGCTGTATGAAGGCTGTTTTGTAATGGCTGTAATCCGAAACCCTCATGAATTTTGAAAAGAAAGCTTTTTTTATTTTGTTTTGTTTTTTGTTTTTGTTTTGCTTTGAGACGGGGTCTCCCTCTGTTGTCCAGGCTGGAGTGCAGTGGCTCAGTCGTGGCTCACTGCAACCTCTGCCTCTAGGTCTCAAGTGATTCTCTTGCCTCAGCATCCCAGGTAGTTTGGGCTACAGGCATGCGCCACCATGTCTGGTTAATTTTTGCATTTTTTGTAGAGATGGAGTTTTGCTATGTTGCCCACGCTGGTCTTGAACTCCAGGGCTCAAGTGATTCACCCGCCTCCCAAAGTGCTGGAATTACAAGCGTGAGCCACACGCCTGGCCAAGGGGAAGCATTTACATCCTAGCAATGAACCATACATTTGGAGGGTATGAGGGTGTCTGAGATGGGATTAGCGGTTCAGAGGCTGAGCTGCACTTTTGAGAGCCTTATGAAAATGGGGGTCAAATGTCAGAGTCCAGGGCTGGCTAAGTTTGGGTCCCCTGCTAATTAATCCCCTGCTTAGGCAGAAGCCACAAATGTTTGCTCCTGAGAAGTAAGAGGAAATAAAAAAGAAATCAGTGTTAGCATGGACTACAACCAAATTTTGAGTCCCTTTGGTTACTTAGAAAATCTCTAGCCCTGAAGATAGATTAAGGTGACACTCTATTGGTAGTGCACCAAAGTACCTGACAGAAACAAATGAAAAATTTTTTATAGGAGAAAATAACATTATCCTAAACTTCAAATTATTCCTACAAATAACTTCTCAAACATGATGTCAAGCAAATAATAAAAAATAACTAGGTACCAGCTCCTACTCATTAGGATGGCTACTATTAAAACAAACAGAAAATAACAAATGTTGATGAGGATGTGGAGAAGCTGGGACCCTTATGCACTGTTAGTGAAAATAGAAAATGGTGCAACCACTGTGGAAAACAGGATGGTGGTTCCACTCAAAATTCAAAATAGAATTACTATATGATCCAGCAGTTCTACTTCTGGATATATGCCCAGAAGAATTGAAAGCAAGGTCTCCAAGAGATACAGCTATGCCTATCTTTATAGCATGCTCACAGCAGCATTATTCACAGAAGCTAAAACACGGAAGCAACCCAAGTTTCCATTGACCATAAAATGCACATGCAAAATGTGGCATATACATAAAATAGAACATTGAGGACATTATGGTAAGTGATGGACAAAAATCATACAGTAACAAAAAGACAAATACTGTATGATTTCACTTATGTGAAGTACCTAGAGTAGTCAAATTCATAGAGACAGAAAGTAGAATGGTGGTTGCCAGGGGCTGGGGGAAGGGTGCAATGATGAGTTAATATTTAATGGGTATTGGGTGTGAGTTTTGCAAGATGAAAAGAGTTCTAAAGATGGATGATGGTGATGTTGTACAACAATATGAATATATTTAATACCACTGAATGGTATACTTGAAAATGATTAAGATGGCTAATTTATGTTAGGTGTATTTTACCAGAATAAAAAAATTTGAAAAAATATTTGAAAGAATTACCAGACATACAAGATAGATGATGTTAATGAGAAATAGCAGGAAAAAAAAATCATTAGCAGCATGGACTCCAGATATTGGAAGTGTCAGACACAGACTGTCAAACCACCATGCTGAATATGGTCAAAGAAATAAAAACTCACAAATTTTGGCAGGAAATTGGAAACTTTAAAAAAGAAATCATCATAGCCTAATCACTTATTAAAGACACCCTCACTTAACGTAATCACCTTGGCAACATCTGAATTGCAAAAAAGCAAAATCAAGTGGTTGCCCATGGTTCAGGGGGAGTGGGTGAACGGATGAATAGGTGAAGTATAGGGGCATTTTAGGACAGTGAAACGATTCTTTGTAATTCTGTAACGGTGGCTACATGACATTATGCAAGTGTCAAAACACACAGAACTGTACAACACAAAGAGTGAACCTCACTGTAAACTGTGGGACTTTTAGTTAGTGAACATGTATTAATATTGATTCATTAATTGCAATAAACATGCCACGCTGATGCAAAATGTTAGCAATAGGAGAAACTGTGTGTGGGAGGAGCACATATGGAACATTCTGTATTATTGGCTTAATTTTTTGATAAATCTGAAATCATGAGCTTCAAGTCAAGGTAAGAAAAAATAAAATAAAATAAAATCATTATAAGAAATAAAGTCTACCGATTTTTAAAAAGTAAAATCATCAGTATGAAAAAGGACCAAATAGAAAGTTTAGAAATGAAAAAATACAATATAACAAAGTAGTCCCACAGTTGGGATTAACAGCTAATTAGAAATGGATGAAATGAAAACCTATTGCAAGATAGGCCAGCCTAAAAATTGCTATCCAGAATGAAGCATAGAATGTGAAAGGGATGAAAAACACAAAAGGAGAGAATTACTGGCATAAAGAATAAAGTGAGAAGGTCTTACATACATTGAACTGGCATCCCTGAAAGAAAAGAGAATAATAATGGGGCAAAATTAAATCTAAAGAAAGTAAAACCACTCCCGCCTGTAATCCCAGCACTTTGGGAGGCCAAAGCAGGTGGATCACTTGAGGTCAGGAGTTTGAGACCAGCCTGGCCAACATGGTGAAACTCCATGTCTACCAAAAATACAAAAATTAGCTGGGTGTGGTGGCACGTGCCTGTAGTCCCAGCTACTCGGGAGGCTGAGGCAGGAGAATTGCTTGAACCTGGGAGGTGGAGTTTGCAGTGAGCTGAGATTGTGCCACTGCACCCCAGCCTGGGCAACAGAGTGAGACTCTGTCTCAATAAATAAATAAATAAATAAAAATAAAGAAAGTAAAATAGTAATGGAATCTTCTAAAATTGATGAAAAACATCAATCCCAAAACTCAAAAGTCCTATATTGGCCGGGCGCAGTGGCTCACACCTGTAATCCCAGCACTTCGGGAGGCTGAGGCAGGCGGATCCCAAGATCAGGAGTTTGAGACCATCCTGGCCAATATGGTGAAACCCCGTCTCTACTAAAAATACAAAAATTAGCCAGGAGTGGTGGCAGACACCTGTAGTCCCAGCTACTCGGGAGGCTGAGGCAGGGGAATCGCTTGAACCCGGGAGGCAGAGGTTGTAGTGAGCCAAGATCGGGCCACTGCACTCCAGCCTGGGAGACAGAGCAAGACTCTGTCTCAAAAAAAAAAAAGTCCTATAAATTTGACATAAGATAAATAAAAAGAAATCTAGGTCCAGACACCTCACAGTAAAAAGTAACACTAAAAGCAATAAGAAAATCTTAAAAGCAGCCACAGAGAATGAAAAACAGCTTATTTTCAAAAAAAACAAAAACCCAGCTAACTTCTCAGCAGGGACAACAAAAGTCAGGAACCAAAGATGAGAAGTTTTCAATGTGCTTGCCAACTTAGCATACTATAACCATGTTCAAGAATGAGGAGTCAAAAAATTACAAAAATTAGCCTGGCGTCATCATGGGCACCTGTAGTTCCAGCTACTCGGAAGGCTGAGGCAGGAGAATTGCTTGAACCCAGGAGGCAGAGGCTGCAGTGAGCTGTGAGCCGAGATCTCGCCATTGCACTCCAGCCTGGGTGACAGAATGAGACCCTGTCTCAAAAAACAAACAAACCAAAGTTAATCATAAAATCAAAGAGTGCTCAACAGATAGTGAAACTAGTAACACAGACCTCACGATAGGAGGTCAGTATTGGAAGAAGTTAAAGCAGGTGCTCCTGGAGGCAATTATCAGAGGAAGGTGCAAGATGAGAACAGAGGTAGACTCTGTTTCCCCATAGGAACAGCCATGTGCCACTCAATGGGCTCCCAGCATCCTCCACAACATTTGATGTTTCATTATGTGCTTTTAACATGGATGTTGTCCAATGAGGTTGTAATTCATAGCTGTCGCCCATCTTATGCTCAAAACTAACTGGACCCACTCCCCAGTGACACCCTGAGAGCCCCTCCTCCCTTGACTAGCTTATGGGTTCACAAAAGTCACTTGACCACCAACCTGTATTGGGAATGTTGCCCTCATTACTGGCAAAGCTGCTGTCTTCAGGAAGAAGAGTTGCCTTTGTGGGATTTGAGGAATTCTCTTCCTCCTATAAGACAAATAATTTTTAGCAACATGAGAGCTGAGTTTGGGAGCCATTGTTTAAGCTTTCCTGTGCTGAGTTTTGTGATAAATCAAGACTTTTGTTTTGTTTTGTTTTTCTTCCTTGCAGAGGAAATCAAATGCAGCCAGCCTCTTTGCAGTGGGCTGAATCTGGTGTGGCAGGAAGTTCAAGTGATGGCTCCTAGGATGGTCCAAACAAAAACACCACCCCCGCCTCCTCAAGAAATGGAAACTATTATGCAAGAGCAAAAGGTGCAAGAAACTACCTTTGAGAAACACAGAATTCAATTCCTATCACCTCCTCTAAGATGACAATTCTCATTTTTCCAGTCATTCAGCGAACATTGACTCAGCAGCTCCCAGTATCTGCTGAGGACTCTGCTAGTCAGTGTCCCCTTTAAGGAGCTCACTTTACAGAGGAAGGACAGCCGAGCACGAGCAACACTGTGACAGAGGTGAGCCCAGTGGGTATGGGAGGGCACAGGGGAGCCTGCACTCAGGCTGGCTGAAGAAGATGGAGGGCTTCTCCGGGAAGCCTTCAGGACAAAGGGAGCATGATTAAGCTGAAGTGGGCTGGGCAGCATTCAGCTGAGGAAGATTAGAAGGAGTCTAGAGATTCCAGACAGAAACAGCAGCTTGTGCAAAGGCACTGAGGCATGCCAACACACAGTTCCTTAAGGAACTGCCGGTCCTGGGCTTCAGGGAGCCTAGAGGGGAGATGAATGAGATGAGGTTGGATAAACAGATGTGCAAATCTAAATAATTTCTTTTCTTTTTTTTGAGACAATGTTTCACTCCCGTCACCCAGGCTGGAGTACAGTGGAGTGATCTTGGCTCACTACAACCTCCGCCTCCTGGGCCCAAATGATCCCCCTGCCTCAGCCTCCTGAGTAGCCAGAACTACATGCGTGTGCCACCACAACCGGCTAATTTTTGTATTTTTAGTAGAGATGGGGTTTTGTGTGTTGGCCATGCTGGTCTCAAACTCCTGATCTCAAGTGATCCACCCACTTCGGCCTCCCAAAGTGCTGGGATTACAGGCATGAACCACTGTGCCTGGCCTAAATATTTTTTGTGCAAATATTTGAAACTATAGCCCCATACCTGTGGGAAGTAAAAGGATTCCTCAGGTGCGTGGCCATGTCACTATATTCATTTTTGGTAGATGGAGGATCCAGAGTGTGACAGAAATATGAATGATGGTGAAAATTTAGGCAGGTCACAAATTTTGTTGCAATACAAATTGCAGCTGTATGATCTTGGGCAAACTGCTTAACTTCTCGAGGGCTCCATTTCTTTATCTATAAAACAATAAAAAATATCGATTCCATAGGTTTATGACCATAGCAGTGTTTTATGAGTTTTGTGAGCATATGTGATGGAATGCTAATAACACTTGTATCAGTGTTTAGTATTAGCATCATTATCACCCTAATCTGCATCATCCCTACAAGGTTAGTAACTCTTCCCAACCCTCCACATGAGGAGAGGAGGAGAAATAGAAAGGAAAGAATAGAGAAATAGATAGGAATGGAAGGGAGTGAGCAGAGGGCTCCTAAATCCCAGAGCTTCTGGGGACCATTGACAGGGGAAAGCCAGCTTGGAGAATGAAGAGGAAGATGGGGGGCATTTGGCTGAGCTGCAGACGGGGAGGGAAGGGGATGTGGCCAGTTGTGAGGTGGGCAGATAAATAAAAAAGTCTTTGTGAATCAATATTCTATGACTCTCAGTTATAATCACACTCTTCTGGTTTTTTAAAATAAAGCTTCTGGAGCAAGGAAATCCTAACTTTCAGGTTTCATAGTCCTTTTCAATGCACTAACGCCTGAGTTCAAGTGCTAGCTAAAAGGAAAACCAGAAGCAATGTATTTGCATCATTTCAAAATGCTGAATGTGCAAAGCATGGCTAAATACACAGTTTTTTTGTTTGTTTTTGTTTTTGTTTTTGAGAAGGAGTTTCACTCTTGTCGCCCAGGCTGGAGTGCAGTGGCTCGATCTTGGCTCACTGCTACCTCCGCCTCCCTGGTTTAAGCGATTCTCCTGCCTCAGCCTCCCGAGTAGCTGGGATTACAGGTGCCCACCACCACACCCAGCTATATTTTTGGGTTTGTTTTTTGGTTTTTTTTGTATTTTTAGTAGAAACGGTGTTTCACCATTTTGGCCAGGCTGGTCTCGAACTCCTGACTTCAGATGATCTTCCCGCTTCAGCCTCCCAAAGTGCTGGGATTACAGGCATGAACCACCATGCCCAGCCAATACATAGTTTTAACTGTATGTATCAACCCCAATTAAATAAAGCCAAGCACTAATTTAGGAATACCTGTCTTAAGTCACATCTGACAATTGTGGAGAGGAAAGGGCAGGGCTGAGCCTTCACCCTGAGCCCCTGTAGCCAGAAATGTTTCTATACCCATAGCCAGACACGCTGCTCCTGTGGGGAGGTGAGCAAGTCATACTCACCAGGCTGCCTGCCCTTTTCTCTCCTCAAGGTGTATGGCAGGTGTGGGTGGGAGCCGCTAGGGAAGGAGAAGGGGGAAGGAGAGTGGACAAGGGGAGCATGAGACAAAGGCACTGTCTTGACCTGTTTCTGCTGCTATAACAAACTACCTGAGACTGGGTAATTAATCAGTAATAGAAATTTATTTCTCAAAGTTCCGGAGGCTGGGATGTCCAAGATCAAGCTGCTGGCAGGTTTTGTGTCTGATGAGGGCCCCAGTCTCTGCTTCCAAGATAGTCCCTTGAATGCTGCGTCCTCACATGGCATAAGGGACAGAAGGTGGAAGGGAAAAAGGGCCTCAGCTAGTTCACTGCAGCACCTTTACAGGGCACTAATCCATTCATGAGGGCACGGCCCTCATGACTTAATCACTTTCCAGAAGGCCACACCTCTTAATACTACCACAATGGCGATTAAGTTCCAACATGAATTTTGGAGGGGACACATTCAGGCACATAGCTGGCACTAAATTTTCTTTTTGTCAAACCTCTAGAAACCCTGTTTAACAACAGCCTAAACTCCCAGAACAGCCCACAAAGTCTGATTCTATGATGTAGCTCATACCAGTGTTTCTCAAACTGGGAACCATGGACCCTTAGTATCCTTCAAGATGTTTATAAGCAATAAACAATGTTATTAAAAAAAAGCACATGGGGGGGTGGTGGGCTTCTATAGACAATTAAACTTGGAAATACTAAGTTAAATAAAGTTAAACAACCTTATTTACTACAGGATCTCTCTCAGGTTCTTTAATATAATAATTTGTCTGTGAATCACCAAGACAGAGGTATAATATTTGGGAGTTTCTTTCTGGGTTTTTTTTGTTGTTGTTGTTTTTGAGACAGAGTCTCGCTCCGTTGCCCAGGCTGGAGTGCAGTGGCGTAATCTCAGCTCACTGCAACCTCTGCCTCCCAGGCTCAAGTGATCCCCTGAACCTCAGTCTCCCGACTAGCTGGGACTACAGGCATGCGCCATCATGCCCAGCTAATTTTTATATTTTTAGTGGAGACAGGGTTTCGCCATGTTGGCCAGGGTGGTCTCAAATGCCTGGGCTCAAGTGATCTGCCCACCTCGGCCTCCCAAAGTGCTGGGATTGCAGGCGTGAGCCACCTTTGCCTGGCCCTGGGAGTTTTTAAGAAAGAAACATTTTTTTCTTTTTTTTTTTTTTTTTTGAGACAAGGTCTGGCTCTATTGCCCAGGCTGGAGTGCAGTGGTGCAATCTTGGCTCACTGCAACATCTGCCTCCCTGCAATCTCTGCCTCCCAGGCTCAAGCCATCCTCCCACCTCAGCCTCCATAGTGGCTGGGACTACAGGCACATGCCACTATGCCCAGCTAAAGTTGCAGGAGTATTCTGCAGAACACTAAACCACAGTGCTAACAATGCCGTACTGATTTTAAAAAACAAAACATAAACCTAGTGCTAATTATACTGTTAATCACATACTGTGTTTGAGTGCTCTGCATGTTGAAAAAGGCTTTTAGGCAAGTCTGAAACTACGGTGTGTGAGTATAAATGTCTTATGTGCATCCTCCCCCAGGACACAGCTTCAAATGTACACATAAAAACTTTTTCTTATGGACTATTTCAAACACACACAAAAGTGGAGAGCAGAGTGCGATGAGCTCCCTGTCTCGGCAAGCGTTGGACCTGCCAACTTTGACTCACCTGCTCCCCCAATCCCCCACTCCTGCCAGCTGGGTTATTTTGAAGAAAATCTCAGACATCATTTTATTTCATCTATAAATATTTCAAGGTGTATCTCTAAAAGGGATACAAATTCTCTTTAAATATATAACCATAATACTATTACTACACCAACAATTTTGAAATAACTGAAATCATTTTAAGTATTTCTCTGCAAGGGAAACTGTCAAATAGGCAACAGTCAAAAGTTTATTGAGCACTTACGACGTGCCAGGATAAAAGCTTTATCAGCATGCTTTCTTTTATTTACTTATTATTTATTTATTTATTTATTTGAGATGGAGTTTCGCTCTTGTTACCCAGGCTGGAGTGCAATGGCGCAATCTTGGCTAACTGCAACCTCCACCTCCCGGGTTCAAGTGATTCTCCTGCCTCAGCCTCCCTAGTAGCTGGGATTACAGGTGCCCGCCACCACGCCCAGCTAATTTTTTGTGTTTTTAGTAGAGAAGGGGCTTCACTATGTTGGCCAGGCTAGTCTCGAGCTCCTGACCTCAGGCGGTCCACCCGCCTCAGCCTCCCAAAGTGCTGGGATTACAGGCGTGAACCACCATGCCCAGCTCAGCTTGCTTTCTTTTAGTTCTCACAGCTACACTCTGCAGGAGGCACTTTACAATCCAGGAAACGGCCCCTCAGAGGTCCCCCAGGCAGAACGGTTAAATCCGTGGCCCTATGTGCTCTGTCACTCATTGGCTACACAACCTTGTGCAAACTCACTTCAAGTGTCTTCAATTCCCTGCAAGTCTCCTTTTCCTCCCTGTGAAATGAGTCCACTCTACTGGATTCACGAACTCACGCATAAGATCTTAAGCAGGGGCCGGGCGCGGTGGCTCACGCCTGTAATCCCAGCACTTTGGGAGGCCGAGGCGGGCGGATCACGAGGTCAGGAGATCGAGACCATCCTGGCTAACACGGTGAAACCCCGTCTCTACTAAAAATACAAAAAATTAGCCGGGCGTGGTAGCGGGCGCCTGTAGTCCCAGCTACTCGGGAGGCTGAGGCAGGAGAATGGCGTGAACCCGGGAGGCGGAGCTTGCAGTGAGCCGAGATCGCGCCACTGCACTCCAGCCTGGGCGACAGAGCGAGACTCCGTCTCAAAAAAAAAAAAAAAAAAAAAAAAAAAAAAAAAGATCTTAAGCAGGTACTGATTGGTTCTTCTGCATATGCTGGGTACTAGGGCTGGAGGGGTCTAAGTTTTGGTCTGATCTTAGACTTAGCCCACTGTCACGGACTCAGTCAGGCCTCTGAGATCATGCCTAGTCTCCTCAGGTAAACATGACTTATCTCTCAGTTTATTTTCTTCTCTGGCTTTCTCCAAGATGGCCCCAGGGTCTATGGGGAAGAGGGGTGGCTCACCTGGTGGGAGGATGCTGTAACTCATGGCTCAAGCCAGAGCATTCTTCACAGTGGGAAAGAGAGCTAGCAGCAGCAGCTAAAAGTGGCAGGCAGGCCCCACCCATACGGGTCCCTCCTCATCGCAGGACCATGGACTCTAAGGCAGTGCCCTTGTCCTCTGGGTGCTAGTCACACTGACGGCAGCCACGGCCAATGTGTGGCTGCACCTGAGTCACTCTCCCTGAGGGACTTGTTTCTGCTTCCTCCCGTGGGCTCTGTGGGCCCCGTGGTCTGGCTGTGACTCCTGTGATCCCTGCCAAGGGGCCCATGCGGTGGTCCTCAGCTGCATGACCGTGTTAACAAGGTCCCCAGCCAGACCTCCAACTACTGTCTAATGGGTTCTGCTGGACAGAAGTTTTGGGGGTAGCCCTACTTTCACTCTTGTGTCTTTGTTAGAGATGGTGATTACCGTGGATACCCCGAGGGCAGGGACCACTGCAACGTATCCTTCCTGAGGTCTCCCCAGCGCCTAGCACACAAGAGGCTCATGTGGGTTCTCCCTAAATATCTGTCCAGTGAATGACTCAACTCCAGCTCCCCCTTAGCTTAGCCATGGGGCACCAAGTGTCCTTCAAAATGGTCACCTCTGGAAGGGTGTGGGAACCACCTCCTTCTCCCAGATCCTTACCGAGAAGACAAATGACAGGTATTAGAAACTCATGAACTTGGTGGGGCGCAGTGGCTCACACCTGTAATGCCAGCATTTTGAGAGGCTGAGGCAAGTGGGTCATCTGAGGTCCGGAGTTCGAGACCAGCCTGGCCAACAGGGTGAAACCGTGTCTCTACTAAAAATGCAAAATTAGCCAGGCAGGGTGTCAGGCGCCTGTAATCCCAGCTACTTGGGAGGCTGAGGCAGGAAAATTGCTCGAACCCAGGAAGGAGAGGTTGCAGTGAGCGAAGATTGTGCCACTGCACTCCAGCCTGAGTGACAGAATGAGACTCCATCCCAAAAAAACAAAACACAAACAAAAAAACCCTCATGAACTTGTGATAAGAAAAAGAAACCTGCTCTAAATGGCTCAAGGGAAAAGGTAATTTGTCGGAGGACACAGAGGAGCTCCTGGACCACATGAGAGGCAGGAAATTCTCATGGGTCTGCGCCCTCCAGCTCTTCCGACTCGGGTGCCTGTGGCCTCTCTCTTCAGCATCTCTCGCCTTGCCTGCTTCCTGTGCAAGGTTCTAAGACATTATTAAATGGAGTGGGCTGGTTGAGGAACAAGCAGAGGCAGGTGGGAGAGGTCCCTGCCTCTCAGTTCACCTCCACACAGATGCGCTGAGAGGCACTGGGTAAGTGTTTACGGTTCCGGCACAGCGATAACGTGAAAATAATATTTGCAAAAGACCATCTTGACAACTATTTGCATCTTAGACTGGCTTTGCGGGGTCTTAAGATTAGTGGTTTTTAAAGCCAGGCTTTGTTTCATAAAGTGAGCTTTAACAATCTTTACACATCTATTGGGATGTGTTTACCTTTGTTCTCCAGCAAAGCTCACAGGCAGATGCTCTTTGTAAAGCATCTTTCCTGCTTCTCTCTGCTGGGGAATTCCAATGGGTAATTAGCAGAAGGAGCGTCATATGACCAATTGAAAGGCAGTCTGCTGTCCTTTAGAAAGATGTGTCAAACACGTACTTTGTCTGGAGATGCTGTAGTGAAATTCGTTTCACGGTGGGGATAGTACCAGGAAATAATTCCATGCAGAACAGCAGGGAGCAGGCAGCTGTTCCAGTACATTTCTACCAAAGAATAATATGAACCATGAGGACAGATGAAGGTTTATCACACCCAAAATCAGCTAATGCTATCGTTTAAAACTGCTTTTCAAAAATAATTATTTCATGCTTGTAAAAAGCTTTAAAATAGTATTTACACAAATCCAAAGTAATTGACTTAGTGTGCCTTTTCTCATTCTTTTGGAAAATTATTTAATAAATTGGGGTAAGATGTATGATTTTGCTCATAATTATGATTTGGAAAAGTGTCTGCCTTGCTTCCATGATGGCTTTAATAAGATGACTTATTAAATTCCTACTAATCATCTGCAGAAAAGGAAACCACTTTTCATTTTGTTTTTGCTTGGTTTTCTATGAGACTTCCAGAAAAGTCCCACTTTTAATGTAACAAAAGAATTCAAATGCATTACTTTGCAAATTACAATTTACAAGCACTCTGTGACTTGTAATGAAGGCTGTTTCTTTTCATTCCACACATTCTCAGAGTTCCTCTGCAGATATTGCTATTTGTTATACCTTATGTGGCCAGCACCTCTCTGCAAAAAGGGAAACAGGAACACCGCATTGGGGAAAAAACATCTATAGCAATGGGATATCGTCATGGTCCTCTGAATCATGGATTTTAGATAAAGAAATGGCAGAGAAGTGTTTTATATTTGGAGTTAGGTTTTCTCATTACATACATTCTCCTGAATGCAATGTTCCCATTGATTTCAACTGGGGTAAAAGCCAGATATTCAAAAGGTGAGTGTAGACCAAGGAAAATTGCAACATATGATAGTGATTTGGAATCTCTCCAATGAGACTGTTTTGCTCTAGTATAGTTTGAAAGTCTCCATAGCTTGCTGGTTTAGAGCCCAGGGATCTTAAGGAGTCTCTTCCAGGCTAAATGGAACATGCAGTTGTCTGTTCTCTGTAATGCTCTGTCTGTGCAGATGCAGCTACATTGTGCATTCTGGACCAAATCCACTATGCTCATTAGCTTTATTTAAAAATACATCTATTGCCTGAAGACACCTGGGTACATCCACAGAAAGTGAATAATTGCAAGAACTGAATGAAATTAAGCACCCTAGATCAGAAATGGTTTTGTGCAAGGAGAAGACACAGCTGGTGCCCTTTTAGAAGGTGAAATGAGACTAATTAGATAAGCTAGAAACCAATTAGATGGAAGTAGGTAAAATAAGTTACTGTTTAGATAGAAGAGATGTGGTTCTCCAGCTTTGTGTACATAAAATGTGACATAAGAAACTGGAATTCTACTTGATATAAACCTTAGAATTTATTTTCCTTGTCACGGTTTAGATATTAGAGCAAAGATACTCAACCTGGAGTTAGAGAGAGACTAGATTTTCAGGTACAAGACAGCACATGCATGGGTCTAGCAGTCTTCTCAGTGAACGCCACAGAATGAAGTTTTTTGTGATGTCACTTCCAGTTAAACATTCTTTGAAAAGAAAATGGATTTTATACCTAATTTCTACTGAGCAAATTATGTGGCTATGTGGTCAACTCAACTGAAAGCCTTAATTATGCTGCTAGTAATGGAGTTGTGTGCAGAGGTAAATGTCCTTTGCATATTTAGCACATTAGAAAGGCATACACTGGGAATAAATCTTCGGAGAGTGTCGCTGTGTTAGCACAAAACTACTCAGAGTCTGATCTATAAGATGGCTGGTCAAACTAGGGACACCAGCTGTCACCTGTAATAGATGAAATTAATAGGCCCTCTGGGTGGAGGGTGTAAAATTGATCACATGGCCTCATTTCTAAAGTCTTCTAATCAACAAGCCTCAAGAGCTCTGAGCCAAGATAAGAAGATGTTTGCTTTTCATAGCATCTAACATTCAATGCAATAGCTAGCAAAGAGACCACTGGTCAACCAGATGGTCATGGTGTCCCCATCGTATTTCCAAGGTCTGTTCCAGTGCCTGGTACTGGTTGACGCTCAGTAAATGTGCAAATATTATGGCACCAGCAGTGACATAATAAGGCCCTAAATAACAGCAGACTCTTCCCTTGGTTATTTCCAGTCTCTGTGGACATAAGCAGGCATCTTGGGAAGTTTCCTGGGTGGAAGGAGCTGCTGTAGGACCAGTATGAGAAGGGGAAGGAACCATGTTTCCCCCAGCCATTGACAAGGACCTGCCTGTCCCACTGCAAGAGTACAGGACTTAGCACTCAGGGCAAAGCAAATCAGATGAAGGAACCTCACGGGGCTCCCCCTCCGAGTCCAAAGGGATGTGTTACCTCTCCTAGAGACAGGCTGACCTGCAGAGTGAGGCCTTGGAGAGCTCTGCCATATCGCCTCACCTCATTGCTTCATCTTCTTTTTTCCTGTGGGTTCTTCATCGTGGTTGCCATTCAGCAGTCTCCTGACTCTGTTTGTTACTCATATACTTGGCCTCCCATCCTGATATGGATGCTCTTAATACATGAGGTGAGGTTGAGAGAGGATGATGTGGAGTGAACTGTCCTCTACTGGGTGGCGTTTTAAAGCAGCCGGCCCTGAGCAAGGAAACTCAGCTGAGAAGATAAATAGGACTAACAGTGGCCCCATTCACTTATTGATTACGTCATTCCCACTCCCTTGCCTATCCTACCCCTACACTCCAAATGCCCCAGGCTTCAGGACCAGGCTGATTCATGGGGCAGTGCCCCAAAGGAGAGTCAGATGCCATCCCGGGTCAGCTCCAGTGACCTGGTTGAACTTCAGGGTCCAGGTTCTGAATGTCCTGCTATCTCTCTGGAACTGACCTTGGAGCTTCACCCTGGTGATGGTGTCCCTGTGGAAGGGAGGATGCTGGCCATGGAGATCTCTGGTGGGCCCCAGCAACTACCTTCCAGGGCTGGCACGTGGGAGGCAGTCGGCAGTTGTTTCCTTTGTTGAATCGATGTCTTTCCTGCTTCCAGAAGTGGTTCTCAAACGTGTGTGTGTGTGTGTGCATATGTTTTGGGGGCAGACTTTTTTTAAAACTGTGGTAATATATATATAACACAAAATTTACCATTTTAACAATTTATAAGCACACAATTCAGTGGTGTGGTATTAAGTACATTGGTATTGTTTTGCAACCATCAGCATCTATTTCCAGAACTTTTCATCTTCCCCAACTGAAACTCAGTCCCTATTAAAACACTAATCCCCCAACCCCCAGCCCCTGGCAACCCCCATTCTACTTTCTGTCGCTATGAATTTGACTTCTCTAGGGACCTCATGTAAGTGGAATCATGCTTTTCTGTGTGCTAATGTTTTCAGTGTATCTGTGTTGTAGCATGTATCAGAATTTCATTCCTTTTTAAGGGTAAATAATGTTCTAGTGTATGTATATGTACCACATTTTGTTTATCCATTCATCTGTCCATAGACACTTGGGTTACTTCTACCTTCTGGCTATTGTGAATAATGCTGCTATGAACATTGCTGTACATATTTGTTTTTGTTCCTGCTTTCAATTCTTTTTGGGTATACACTCAGAATTGGGACTGCTGGATCATAAGGTAATTCTATGTTTAATTTTTGAGGCCGTACTGTTTTCCATAGCAGCTGCACCACTTTAATATTATACATATTTTTTGAGACAGAGTCTCACCCTGTCACCCAGGCTGGAGTGCAGTGGCACGATCTTGGCTCACTGCAACCTCCACCTCCCAGGTTCAAGCGATTCTTGTGCCTCAGCCTCCCGAGTAGCTGGGATTACAGGCGCCTGCCGCCACGTCCGGCTAATTTTTGTATTTTTAGTAGAGACGGGGGTTTCACCATGTTGGCCAGGCTGGTCTCGAACTCCAGACCTCAGGTTATCTGCCCGTCTCGGCCTCCCAAAGTGCTGGGATTACAGGCGTGGGCCGCCGCCCCCGGCCAGCTGCACCACTTTAAATGTCCTACCCTCAGTGAACAAGAGTTCCAATTTCTCTACATCCTCACCAACACTCGTTAGTTTCTGTGTTTTAAATAATAGCCATCCTCTTGGGTATGGTTTTTATTTGCGTTTCCTAATGATTAATGATGTCGAGCATCTTTTCATGTGCTTAGTAGGCATTTATGTATCTTCTTTGGATAAATGTCTATTCAAGTCCTTTGCCCATTTTTAAACTGGGCGGTTTGGTTTTTGTTGCTGTCAAGTCGGCAAATGTGTTTTTGATCTAGATTGAGAAATCCTTACCCGGAGACTCTGAAGCGGTTAGCAGCCACAGTAACGGCTGCATGACTGAGCTCTGACTACAACACAGCCTTGCAAGTGAATGTCGCTTAATACTCACAACAACCCACACAGTTCCCCACAAAGGAAGTGAACTTGGAGATGGCCAGCAGCTCCATGTCACACAGCAATGACACTGACATAAATGGCTCTTGAGAGCAAGGACTGGCAGGACCTGGCTACAGATATGGGGACTCACGTTGAGGTGGCACTGCTCACCTGGAGCAGCACACTGGAGTCACCTGGGACCAGCCTCCTAGAAGTCCAGATGCGCCCGCCTGCCAGAGAGCTCCGAGATTTTTCAAAACTCCTAGAGACAGTGGTTTTCAGCAACGGCGGGCACATTAGCATCACCCGGGACCCTGAAAAAGCCGGTTGGCCCAGGCGGCCCTCGCCCAGACCAATTCATCAGAACCTCTTGGGGTGGGGTGGGGCGGGGCTGGGATGGGGAGCGGCAGCCGGGGTATCAATATTTTTGAAAACTGCCTGAATAACTCCAACGCTCAAGCAAGTCAAGGACACCCACGGACTCAACACCGCGACCAGATTGGAAAAGGTGTAAGTTGGTGCTTGTTGTTCGCGTCCCTGTTTGACTGGTTGCTACGCCGGTGGGAAGGGCGCTGGGTGAGAGCGGGAGGCAGCTCCAGCCCACACCGCAGGATGCAGGGCGGGGTCCGCGCATCCTCGGCGGGGCGCGGGGGTTGGGGAGCTGTGGCCTCCCGTACTCGCCGCGCGCCTTCCGCGCCCCCGGGCTCGGGCCTGGAGGACTGGGCTCCCGCCCCGCGCCCCGCGCGCCCCCCGCGCGCTCCTTTCTAAAGTAAACACCGAGGAGCGGCGGTAGCAGGACCGGTGCAACCCAGCGCCGCCCACGGCCGCCGCTCGCTGCCTGCCTCGGTGCTGCAGGCCCGGGGCCGAGCCATGGCCGAGGGGGTGCCGGCCTCGCCGTCGAGCGGCGAGGGTAGCCGGGGCCCGCACAGCGGCGTCATCCAGTGGTGAGCCGCCAGGCGCCTGGGACGCTGGGATGGAGGAGGTGGGGCCGGGGAGGGGAAGCGTGGTTCCCGCTACGGCTGCCCTCGGGACGCCGGGTCAAAGCCGGGTGTGAGGAGCGGCCCCAGGCCCAGCGCTTTCTGATGCTCGCCCGCCGCAGCGCGGAGGGACCTGCCATGCACGCACACGCGTAAAAGCCCCGGGCCCGAATCGGCGATGGGGCCGGGCTTCCCATCTGTGACTTCCCCGTTGTCACCCTTCCCGCGGAAAGCCATCCGGTCTGCCCCGCGGGGACCCGTTGGTTGGACCCTGCTTCCATGTACATCCAAAAGCTCCTGGGCCTTGCCAGGGGAGGAAAAGCTTTCTCTCCCTAGATCCAGGATGGGATGTTTCCTAATTTAAAGCTTAGGAGTTTTTAGCTTTAGCAATGCATTCCGCATTGTGAAATTCACTTCCAGCTATTTAAGTCGAAGCAGGAAAAAAGGGAAAGAAAAATATCCTCAGCCCTTGGGACTGAGAAACTCATGGGGTTGCAGATCTTCTTAAATAGAAAAATAATTGAAACCAGTTCTAGGACCTTTAGTTTTACAAGGTGAATAACTGTTATATAACAGAGTACATTTTTCTCTTTTTAAGTTTCAAAGCATATTTCTCAGGGAAGACTTTTGAAAAAGTCATGTGAGTGAAACAAAAATGAAGGGCGTGTTTGTGATTATAACCCTGGCAGGCCTAAACAGTTACCACTTTCCTCCAAAAGAACATTTTTGACATGTCTTATCTTCAATGAGAGGAAAAAAAATCAAATGAATAAATACTGAAGTACACAGCGTTTTTCAGTGTTACACAGCCGGGCTAGGTTTCTGCTACACTCACCGACCCAGGCCCCTCATGCATCGTTCTTAGAAGAAAGGACTCAGGATGCCTTTCAATGACTTCAGTTCGCCATTTAGTAAATTAGAGTTTCCAGGGTTTAAATTATGCTCCAGAGACTTGAAAGAATGATGAGACTGATTAAAAAATACCTGAACATCCTCCTAAGACCGCTTGTGAACTCACTTCAAATGGTAACCAGGGGGCTTATGATGGTCTAGACCAAGCTTGTCCAACCCTTGGCCTAAGGGCTGCATGAGGCCCAACACAGATTTGTAAACTTTCTTTTCCTTTCTTTCTTTTCTCTCTTTTTTTTTTGTGACAGAGTCTTGCTCTGTTGCCCAGTCTGGAGTGCAGTGGCACGATCTTGGTTCACTGTGACCTCCGCCTCCTGAGTTCAAGTGATTCTCCTGCCTTATCCTTCCGTAGTAGCTGGGATTACAAGCCTGCACCACCATGCCTTGCTAATTTTTGTATTTTTATTAGAGACAAGGTTTCACCATGTTAGCCAGGCTGGTCTGGAAGTCCTGACCTCAAGTGATCCACTTCCCTCGGCCTCCCAAAGTGCTGGGATTACAGGTGTGAGCCACCACGCTGGGCCTTCATAAACTTTGTTAAAACATTATGAGATTTTTTTTGTTTGTTTTGGCTCATCAGCTATCATTAGTGTTAGTGTATTTTATATGTGACCCAAGACAATTCTTCTTACAGTGTAGCCCAGGGAAGAAAAGATTGGACACCCCTGGTGTAGACCATTTTAGCAGACAGTCTGACTTACTCAAGTCCCATATTACAAGTTCCTATCCCTATAGGCCACTCTTCAAGGTTGGGGGGTGGAGGCAATGGAAATAAGGGAGGGGTCACCTTTTCATTGGGGAGGACTTTTCTTTAGAAATCATCCAGTTGATGAGGTGGTATGTTTAACAGATCGTTGAGGCCGGGTGCGGTGGCTCAGGCCTGTAATCCCAGCACTTTGGGAGGCCGAGGCAGGTGGATCACTTGAGCTCAGGAGTTTGAGACCAGCCTGGCTAACATGGTGAAACCCCATCTCTACTAAAAATACAAAAATTAGCTGGGTGTGGTGGCGGGCGCCTGTAAATCCCAGCTACTCTGAAGGCTGAGGCAGAAGAATCGCTTGAACCTGGGAGGTGGAGGTTGTAGTGAACCAAGATTGCGCCACTCTGCTTCAGCGTGGGCGACAAGAGTGAAACTCCCTCTCAAAACAAAATAAAAAACCCAAAACAGATCGTTGGTACTAGTGGTTTTAACGTCAACATCAAGAACAGCCTCTGGTATTCCAAAGCCTGGAAGGTGTTACCAATGCTGGAGGAGCAGTGGTGGGTAGTGCAGGGCGAGGGGTCTGAACGCCTGGAGACATCTCCATTAGCCAGTGTCTGAGTGAAAGACCAGGGAGGGGCCCAACTGTTGCCCTGTGGAGGAAACCTGCCATTTTCCACATTACTTCATTGTTTTGTCTTCTAATCAGTCGCTTGTTAGGACCCCAACATGTCTTAGAGACATCAGTGCCACTGTCATCCATATTGGATAAATTCTCCCAGGAGAAAGGCCCCAAGAGAGCTTGGCCAAGTCTCAGGGGCCAGAGGTAATAGAAGGTTTCTGTTTCATGGACAGGAAAGACTGCAGAAACGGGGAGAGGTGGGGTTAAAGCTCTGGGGAGCACAAAGGAATGAAGAACAGTGATCTGACTTCCTTGCTGGGATGCAGACCTAGCAGGTCTGACCCCTGGTTTCAGACCAGGCAAAACCTAAGCATTATCTAATCCCAATGCATGCTGAGCCCTGGTTGTAGACTACATAACTATCTCCCACATAGACTTTTACAAATTTCTGCAGACTCTGTTGAAATTTTAAAAATACAAATTTATTTGGAAAGGTGCAGAATTCATGGTAGCTTTTGATCAGCCGTATCGAAAAGGTACTATAGTTCCTAGTGTGGGGGGCTCATGACATTTTTCTTTGTTTTTTTGTTTGTTTGTTTGTTCTGAGATGGAGTCTCGCTTTGTCTCCCAGCCTGGAGTGCAGTGGCACAATCTCGGCTCACTGCAACCTCTGCCTCCCAGGTTCAAGTGATTCTCCTACCTCAGCCTCCTGAGTAGCTGGGATTACAGGCACGCACCACTGCGCCCAGCTAATTTTTGTATTTTTCGTAGAGACGGGGTTTCGCCATGTTAGCCACGCTGGCCTTGAACTCCTGACCTCAGGTGATCTGCCCATCTCAGCCTCCCAAAGTGCTGGGATTACAGGCATGAGCCACCGCGCCCAGTTGCTCATGACATTTTTCTTTAAAGAGTACTCAGAGGCCGGGCGCGGTGGCTCACGCCTGTAATCCCAGCACTTTGGGAGGCCAAGGCAGGTGGATCACGAGGTCAGGAGATCAAGACCATCCTGGCTAACACGGTGAAACCCCATCTCTACTAAATATACAAAAAATTAGCCGGGCGAGGTGGCAGGCGCCTGTAGTCCCAGCTACTTGGGAGGCTGAGGTAGGAGAATGACATGAACCTGGGAGGCGGAGCTTGCATTAAGCCGAGATCGCGCCACTGCACTCCAGCCTGGGTGACAGAGTGAGACTCCATCTCAAAAAAAAAAAAAAAAAAAAAAAAAAAAGAGTACTCAGAAAACGTGTGAAGCACTGGCTAAGTATTTGTGCTCTGAGGTCAGTAATCATCAGATTGTTCATCACTCAAAGCGAGGAGAACATCATGAACGGTCTCAAGATCTTAATAATCCACCTTGTCTGATGGCAAGACCAGGAAAATAGTGTTATTACGAAGCTAAGCAAGGAATCTAGTGATCTGATTCACTTCAAATGTAGACAGGCTTTATTTCCAGGTGTATCACCAAAGGACATTTTGGTGGCAGAGTATAAAACCCTTAACCAATGTCACCTGCCGGCAGTTCTGCCAGTCCCCAATCGGTCTCTCCTTGGAGCCCCAGGTGGTTGGAAGTCAGGCTCACCTACAGCAGGTGCTCTGTGTAGCCACTCTGCCAACATCAGCATCTTTCTTGCTTCCATTCCAGATTTTGATGGTAGACATAAAAATGATAATAATAAGAGCTTCTGTGTGCAAGCCACGGTAGTAGGCAGGTCATGTGCTTGTTTTCTGATCACAAAAACTCTCAGGTGTCTCAGAGTCAGAATGGAAACTTAGGTCTTTGAGGTTCAAAGCCCGGGGTATGTGTGTGGACACTGAAGGCTGAGGCAACTACTGGGTGACACTGAAGGCTGAGGCAACTACTGGGTGACAAAGTCCACTTTCAAACCTTCTGCTTGTCCAGTTACTGTATGCTGACTGGCTGCCACTGGTCAGTCTCTGCGATTTGGCTTAGAATATTGGGCAAATGACCACAGACACATGGTCAGAAACAGAATGAATCTCTTGGAACTGCCAGGATCAAGGCAGCCACACAGGGCTCACATCCGAAGGCAGCCCTTTCTTTCCATGTGTGGCATAGAAAGGACTCTTGGCCACAGACCTTTACTATTATTCTTATTAAGAGTATTATTTGGCCTTCCTATTCCACTTAGGTAACAGGCAGGCTCGGTAGTATCATTTTGAAATTGGGAGGACAGCAATTCATAGAGACTTAGAACAAATGAGCGTCTGTCACAGGAAAGAACAATCAGCAAACATGGAAAACTAGAGTTCATTTTAAGGAGTTTGTATTTTTTACACTTCTTTTTTAAGGAGATAATTCCCTAACTAAATCTGGAGTAACTATGAATAAACAGAAGTGAGTTTGAATTGAATGCACATCACATTTTGCCACAGTTTCCCGGATTTAGCCAACATTTTTCTGTGATAACTTCCAATAGTGAGTTTTTCATATATCAACAAGTAGTGTCTTAACAAAAGAAATATAAGCCAGGTGCAGTGGTTTGTGCCTGTAATCCCAGCACTTTGGAAGGCCAAGGTGGGAGGATTGCTCGACAACAGGAGGTCAGCACTAGCTTGGGCAACATAGTGAGACCGTCTCTACAAAAATTTTTTTTTAAGTATCTGGACATGGTCACACGCCTGTAGTCGCAGCTATTCAGGAGGCTAAGGCAGGAGGATCCCTTGAGCCCAGGAGTTTGAGGATGCAATGAGCTATGATTGCACCACTGCATTCCAGAGGGAGTCTCTCTCTCTCTCTCCATGTATATGTGTGTGTGTGTGTGTATATATATATATATACTTATATATATATACTTATATATATATACACTTATATATATATACTTATATATATACACTTATATATATATACATATATATACGTATATATATATACATATATATACGTATATATATATACCTATATATATATACGTATATATATACTTATATATATATACTTACATATATATATATGCTGGCTATATATATGAATCTGCCACTCCCCCATGCCACCATCCCATCGATAGGTATCACCCTGTACTCAGCCTTGAGCCAAATAATTGATGCAGTAGCAGCTGCATTTAAGCCATTGTGAAGTATCTGAAGTGTCAGGCTCCCACAATGATTTTGGGAAGCATCCCAGAAAAATCTACTTCCTTGATGCCTGTACTGGGTTGAATAGCATCCCCCCAAAAAAAACTCATGTCCACCCGGAACCTCAGAATGTAACCTTATTTGGAAATAGGATCTTTGTAGATGTAATTAGTTAAATTGAAGTCATCCTGAATTAGGATGGGCTCTAAATCCAGTCACTGGTATGTTGATAAGAAAATTCACAGAGATACTAGCCATGCACGGTGACTCATGCCTGTAATCCCAGCACTTTGGGAGGCTGAGGTGGGTGGAGCGCTCGAGCCCAGGAGTTCAAGACCAGCCTGGCCAACATGGCAAAACCCCGTCTCTACTAAAAAAATGCAAAAAAGAAAAACAATAAAATTCTCAGAGATACGGACACACAGGGAGAAGGCTGTGTAAGACACAGGCAGGGACTGGAGTGAAGCCGAGGAACACTGAGGAACACCGAGGATTTCCAGCAATCACCAGAAACAAGGAGAAAAGTATCGAGCAGGGTCTCCCTCAGAGCCTCTGGAAGGAACCGACCTTGCTGGCACTTGGATTTTTAAGCTTCCAGCTTCCAGAACTGTGAGAATACATTTCTGTTGTTTGAGGCCACTGGGCCTGTGGTAATTTGTTACCCCAAGGAAGCATTGCAGGGCCAGAGATTCCCCTATTCCTTATGTCCATGTGTCTTTTTTTCTGGGAAGCCGGTGGGGTTAACAATTGTGACTATGTCCTTTAGTTCCCAAGGAAAGTAAGTTTGGGCCTCAGTGTGCCTCATTCCAGAAGATAAGCTGTATACTACCCATATACCCATCTAGAGCAAAATACCCATATTTTTCTCTAGAAAAACAAATGCCAAGGAGACGTATTGTCTGTAAAGTCTCTGCTAAATAAATATTCCTCTTTGTTTAAAAATTATACTGGCTTGCTTTGTATATTTTTTTTAAAGAACGATGGTCTGTCCCACCGGGAAAGGAAGGTAGTGGCTGGATGTCACTACGGACACTTTCTGACCCAGGCCACCTTCACCACTCACCTCCACGCTCACATACTGCTGCTGGAATAGGCGCCTGGCTGTCCCCAGGGGCCGGGGCTGGTCTGTGAACCTCAGCCAGAGCCTCTCATTGGTAAGGAATACACTCTGCCTCCAGACCAGGAGCATTTGGGTAGTTGAAGGTCCCACTTTGAGCAGAGGTCACAGGCACTGCAGGTGCGTTCACAGGCACTGCTGCATTCGCTCTGTGCTGCTCTGGCTCTGTACCAATAGGGAAGAAAGCAGAGCAAAAGCACTCTGCCTCTCTTGGTGTCTCTTGATGTCTTGCATTTTACACCTCATTGCAATTCAAAGAATCCAAACATAATGGCCTGCCCTAAACCACAGGGGTTTAAGAACCATGCAAGCAACTGCTTCAGAGGAACAGGGATCAGAGAGGGAAGGATGTGAAAACGGGCCCTGGGAAGCCAGGCTGGCCCCTGCGGTCACCTGCAGGGGTGATAGGACTTACCTGGGTATTGTTTTGTGTCTTATTCATAAAGTGGAATAAATAATTCTCCACTTTGTAGTTATGTAGCTCTTGGCTGTAACCTTTGTAAAGGTCTATGAAACAGCGTCTGCTGAAGTCCTAATTTGAACTTCTTTTTAGCATGCCAACCTGCCAGGAAACAAACAAAAACAGAAACACGTTATGGGCTTCTGATCTTCTAAAAGCCACAGTCAATATACTTAACACTGGCCTAAGGACAAACGGGTACATAGTGATGCCAGTTGTGAGCCTTCGCAGGGATTCATCCAATAAATTAGACATGTTTCATTTATTGGAACCTCATACACATCTTGACCATTGATTTTGTCAAAATATTTTGCTCTAGAAAAACAAATGCCAATTTCCTCCTCCTTGTCCTCCTCTCCTCCAGGTTGGTCGACAACTTCTGCATTTGCGAAGAGTGCAGCGTCCCTCGCTGTCTCATGTATGAGATTTACGTGGAGACCTGTGGGCAAAACACTGAGAACCAAGTCAACCCGGCCACCTTTGGGAAGGTAAGTTGTTGAAGATTAAGAACGCTCTATTCACTGAGTGCAAAAAAGGGAAGCAAGTTATTGGAGGAAATGTTGCAATGTATTTGAGTCTAATGGATTTTCAGTGGGTATCTTTGGCTTCCTTCCCACCAGCTGGTCAACATCCTTCAGCTAATTGAAGAGCCATCCTGTTAGCCACTTCCCTTTGTCCACACTTCATAGTGAGGGGCCAGGAAGGATGAGGAATGGGTAGCACCTAAGGGAATGTAATTATGGCAGCTCCAAGCACTCCTCAGGGAGCCAGGTTTGCTGGCATGGTATTCCCTGCATAGAAGTGCCAAGCTCTGAGAGCCGCTTTGGCACCACACAAGCTGAGAGCCACTTTGTGATGTCAGACAACTGATGTTTCTCACAATTTGGTTGCGCTGAGAGAACTCATTGGCTCTTAAAAGATCTCTGGAGGTTAAGATCTTTTTTTTTTTTTTTTTCCGAGATAGAATTTCCCTCTTGTTGCCCAGGCTACAGCAATGGCGTGATCTTGGCTCACTGCAACCTCCACCTCCCAGGTTCAAATGAGCCTCCTGCCTCTTGCATCTGTATGTCCAGGAGTGAACTTGCAGTGTCAGGGGGTGCATGGCTGAGTGACATCAAGGGATGTGGCCAAACCATTACCCTCCCCACAGCAATCGTGTGGATTTCAATTTTACTTACAAAACATTGAAATGATTAGATCCGTTCTTCCAAACACAGTCTTCGTCTTTGAAACTTCTGTTCATTTGTGGAAGTTCTACACTTTTGATAATCACAGAATCTTCTAATATGGAGGCTGCTCACATATTTGAAACAACTGTTCACCTCTCCCTGTCTTCCCTTTGCCTCCCTGCCCACCTGTTTCGTTATGACTTCAATTATTGACGTTTCCCTTAAAGGTGGCCCCAAGGGTGCAACGCAGTCCCTCAGATGTGCTCAAAGGTCAAGAGCGCTTACCTTTTTTTGGCTACTGTTGGCTTTTATTTTTCTGTATCTGTTCAGTTTAAGCTTGTAGTCAACAGAAACAACCTTAAGTATTTTTTTCTAAAGAGTTGAAATTAAGGTAAGCCTCCCAAAACAGTCTTGTAAAGTGTAAAATATTAATACTCTATATAAATACAAAATGTTGTTGTTATCATACTGTTATCATCATGTAATTAACTATTTGAACCCAAGAGTAGTTATTCTCTTATTCCTATTGTATTTTACCTCAGTTTTTTGTGTTTTTTTGTTTGTTTGTTTTTGTTTTTTGCTTTTTTGAGACAGAGTCTTGCCCTGTCGCCAGGCTGAAGTGCAGTGGCACGATCTTGGCTCACTGCAACCTCCGCCTCCCGAGTTCAAGCGATTCCCGTGCCTCAGTCTCCCAAGTATCTGGGACTACAGGCGTGCACCACCACGCCCAGCTAATTTTTTGTATTTTATTTTAGTAGAGACTGGGTTTCACTATGTTGGCCAGGATGGTCTCGATCTCCCGACCTCGTGATCTGCCCGCCTCCCTAAGTGCTGGGATTATAGGGGTAAGCCAGTGTGCCCGGCCACCTATTCAGTTTTGACCTGCAGTTCTATTTCTCACCATATTCTTGAATCACAGGTGGTTCATCCAGTCTTCCCAACCTGCTGAAGTGGCTATGTTTGAAAAGTGTGTCTTTTATCAAGTCATCTTGCTAGGTGACTCTAAGCTTTTCCCAGTAGCTGGGAATTCCCCCAGCTGCTATCATCCAGGTCATATTTTGCCATTTCATCACTCCAAATATTGGCAAACATCATCCAAGGCTGAGCTGAGTGCTGGGTATCCTGGCCCTGCAGCCTTTTCCCATCCAGCCATCTACCACCCTTATCAGAGGGAAGTGGGTGACTTTGGCTTGACATGTTTTAGCTCCATGGGATGCCTACCTCCTTTTCTAACATAGCAAAAACTCTTTTCCACGAACTTTTAAAGATCTTTTTATAAGGCTGTTTCACCTTCATGGTAATTCTACTGCAAAGCATTAGAAAAAAAAGTTAAAGAGACTCCAGTGTGTGACTACATGCAGCTAGGAGGCATTTTTTATCTCAATACTCTCGGATTCCTTTAGAATTCCTCAAGGTGCCAAGGTACTAACTTTCAGCTCTCATTGGAAATTTGCCTGAAAAACGGGCCACATCAGTTGAGCTGGTATTGGGAAAGGTCTCTGTGCTGCTGAATTTGTGACTAAATGGAGAAGGGAGGGGAAGGGAAAAGGATATGATCCCAACGTATGTTTACAAGAGAAACAACAAAATCCGCAATTCTCACTTCCTCCCTCCTCCCCTGGGAATAGAGTCGGTTTCTCACCAAGTTCCTGTGCAGATGTTGGAATGTTTCTTGCTCTTTGTGGCGGTACTGGGCATGTGATGGGTAAGACTCATTCCTGGTACAAGTGATATTTTACATGGATTAGGGAATTTCCGGAAGGCTGACTTCCTCTTTTGAAATAACATTTGCTGATGTTTTTCTGATTATAAACGGACTACATCCCCTTTGTAGGAAATGTGGAAATTAGAGGAGAATGTGTAAAAAGAAGAAAATGAATGCCGGCTATCACTTCCCTGTCCAGAGATATAGGCCCGTGTGTGTAGTTCATTTGCAGACATGCACACTCACTCATGCACACATATGGGACCGGCAGGAGCTGGAGAAGTAACCACATGGCGACTTCATCTTCCTGTTCTGTGTCTGAAGGTGTCCAGTGGCTGGTTCTTCCTCAGCTCCTGAGTGAGCATTTGAGCAATCAGCATGACCTTGCTGGAAACTCTTGGATGACACCAAGTCTTGTTGTCACTGTAAATACCCAACATTGTCATCAGTCTGATGCTTAGAGTATCCAGTCCCAGATAATATCAAAACTCTGAACTTGATTTAAAGTAGAGCTGTTTCCCCATCCCCTCCAGCTTGGTATCTTGCCACAGAGAACTAGGCCTGGGCTTCTTCCCTCCCTCTGCCTCCTCCCACAGCTCACCAGGTGTGGCCTGACCCCTCTGGGAGGGAGAGAAGGAGGTAAGTGGCTGTATAGTTCTTATTTCATGGCTGCAGGCTCTGGGGGCAGGCGGACCCTGTCTCCCGGTGGTGGTGTTCAGGGCCCCCTTGGGACTGTCCCAGTGTGCATCCCCAGGCTTGGTGAAACACCCTTTTCAGTGGTCACGTGCTGCCTGCCCGGCAGGCTGTCTCCCAGGGCTGCTGTGGCTGACCGCCTGTCCAGGGGGCCTCGCAAGGCAGAGTCTGGGCTCTCCCACATGCCAGCTCTTTCATGGAGAGGTCGCAGCCATTCTCAGCCTGCACAGAGGGTGGATGAGCCGGCTGAACCCACAGCTGCACCCATCTCTTCCACTCTCCTGCCAGAGCCCTGCCCTCACTGCCCACCAGGAGTCTGAGGCCTCTCTTTGAGTGACTCAGGCCTGAGGGGGCCCACACCCCTCCCACACCAGGGAAGAGGGTGGTCTTAAAGCTGGAAAGCCCCTTATGTGTCCTCTCCTCTCTACCTCGTTGTGGGGGATTAGTGTTAAGGGCTTCTGTAGCATTCTATAACCACATTTCAGCTAAATGCCTGAAGACACAAGTCCCCTAGGGTATGTATCTCACAATTCACTTTATGGCATGTTATCTGCTGTCTTTTTGCCTCATCCTGTCATACAGAGGCTGCAAGGCTAGATGGATTGAAAGATCGATGTGTGGATGGGTGATGGACGGACAGATAATAATTAGACAAGAGGACCCTTCAGAAGACTTTCTTCTTCCTGATTTGATTTTTGTCTCCTCTTTGGGCCATGAGTACTGCATGGCCTCTTATTGCTTCCTTACCTCCTGGCCACATCTATTATAAAGAATCCTTTTGAGAAACTCTTCTTCGGTTATTTTCACTTGAGTGTGCTGTTTCCTATTGGGACCCTAACTGATAAAGATAAATAGGTAGATAGACAGACACACAGGCAGACAGACAGATAGCCATCAGGTAACATGGTAAAATTTTTAACAGCATCAAGCCTGGAATGGAACTTCTTAGATTGTAACCCTGGGTAAGATAACCATCTTGTTTCCACTTCATCATATATAAAGTGAGGATATTAATAATAGTAATATTAATAATAGTACCTATTTCATGAGGTTCTTTTAAGAAATGAATGAGAAAACACATGTAAAGAGAATAAAACAGTCCTGGGATGTGGAAAGCACCCAAGAAATACTAACTTTTATCATTCTTTTTGCCTCAAATATCATAAACATTTTTACATTAAGATATTTTCAAGTGCATCTTGTATAATAGCTGTGAAATATTTTGGGAGTTGTACCATAATTTATTTAACCATATCCCCCCTTTTTTTGAGGCAGAGTGTTGCTCTGTCACTTAGGCTGGAATACAGCGACATGATCTCGGCTCACTGCAACCTCTGCCTCCTGGGCTCCAGCAAGCCTCCCACTTCAGTCTCCCAAGTAGCTGGGACTACACGTGTGCCACCACACCTGGTTAATTTTGTTTTGTTTTGTTTGCAGAGACAGGGTTTTGCCAAGTTGCCCAGGCTGGTCTTGGACCCCTGGGCTTAAGCAATGCACCTGCGTCTCCGCCTCCCAAAGTGCTGGGATTACAGGTGTGAGCCACCGCGCCCAGCCTAACCATATCCCTTATTGGAAATATAGGTTGTTTGTAATTTTCCTTCATTTTAAACACCATAAGTCCCCATCCATATCTGGTCATTTTTTTAGGATAGATCCCCATATGTGGCCTGCCGAATTGCTTTTTGCAACCAACTGTAAACAATTGCAGTCAGTTCCCATCCCTGATGATAATTCATGGTATTCTTAGACAAATTCATAACATTCCTACCCCAGAAAACTTGCTGGGTAAAAATTAGAATGAGCTGTTTCTACTTGCATTTATTGGGTTATAAGGTGAGGACTTTTGCGTGCGCTTTGGTCATGTGTATGTTGTGTGTGTACATATTACCACCAGACCATTTTCTATTGCGGCGTATTTCCTATTGATTTGTTTCAGTTCTCTCTATATTCAGGGTATAATTTTTAACTTAATTATATTTTCTGCAAGTTATCCCAGTTGATTTTTTCATTTTAACTGTGTTGTATTTGCTCTCTATATTAAAATGAAATCACAGGATAGTCTGGGGTTGGGGTGACTCAGTATTATCAAATGTACAGAGTATTATGTTGCCGGACAATCAGGCACTTTACTTCTGCTTTTCTTTCCCAAACACCAGATTATTTCTCAGGGCTAGAATCTGAGCCTGCTGCATACTTTCTCATAATTTCTATAGGTACTTAAGACGTGCATCTGGATTTTGCTTTGCAACTAAACATATAGGAAGGCTTTTCAATGATTTTCTTAAGTTAGAGGAGATGAAGTTGTCAGAATCTGTTGTTGACAATAGGAATTTCTAGCCTCTAATACTGCATTTAGATTTGGCTGACTTTTCCTTTTGTCTCCTGTCATTTTTCTTTTCTTTTTCTTTTTCTTTCTTTTTTTTTTTTTTTTTTTTGAGATGGAGTCTCACTCTGTCGCCCGGGCTGGGGTGCAGTGGCGTGATCTCGGCTCACTGCAACCTCCACCTCCTGGGTTCACGCCATTCTCCAGCCTCTGGAGTAGCTGGGACTACAGGTGCCCGCTACCATGCCCGGCAATTTTTTTTTGTATTTTAGTAGAGATGGGATTTTACCATGTTAACCAGGATGGTCTCGATCTCCTGACCTCGTGATCTGCCCACCTCGGCCTCCCAAAGTGCTGGGATTACAGGCGTGAGCCACCGTGCCTGTCGTCTCCTGTCATTTTTCTCCCGTACATTTTGATTCTCCTTCCCTGAAAGACCCTCTGCATTTGGAGGCATGATCGAGGTGTTAATTGTGTCAAACTTGCCCTGCTCTTTTGTCTTGCCTCCCCCTCATCCCAGCTTGTGTGGACTTCCTGCAGGAAGAGGTAGAACCTGGAGCCAGAAAAGAGGAAAAATGGTTCACATTTCCATCAAATCCCACTGCTTGGGAGCTAATTAAAAAAAAAAAAAGAAAGAAAGAGGGATGCAACATGAAACCAAGCAGAAGCAAGGGCTGAATGATTACGGACAGGGTGTAGAGAAAGAACAGAAGTAATTACTTGACAGCTCCAAATACCGTGGCTTCCCTGCTCTGTGTTTTGTAATTTCTTGATGATCCAGGATTTCCACTCTCAACATGCATGTCATGGATGCCACGCTTGTCATGAACCTCGCTGATTCGGAAACTAGACCAGACTTCTATTGGTCATAAGTGTAATGTCATGGCTCTCTAACAAAGTGCTGATAAACAAGATAGCATTTCACTAATCAAACCCAGAAAGTGAAAACAAATTAGGCAAACAAATGGATAATAAAAAGTGAAAATGGGGTCTGGCTTCCAAGATGGCCGAATAGGAACAGCTCCTATCTGCAGCTCTCAGTGAGATCGACGCAGAAAGACAGGTGATTTCTGCATATCCAACTGAGGTTCCTGGTTCATCTTGTTGGGACTGGTTGGACAGTGGGTGCAGCCCACCGAGGGCAAGCTGAAGCAGGGTGGGGTGTCGCCTCACCAGGAAGCTCAAGATGTCGGGGGATATCCCTTTCCTAGCCAAGGGAAGCCATGACAGACTGTACCTGGAAAAACAGTTCACTCCTGCCCAAATACTGCACTTCTCCCAAGGTCTTAGCAACTGTCAGACCAGGAGATTCCCTCCTGTGCCTGGCTCAGTGGGTCCCATGCCCATGGAGCCTTGCTCCCTGCTAGTGCAGCAGCAGTCTGAGATCGACCTGCGAGGATGCGGCCAGGTGGGGGGTGGGGCGGGGCATCGGCCATTGCTGAGGCTTGAGTACGTAAACAAAGTAGCTGGGAAGCTCGAACTGGATGCAGCCCACTGCAGTGCAACAAGCCCTACTGCCTCTATGGACTCCACCTCTGTGGGCAGGGCATAGCTGAACAAAAGGCAGCAGACAACTTCTGCAGACTTAAACGTCCCTGTCTGACAGCTCTGAAGAAAGCCGTGGTTCTCCCAGCACAGCATTCAAGCTCTGAGAACGGACAGACTGCCTCCTTAAGTGGATCCCTGACCCCCACGTAGCCTGACTGGGAGACACCTCCCAGTTGCATCCAACAGACACCTCATATGGTGGGTGCCCCTCTGGGACAAAGCTTCCAGAGGAAGGATTAGGCAGCAATATTTGCTATTCTGTGATATTTGCTGTTCTGCAGCCTCTGCTGGTGATACCCTGGCAAACGGGGTCTGGAGTGGACCTCCAGCAAACTCCAACAGACCTGCAGCTGAGGGGCCTGACTGTTAGAAGGAAAACTAACAAACAGAAAGGAATAACATGAACATCAACAAAAAGGACATCCACACCAAAACCCCATCTGTAGGTCACCAACATCAAAGACCAAAGGTAGATAAAATCACAAAGATGGGGAGAAACCAGAGCAGAAAAGCTGAAAATTCCGAAAACCAGAGTGCCTCTTCTCCTCCAAAGGATTGCAGCTCCTCGCCAGCAACGGAACAAAACTGGACGGAGAATGACTTTGACGATTTGACAGAAATAGGCTTCAGAAGGTCGGTAATAACAAACTTCTCCAAGCTAAAGGAGGATGTTTGAACCCATTGCTAGGAAGCTAAAAACCTTGAAAAAAGGTTAGACGAATGGCTAACTAGAATAAACAGTGTAGAGAAGGCCATAAGGGACCTGATGGAGCTGAAAACCGTGGCACGAGAACTTTGTGATGCATACACAAGCTTCAATAGCCAATTCGATCAAGTGGAAGAAAGGATATCAATGATTGAAGATCAAATTAATGAAATAAAGTGAAAAGACAAGATTAGAGAAAAAAGAGTAACAAGAAATGAACAAAGCCGCCAAGAAATATGGGACTATGTGAAAAGATAAAATCTGTGTTGATTGATGTACCTGAAAGTGATGGAGAGAATGGGGAACCAAGTTAGAAAACACTCTTCAGGATATTATCCAGGAGAACTTCTCCAACCCAGCAAGGCAGGCCAACATTCAAATTCAGGAAATACAGAGAATACCACAAAGATACTTCTCAAAAAGAGCAACCCAAGACACTTAATTGTCAGATTCACCAAGGTTGAAATGAAGGAAAAAGTGTTAAGGGCAGACAGAGAGAAAGGTCGAGTTACCCACAAAGGGAAGCCCATCAGACTAACAGCAGATCTCTCGGGAGAAACCCTACAAGCCAGAAGAGAGTGGGGGCCAATATTAAACATTCTTAAAGGAAAGAATTTTCAACCCAGAATTTCATATCCAGCCAAACTCAGCTTCATAAGTGAAGGAGAAATAAAATCCTTTACAGACAAGCAAATGCTGAGAGATTTTGTCACCACGAGGCCTGTCTTACAAGAGCTCCTGAAGGAAGCATAAACTTGGAAACAAACAGCCGATACCAGTCACTGCAAAAACTTGCCAAATTGTAAAGACCATCAATGCCATGTAGAAACTGCATCAATTAGTGGGCAAAATAACCAGCTAACGTCATAATGACAGGATCAAATTCACACATAACAATATTAACCTTAAATGTAAATGGACTAAATGCCCCCATTAAAGGACACAGACTGGCAAATTGGATAAAGAATCATGGCCCATCAGTGTGCTGTATTCAGGAGACCCATCTCATGTGCAGAGACACAGGTAGGCTCAAAATAAGGGGATGGAGGAAGATCTACCAAGCAAATGCAAAGCGAAAAAAAAGCAGGGGTTGCAATCCTTGTCTCTGAGAAAACAGACTTTAAACCAACAAAGATCAAAAGAGACAAAGAAGGCCATTACATAATGGTAAAGGGATCAATTCAACAAGAAGAGCTAACTGTCTTAAATATATATGCACCCAATACAGGAGCACCCAGATTCATAAAGCAAGTCCTTAGAGACCTACAAAGAGACTTAGACTCCCACACACTAATAATGGGAGACTTTTAACACCCCACTGTCAACTTTAGACAGATCAATGAGCTAGAAGGTTAACAAGGATATCTGGGACCTAAACTCAGCTCTGCACCAAGCAGACCTAATAGACATCTACAGAACTCTCCAGCCCAAATCAACAGAATATACATTCTTCTCAGCACCACATCACACTTATTCTAAAATTGATCACATAATTGGAAGTAAAGCACTCCTCAGCAAATGTAAAAGAACAGAAATCATAACAAACTGTCTCTCAGACCACAGTGCAATCAAATTAGAACTCAGGAATAAGAAACTCACTCAAAATTGCACAGCTACATGGAAACTGAACAACCTGCTCCTGAATGACTACTGGATAAATAAAAAAATGAAGGCAGAAATAGAGATGTTCTTTTTGAAACCAATGAGAACAAAGACACAATGTACCAGAATCTCTGGGACACATTTAAAGTGTGCGTAGAGGGAAATTTATAGCACTAAATGCCCACAAGAGAAAGCAGGAAAGATCTAAAATCGACACCCTAACATCACAATTAAAAGAACTAGAGAAGCAAGAGTAAACAAATTCAAAAGCTAGCAAAAGGCAAGAAATATCTAAGATCAGAGCAGAACTGAAGGAGATAGAGACACAAAAAACCCTTCAAAAAAATCAATGAATCCAAGAGCTGGTTTTTTGAAAAGATCAACAAAATTGATAGACCGCTAGCAAGACTAATAAAGAAGAAAGGAGAGAAGAATCAAATAGATGCAATAAACAATGATAAAGGGGATATCATCACCGATCCCACAGAAATACAAACTACCGTCAGAGAATAGTATAAACACCTCTACGCAAATAAACTAGAAAATCTAGAAGAAATGGATAAATTCCTGGACACATACCCCCTCCCAAGACTAAACCAGGAAGAAGTTGAATCTCTGAATAATAGGTTCTGAAATTGAGGCAATAATTATTGGCCTACCAACCAAAAAAAGTCCAGAACCAGATGGATTCTACAGCCAAATTCTACCAGAGGTACAAAAAGGAGCTGGTACCATTCCTTCTGAAACTATTCCAATCAATAGAAAAAGGGAATCTTCCCTAACTCATTTTATGAGGCCATCATCATCCTGATACCAAAGCCTGGCAGAGACATAACAAAAAAAAAGAGAATTTTAGACCAATATCCCTGATGAACATCGATACGAAAATCCTCAATAAAATACTGGCAAACCGAATCCAGTAGCACATCAAAAAGCTTATCCACTATGATCAAGTCGGCTTCATCCCTGGGCTGCAAGGCTGGTTCAACATACGCAAATCAATAAATGTAACCCATCACATAAACAGAACCAACGACAAAACCACATGATTATCTCAATAGATGCAGAAAAGGCCTTTGGCAAAATTCAACAGCCATTCATGCTAAAAACTCTCAATAAACTAGGTATTGATGGAACGTATCTCAAAATAAGAAGAGCTATTTATGACAAATCCACAGCCAATATCATACTGAATGGGCAAAAAGTGGAAGCATTCCCTTTGAAAAGCGGCACAAGACAAGGATGCCCTCTCTCACCACTCCTATTCAACATAGTGTTGGAAGTTCTGGCTAGGACAATCAGGCAAGAGAAAGAAATAAAGGGTATTCAATTAGGAAAAGAGGAAGTCAAATTATCCCTGTTTGCAGATGACATGATTGTATATTTAGAAAACCCCATCTTCTCAGCCCAAAATCTCCTTAAGCTGATAAGCAACTTCAGCAAAGTCTCAGGATACAAAATCAATGTACAAAAATTACAAGCATTCCTATACACCAATTACAGACAGAGAGCCAAATCATGAGTGAACTCCCATACACAATTGCTACAAAGAGAATAAAATACCTAGGAATACAACTTATAAGGGATGTGAAGGACCTCTTCAAGGAGAACTACAAACCACTGCTCTAGGAAATAAAAGAGGACACAAACAAATGGAAGAACGTTCTATGCTCATAGATAGGAAGAATCAATATCGTGAAAATGGCCATACTGCCCAAGGTAATTTATAGATTCAATGCCATCCCCATCAAGCTACCAATGACTTTCTTCACAGAATTGGAAAAAACTACTTTAAAGTTCATATGGAACCATAAAGGAGCCTGCATAGCCAAGATAATCCTAGGCCAAAAGAACAAAGCTGGAGGCATCACACTACCTGACTTCAAACTATACTACAAGGCTACAGTAACCAAAACAGCATGGTACTGGTACCAAAACAGAGATATAGACCAATGGACCAGAACAGAGGCCTCAGAAATAACACCACACATCTACAACCATCTGATCTTTGACAAACCTGACAAAAACAAGCAATGGGGAAAGCATTCCCTATTTAATAAATGTTGCTATGAAAACTGGCTAACCATATGTAGAAAGCTGAAGCTGGATCCCTTCCTTACACCTTATACAAAAATTAACTCAAGATGGATTAAAGACTTATATGTAAGACCTAAAACGATAAAAACCATAGAAGAAAACCTAGGCAAGCCAGGCATGGTGGCTCACACCTGTAATCCCAGCACTTTAGGAGGCTGAGGTGGGTGGATCGTCTGAGGTCAGGAGTTCGAGAACAGCCTGGCCAACATAGTGAAACCCCGTCTCTACTAAAAAATACAAAAAATTAGCTGAGTGTGGTGGCGGGTGCCTATAATCCCAGCTACTCAGGAAGCTGAGGCAGCAGAATCGCTTGAACCTGGGAGGCGGAGGTAGCAATGAGCTGAGATTGTGCCATTGCACTCCACGGCAACAAGAGTGAAACTCTGTCTCAAAAAAAAAAAGAAAAAAGAAAAAGAAAACCTAGGCAATACCACTCAGGACATAGGCATGGGCAAAGACTTCATGACTAAAACACCAAAAGCAATGGCAACAAAAGCCAAAATTGACAAATGGGATCTAATTAAACTAAAGAGCTTCTGCACAGCAAAAGAAACTATCATCAGAGTGAACAAGCAATCTACAGAATGGGAGAAAATTTTTACAATCTACCCATCTGACAAAGGGCTAATATCCAGAATCTACAAATAACTTAAACAAATTTACAAGAAAAAAACAAACAACCCCATCAAAAAGTGGGTAAAGGGTATGAACAGACTCTTCTCAAAAGAAGACATTTATGCAGCCAACAGACACATGAAAAAATGCTCATCATCACTGGTTATCAGAGAAATGCAAATCAAAACCACAATGAGATATCATCTTACGCTGGTTAGAATAACGATCATTAAAAAGTCAGGAAACAGCAGATGCTGGAGAGGATGTGGAGAAATAGGAATGCTTTTACACTGTTGGTGGGAGTGTATATTAGTTCAACCATTGTGGAAGACAGTGTGGTGCTTCCTCAAGGTTCTAGAACTAGAAATACCATTTGACCCAGCGATCCCATTACTGGGTATATACCCAAAGGATTATAAATCATTCTACTATAAAGACACATGCACACATATGTTTATTATAGCACTATTCACAATAGCAAAGACTTGAAACCAACCCATATGACCATCAATGATAGACTGGATTAGGAAAATGTGACACATATACACCATGGAATACTATGCAGCCATAAAAAAGATGAGTTCATGTCCTTTGCAGGGACATGGATGATGCTGGAAACCATCATTCTCAGCAAACTATCACAAGGACAGAAAACCAAACACTGCATGTTCTCACTCATAGGTGGGAATTGAACAATGAGAGCACATGAACACAGGGAGGGGAACATCACACACCGGGGCCTGTCGGGGGTGGGGGGCTGGGGCAGTGATAGCATTAGGAGAAATACCTAATGTAAATGACAAGTTGATGGGTGCAGCAAACCAACATGGCACATGTATACGTACGTAACAAACCTGCATGTTGTGCACATGTACCCTAGAACTTAAAGTACAATAATAATTTAAAAAGTGAAAATGACTATCACATTAGAAAAAGAGGAAAATGGTAAAATTATAGCATTCTCACAGGTTGGACTATGATGCCAACCTGTGAGCCCAATTATAACTATGTTTCATAATTCTCTGCTTCCAGAGAATTTTTTATGACAAGGGGAAATATCCGTGGCATAATGTTGAGGGAAGAAAGTAGAATGCAAAACTGTAGACATGCAAGTTGTGTGATGCCAGGTATTAAATATGAAACACAGAGAACGCTTACACATATTGGGGCTTTGAAAAAAAGACTGGAAGAAATTACATTGAGGGTTTTTTGTTTTGTTTTGTTTTTGAGACCGAGTTTCACCCTTGTCACCTAGGCTAGAGTGCGATGCACTCTCAGCTCACTGCAACCTCTGCCTCCTGGGTTCATGCCCGGCTAATTTTTGTATTTTTAGTAGAGACGGGTTTTCACCATGTTGACCAGGCTGATCTCAAACTCCTGACCTCAGGTGATCTGTCCATCGTGGCCTCCCAAAGTGCTGGGATTACAGGCATGAGTCACCATGCCTGGCCAACATCGAGATTTAAATGGCATTTTCTCCAAGTGATATGTTTTCTTTTTTTCTCTCTTTTTATTTATTTATTTTTTTTTGAGACAGAGTCTTGCTCTGTCACCCAGGCTGGAGTGCAGTGGCATGATCTTGGCTCACTGCAACCTCCACCTCCTTGGTTCCAGTGATTCTCCTGCCTCAGCCTCCAGAGTAGCTGGGACTACAGGTGTGTGCCACCATGCCTGGCTAAGTTTGTTTGTTTGTTTTGAGATGGAGTCTCGCTCTGTCACCAGGATGGAGTGCAGTGGTGCGATCTCGGCTCACTGCAACCTCCACCTCCCAGGTTCAGCCTCCCTAGTAGCTTCCTGCCTCAGCCTCCTGAGTAGCTGGGACTACAGGCACATGTTACCACGCCCAGCTAATTTTTGTATTTTTAGCAGAGACGGGGTTTCACCATGTTGGCCAGGATGGTCTCAATCTCTTGACCTCATGATTCGCCTGCCTCAGCCTCCCAAAGTGCTGGGATTACAGGCGTGAGCCACCATGCCCAGCCTTTGTATTTGTAGTAGAGACCAGGTTGTAGAGACAGGGTTTCACCATGTTGGCCAGGCTGGTTTTGAACTCCTGACCTCAAGTGATTGGCCTGCCTCAGCCTCCCAAAGTGTTGGCATTACAGGCAGGAGCCACCGTGCCTGGCCTCCAAGTGGTATGTTTTCTTTTTGACACCTGTCTAATTTTTTTCCCCCAAAATTTCATTTACATTTATTTTCTTTATTGTTACCTTATTACTTTATTATTATATTTATTTTCTTTATTGTTTGCTTATTAGAAAAGAGGAAAAGGAATATCATTTAAATATTGTAAGATAAAAAATTGGAAGTTTGTTTCTAAGTTTTCAAGTTGCAACTTTAAATCTGGCTTATTCTTTTAGCTTGTGAGATTGGTTTTTCCGGACCTTGGCACCCGGAGGCTGGGCACTAGAGGAAGTGCCAGGTAGGTTTAGAATTTTTGTTTTATTTCAAATGTTAAAAACAAGGATTTGGAAAATCACAAAATGAATGATAAAAAATGCAAAACAAAACAAACTATAAATAACAACTCTTACCAAAGAGTGTCCACAATTCGCATTAATTCCCAGTGCCTGAAATCATTGAGTTGGTGCTAGAACCAAACACTGGCCTCTATTTTCTTCGGAATTTTGTTAAAATATGAAGGTTACAATATATTTTTATTGTTCTACAGTTAGGTAAATGTCTCATTCTTGAAATATTTAAATAATTAACACACATCAAATAATGCAACTGTTGCCCAGGCTGGAGTGCAATGCTGCAATCGTTGCTCACTGCAGCCTGAAGCCCCTGGGCTCAAGCAGTCCTTCCACTTCAGCCTCCTGAGTAGCTAGGACTGCAGGTGTGTCCCACCAGGCCTGGCTAGTTTTTCATGTTTTTTAGAGACGAGGTTTTCCTAAATTGCCCAGGTGGGTCTCAAACTCCTGGGCTCAAATGATCCTCCCACTTTGGCCTCCCAAAGCACTGGGATTACGGGCGTGAGCCACCACGTCCGGCCTTGGAGCTGTTTTAATTACCCTTTGAACTAAAGTTTCTGTGTTCACAAAATTAGCATATTTGAATTATATTCCGGAGGTGCGGTCCCGAGGCTATATTACTTTTCTTTTTTTTTTTTTTTTTGAGACGGAGTTTCACCCTTGTCGCCCAGGCTGGAGTGCAATGGCGTGATCATGGCTCACTGCAACCTCCGCCTCCCAGATTCAAGCGATTCTCCTGCCTCAGCCTCCCGAGTAGCTGGGATTACAGGCGCCTGCCACCACGCCCGGCTTATTTTTTGTATTTTTAGTAGATACAGGATTTTATCATGTTGGCCAGGCTGGTCTCAAACTCCTGACCTCAGATGATCCACCCGTCTCAGCCTCCCAAAGTGCTGAGATTACAGGCGTGAGCCACCGCGCCCAGCCCCAAGGTTGTATTTCTAACGTGAAAAGAAATTCCAGTATTATCGAGTGCCTTGTGTCATAATTGTCACTCAATTATTATTGCTATTTGTTGCTTGTTTTAAATTGCGAGGGGAAATCAGCGAGAAGACATTGAAGCCAAATTAGGAAAGGGGGCTGCCACTCACCAAGGAATTGAAGACAGTGGAAGTGTTTGCCAAACCTAATATTGGGCAATAATTAACTAGAAAAAATTTTGTCTGAAGCCGGGACAAGCTGCTATAGTCCCCTGGGCTTAGCGGAGGAAGGTGTGGGCTGCAGAGAAGGCTCTTGGCTTCCCTCCTGGGTTTCTGACAACTTCAGTGGAGGGAGCCTTGGTATCATTTTCCCTTCACCTGAAAAAGGTTAATGGGTGCTGGGGGGTCGGGGGGCAGTGGTTGAGGGCACAGGGCAGGGAACAGGAGGCTTTCCCTATCACATCTCTCTAAGATTAGTGTGTGCTGCATCAGGCAAGCAGAGGAGAGCCTCCACAAGCCTATTTCAAGGCTGATATGTGTGAAAGTGTATGAAGTTGCCTGTCTACATAACAGAGCTTGGTCAGACTGAAGGATTAGCTTTTCCAGAGAAATGCAGCCAATGCTAAAACCTGGAGAAGAACTCCAAGTCTTCATTAGTTCGCCTATTCTCTGCCTTCCATAAAGCATGTCAGTAGTTAGACATAAATTTAAAGACAACCTTTATTTTTCCAGGTATCATTATGATGGAATCTGTATCAAGAAAAGCTCTTTCTTCTATGCCCAGTATTGCTACCTGATAGGTGAAAAAAGGTATCACAGGTTAGTAGCTATCATTTTGGCACTTTGGTCTTGGGTCACAAGCCTGGTGAATGTTAGAACCATTCAGGCCAAGTGTGGTGGCTCACGCCTGTAATCCCAACACTTTGGGAGGCTGGGGCACAAGAACCGCTTGAGTTGAGTTCAGTAGTTCAAGACCAGCCTGGGCAACATGGCAAATCTCCATCTCTACTAAAAAATACAAAAGTTAGCCAGGCATGGTGTTGTGCACCGGTAGTGTCAGCTACTCGAGAGGCTGAGGTGGGAGGATCACCTGAGCCTGACAAGGTCCAGGCTGCAGTGAGCCGTGATTGCGTCACTGCATTCCAGCCTGGGTGACAGAGTGAGACCCTGTCTCAAAATAGTAATAATAATAATAAATTAATAAATAAAAGAACCATTCATATTTTAGTTGTATCTAACTGACTTTTTGGTTGTTCTGTCTTTAAGTCCTCCTTAAGGAAACACACATATCACATCAACATTTAACCAATGTCCCTTTGTCAGCCTCTGGCAATGTCATTGGCCAGAGAAATCCATTTCTGGTTCATTTCCTTAGACATTTCTCATTTTGAGTGTCATCCAGTTGCCAAAGCCATTTTTCGCTGAGTCTATCCTTCTCAACCTTTCTGCAAAATTTGACACAATTGGGCACCTCTCTCAAAGCTTCCTTTAGCCCTCAGGACTGTGTCATCCAACCCCCACCAGCCCTGAATCCTTGGTCTCCTGCTCTTTCCCTTCTCCATTAAGCTTAGGCTCTCCCCGAGATCTCATCTTGATAATCGCCATTACTCTTCCTACTGTTTGGCCCCAGACATCTCATCCTTTTTTGTCTTTCACCTATGGCCTCCTGCAGGTGGATGACTCCTGAATCCTTCTCACTGGTCCTGACCTTGCCCACCTCCTAGGCATTCCTCCCTGGCTCTCTACTGGACATTTCCACTTCGATGACCCACTGGTACCTCACACTCAACATATGGAAATCTAAATTTAGCCTCTTCCTCCAGATTGTCTCTGCCCCTTGATTTTCTTAGTTCAATCTTGATACCAACAGATAGAACCTATACAAAGTGTCACCCCAAAGCCACCCCTGACCCCCGTGGGTCACAAAGCCTTGTTAACTTTTCTCTTTAAGTTCTCCTGAACTCACTCTTTTTGGTAACCCATATCTCCTTTAATCCTTTGTCATCTTACACTGAAATTATTTCCAGTGATCCCATATGGCCTTCCCCTCCTCAGCCTCTCCCTGCTCTAAACACAGCTACCAGATGAATCCTCCTAAAATTCTACATTTGCTTTGTCTCTTTCCTGCTCAGAAACACGTGAGTGCTTGTTCTTACCTCCTGGATAAAGGCCAACCCTAGGCTGGTGTTAGCCAAGTTTCTTCTGACTCCACTTTCCAACCGTGTGTTGCCTATTTCTCCCCAATATCAACCATAATTTAAGCCACACTCACTTTTCCCTGAACATATCAAATGCAGTCCACCTTTGCTCCCACCATCCAACCTTCCATAGTGCCATTTCTTCTTGTCTCTGTCTAATGGGACCTTCCTGAATACCATCCATACCTTCTGGACATACCTCAGAGACCACCTGCCCCATGGGACCATCCCCAACAATGCCAGCTACAGGAAAGTTCTTTCTTCCACTTCTTCATGCTGACCACTGTCCATCCATACAACCAGCATTCCTGCTCTTTGAGCCTTCTTTGGCATAAAAAGATGACCATATGTCCAAATAGCCAAGGACAATATCAATTTCACTTGGAGCCCTGCATAATTATTAATTGTGCTTCTTTCACTCTCAAAGGTGTTCTAGTTTGAACAATAAATTAAAATGAATTATATGGTCACCTTTGGTATAAAGCATCCTATGTATGAGGCAGCTGCTGTGGTAGAGAGATGAGGAGCCTCCAGTATGGGTAAGACAGGGACCCTTTTCTCTGATAGCTGAAGAGGGAGGCTAAGATGTCCATTTACTTTGATCCTCAAATATAATATGACGAGTGTCAGAAATGTACAAAAGGTACCATAAGAACTCAAAGATGTGCAGCACACATTTTGGGTAGGGGATCATGAAGGGCCTACAAGGGCGTTGGGCTTTGAGTGAAGCAATGAAGAACAGATTAGAATTTTGACAGGTGGTGTCGGAGAAGGAGGCAGGAGTGCAGAGGACATCCAGGCTTAGGGGAGCAAAGATAAAAGTACATGAAGGCATGGGCTTCGTCCTGTACAGGCATGCATGGAGCTCTAGTAGAAGAATATGAATCTGGAGGGAAAGTTCAGGGGGCCTAGATTACCAGGCTGGGCAGTGGAGGGTGTCCACAAGTCCTTTGGAGGCTTCCTTTGAGAAATAGGGTGGAATATCCACAAGGGCAGAAACCATGGAGCTTTGTTTGTTTCTGTCCTGCTGTGGTTTGAATGTTTGTGTCCTTCCAAAATTCACACTGAACCTGATCCCCAATGCAACAATCTTAAGAGGTGGGGCCTTTCCAAGATGATTAGGCCATGAAGCCTCCACCCTCATGAATGGGATTAATAACCTTATAAAAGAGGCTTCAGAGAGCTAGCTGGCCCTTTCGTCTCTTCTGCCATGTGAGGGCACAGTGTTCATCTCTGTCATCCTTCTGCCTTCTGCCATGTGAGGATGTAGCAACAAGGTACCATCTTAGAAGCCAAGAGCAAGAACTGGAGGTTGTTATGTTAAGTTAAATAAGCCAGACACGAAAGACAAATATTGCGTGTTCTCACTCATAGGAGAGAGCTAAAATAAGTTTATCTTGTGGAGGCAAGAGTAGAATAGTGGTTACCAGAGGCTGGAGAGAATAGGGAGGAATGAAAGATGGGTTAATGATTAATGGATATCAACATATGGTTAGACAGAAAGAATAAGTTCTAGTATTTGATAGCCCAGTAGGGTGACTATAGTTAATGATATATTATGTGATATATTATGTATTTCAAAATATCTAGAAGATTTGAAATGTTCCCAACACAAAGAAATAATAAGTGTTTAAGGTAACGGATATGCTAAACACCCTGATGCATGTATCACAATATCACATGTACCCCATAAATGTATACAATTAGTATGTTAAAAAAGAAGAAGAAGCAGCAAAGAGCAAACTTTTACCAGACACCAAATCTGCCCGCACCATGATCTTGGACTTCTCATTCTCCAGAACTGTGAGAAATAAACTTCTTTTGTTTATAAAGTACCCAGTCTAAGGTATTTTGTTACAGCTGCAGGAACAAGGACATATTCCCAGAGTGGGCACTGAAATAGCTATTGGAGAACTGAAAATTCAGCCTTGCGGTTTAAGAATAGTTGGGAAAGGAGAGGGTGATGAGCCTGGAGATGGCCCCAGGGCTGCTGCCGTTGTTCAGATTTGCACTGGAATCAGACAGGAGGCAGGTCTGAGAGACCTCTTAGAGGCAGGGTCTTCAGGATCTGGCAGTTGGTTGAGTCAGTGTAGTAGAAGGGAGCAGAGATGATTCAGTCAAGCCTGTCCCACCTAAACCTCAAACTCAACCTCAAATAAAGTCACTGTGCTCTGCGCCAAACCAGCTCTTCCTCTTACATCTCTTATTCATCTCTTAGTCACGGGGATGGAAAAGTTACATTGGCAAAAATAGAGAAGCTAGGAAAAGGAATAGCTATAATGAGAGATTTATTTTAGTGACTGTTAGAATGTCCCTGGTGCGAATTTGTTCTCTCACTTGCTGATCTGTAGGCTCCTGAAAGGCTGGGTGTAGATCCTGCATTCCATTGTGTGCCCCCCCACCCCCACCCCCTGGCACCTAGCAGTCAGTTAACTAACAGACAATTTGGAGAGCCCTGCATGCTCCAGGAAAACAAGTAACTAGGCAGGCACTCGGCACTCAGAGGGGAGAGACCATTAGCGTCCCGGGGACTCTGTTTGTTTCCGATGTCACAGAGAGAGGGGCTAGGAGTGTCCTTTGTGGGGGAAGGAAGATAGGCTTTATCATCGGTGAGGAAGAGGAGGACTGCTAGAGGACAAAGATAAAGGCAAGAGTGACATCGGCTGGTCATGAGATAAGGCCAGCAACAGGTGCTTTTCATGTACTCTATGCTCAGCATATACTTAATAATTGATCAACTTGGCTGGGAGCGGTGGCTCAGGCCTGTAATCCCAGCACTTTGGGAGACCAAGGCGAGTGGATCACGAGGTCAGGAGATCGAGACCAGCCTGGCCAACATACTGAAGCCCCATCTCTACCACAAATACAAAAATTAGCCAGGTGTGGTGGCACGTGCCTGTAGTCCCAGCTACTTGGGAGGCTGAGGCAGCAGAATCGCTTGAACCTGGGAGGTGGAGGCTGCAATGAGCTGAGATCACGCCACTGCACTCCAGCCTGGGTGACAGAGTGAGACACCATCTCAAAAAGAATAACAAAAAACAAAAACAAACAAAAGTAATAGATCAACTTTAAAGTCTTGGCCAACTAAGAAATTTTTTTTTTAAAGCATTAAGATTTAAGGATAACTTCACTGCCAATGCCACGTTCAGAACATACAAAAGTGTATTTTAGAAAGCACAAGTGTAAGAAATGGTACACTGTTGTTAATGAGCTGTACTGATGAAAAGTGTCTATTTTATTATATAAGGACCTGTGTGACAAATTCCTCTTAAAAATTAGGTCTCAAAATAAATAAGTTTATCTCTCTGGTTTTCAGGTAATGAAAACTCTATAACTCATCTGCCATTTACTTATTTGTTCATTCATTTGAGTTCCTACAATAAGTCAGGCCTGTTCTAGCTACTGGTGATATAGCAGTGAATAAGATAAACAAGGTCTCTCCTTTTATTAGCTTAGTTAGGAAAAAAGAATAAAAAAGGACAATAGACCAGGCATAGTGGCTCCTGCCTGTAATCCCAGCACTTTGGGAGGCCAACATGGGCAGATTGTTTGAGTTCAGGAGTTCGAGACCAGCCTGGGCAATAAAGCAAGACCCTCATCTCTTCAAAAAATATAAAATTAAAAATTTTATATTTAATATATATTTATATATAACTATTAGCTGGGCATGGTGGTGCACTTGCGGTCCCAGCTATTCAGGAAGCTGAGGTGGGAGAGTAACCTGAGCCCGGGAGGTCAAGGCTGCAGTGAGCTATGATCACGCCACTGCACTCCAGCCTGGGCTACAGAGCAAGACCCTGTCTCAAAAAAAAAGGAACAATCGCGAGATGTGGCCTGAAGACAATACAATGGAGTCATGGAGAGGCCTCCCTGAGACAACACCATTTGAACAGAGTGCCAGTCAAGGAGCCAAGTGAAGATCTGGAACAAGCATTCCAGGCAGAGGAAAGGGCTGTGCAAAAGGCCTGAGGCAGAGATTAGTTCAAGGAGCAAGAAAGTCTGAGGGTGGACTTCAGTGGGTGAGCAGGAGGGTGGGAGGAGAGGAACCTGAACACAGAGGTGAGGTAGAGGTTAGAGAGACTAGGGAGAGGCTTTTGTGGCAGCCCTGGAAGAAACAGCCCATTGAGATGAATGACTTAAATAACTTTAATTCTCCCAAGAAGCAGCAGCACACTATGCAATACTACATGTGGATAAGAGCAGATACTGGAACAGACTGCCTGGCTCTACCACTAGTAAGCTGTGTGATCTTAGGCAGGTCACTCAATCTCTCTGTGTCTCAGTTTCCTCATCCATTAATTAAGGATAACAGTATCTACTTCATGGGACTGTTGTGAGATTACATTAATTAATACAGGGAAAATGCTTAGTGCAGCATCTGGCACACAGTAAACATTCAGTAGGGCTTCTAAGCATATTGATCTGTACTTTGATGTATTTATTTTATCAAGTCTGCATGATTTTTTCATGGTATTCATATATTATTTTTACTCTAGTTATTGTATTTTTCAGTTGCATAATTTCCACTTGATTCTTTTGTATGACTTATATGACTTTGCTGAGGTTTTCAATTTTTTCATTTGTTTCAAGAGAATTCACAATTATTTGTTGGAGCATTTTTATAATGACTGCTTGAAAATCCTTGTCAGATAATTCAACATCTGATTCGCCTCAGTCTTGGCATCAGTTGATTGTCTTTTCTCATTCAAATGGTGACTTACCTGGTCTTTGGGATTATGGGTGAGTTTCCATTGTATCCTGGGAATTTTGGTTATGTTAGGAGACTCTTGATCCTATTTAAATCTTCTGTTTTAGACAGAAGGCAGTTGCCCTGTTTAGGTTTAGTGTGTAGGTTCTGGCCTACTTTTATGGGCTGTGGGTCCAATGCCAGCTCAGTTTCCTGAGCCTTTGCATGCTATTCTTGTCTGCTTCATTCTTCTGGCACTGCTGAGATTTCTGATTAATCCCTAGTGGTGCCACCTGCAGGGGCTCAACCCACTTCCATGGACCACTTTCTGTGGAGAGTGGGGAGAGCCAGAGTGTCTGGGCCTGGGTCTCCTTATGCCCCTTGGTGTAAGGAGGGAGGCATCAGGCTCTGCCAATGTTGTCATGTGGGGAGCATGACCTGCCATTTCAGTGCTCCACACATGGAATGGGCATTGAATTGACCCACGGCTTCACTACTGTGCATGCAGGTGGAGAGTAGTGACGCTACATACACATACCCAGAGCACTGGCAGGCAGGCTGATCCTGATCCGGACTGCCAGTGCTCTGGGTGTGGGTGTATGGAGCGTGGAGGTCAGTCTACCAGAACTCTGAAGCTGCTACTGTGGGCAGATGGGTCACCAGTGCATGCCCTGGTTGTGGAAAGAGGGTTGCAGCCCCCTACTAGGTCTCCACTGGACTTCCCTTCCCTTTCCTAGTCCTTTGGCCAGAGTGCAGGCTTTTCTTTGGATTTTATGCCTACACCTATTGACGTAACAGACTGTGTTGCACATTTCTCCAGTGCTCAGTCCAGGGGTGTGTGGAAGACAAAAAGAAAACCCAGGGAACCCACCACATTGTCATTTCTCTACTCCTGTCGTCTCTACCCAGTCTACCTTCTTCTTTCCCGCTTTCAGAGCTCTTCTATCCTTGTCTGTAGAATAATTTCCAAATATGTAGTTGTATTAGAGGCAGGAAAGGAAGGTGAATCTACACCACCTTGTTCCCTGTACATGATTTGTAATACAAGCTACCACAGATACTTTTTGAAAACAAACCATATATACATTAGGAACCAATATTACTAGTGAGTGGAATGCCTGATTATATGATTGTGCCTAATACTTCAAAATATGATCAGTCAAAATACGATGGTGGAGACTTCTGGTTGGGACAAGATGAACCTATTTCTCCATGCCCCTCCACACTAAGCACAACTGTAAACCCTGGAAATAATGCAAGAGGCAACCAAAGGAAAACTCCGAAAGGTGGTGATAAGAGAGTGAGCTGGTTTGGGACCCAGGACTGTACAATCAGCACCGCAGCAGAGCATCTTGCATCCCCCGCCCTGCACCCTGAAACCCAGACTCAATGTTTCCCAAGCCTGACGTAGGAAAAGAAGGCAACCCAGGTAGATTCATTCTTCCTTCCTTGAGTTGCTCTAATAATATCAGGCAAAATAATTTTGGGGGTGGTTAATAGAGAAAATACTCTCCTTCCTTCCTGGGTCTGAGACACCCCTTTTCTACCAAGAGATACTGAGGGTGTGAGCCGATCTGCCTAGAGAGACCCAGCTTCAACAAGCCTCTTGGTCCAGGAAGCCTCTTTGTTCTGCAGCCTGACTGACACTCTTCCGCTCCCCAGAGGCCGCCAGGAGCATCAGTAGGAGGAGCACCTCCCTCATGGAGAGAAGTCCCAAGGTCTAGCCTGGGGAAACCCTTCTCCCTCCTCAGGTAGCACCAGCAGGAACCAGTGGGAGGCCCAGAGGCACCAGAAAAACCAAGCAGGCTGAAACAACACCACAAAGGCTCTGAAAATTAAGCTTTTGAAAACAAAAAACAAAGGAAAAATAAAACCCTGGAAGCAGGCAGAAAAATAACACATTACCTATAACAGTGATTTGAATGGCAACACATTTATCATTGAAACCACCAAGAAAGCCAGAAGGAAGTGGCACAAAAGGTTTCAAGGGCTGAGATAAGAACTGTCAACCACAATTTCTACATCCAGCAAATTTATTTTCAGGAATGAAAGGGAAATAAAAATATTCCCAGGCAAAGAAAAACCAAAAAAATTTGCCACTAGCTGACTCACCCTTAGAGATCAGCTAAAGAAAGTTTTTCAAAGAGAAAGGAAATGATAATAGAAGGAATGTTGGAGTATCAGAAGAGAAAAAACAATGGGAAGAGCAGAAATATGGGATACATACAATACACTGTCCTTTGCATCACAAGTTCTATGAATCATGTTTGATGAAACAAAAATCAGGCCTCCATCTGGTACTTGAGACAATGATATTTAAAAGTGGGGAAGGTAAAGAGGCCTAAATGGAAAAAAGATTTCCACACCTCACTCAAAGTAGTGAAACATCACCACCAACAGACTGTGGTAAGTCACGTGTGTCTATTGTAATACTCATGTGACCACTATGAGAACTATACCAAGAGATGTACTCAAAAATACTACAATTAAATCAAGATAGAGTCCTCAACGTTGTTTAATCCTCAGAAAGGCAAGAAAAGAGAAATAGAAGAAGAAGAACCAAAGGAAACAAATAGAAAACAAGTAATAAAATGGCAGACTTAAGTGCTAACATACCAAGAATTCCCTTAAATGTAAATTATCTTATATAATCAGCCAAAAGACAAGACTGGCAGAGTGAATTTAAAAAGAAAAAAATGACTCAAGTATGTACTTTTGCCAAGAAACTCACTTCAAATTCAGTGACATAGGCAGGTTGAAAGTAAATGGATGGAAAAGATGTAACATGCAAACATTAATCCACAGATAGCAGGAGTGGCTATGTTCATATCTAATAAAGCAGACTTCAGAGCAAAGAAAATTACTAGGGACAAAAAGGGACTGACTTAGTCCATTTTCTGTTGCTTATAACAGGATACCTGAAACTAGGTAATTTATGAGGAAAATGAATTTATTTCTTACAGTTATGAAGGCTGAGAAGTCTAAGTTCAAGGGGCCACATCCAGTGAGGGCCTTCTTGCTGACAGGGACCCTCTACAGAGTCCCGAGGTGGCCCAAGACATCACATGGCAAGGGGGCTGAGTGTGCTGGCTCAGGTCTCTTCCTCTTTTACAAAGCCACCAGTCTCATTCCCATGATAACCCATTAATCCATGAATCCATGAATTCTTAAGGGCAGGGCCCTCAAGACCAAATCACCTACCTCTTAAAGGCCTCACCTCTCAATACTGCCACATTGAGGATTAAATTTCAACACAAGGGCTGGGCGCAGTGGCTCACGCCTGTAATCCCAGCACTTTGGGAGGCCGAGGCAGGCGGATCATGAGGTCAGAAGATCAAGACCATCCTGGCTAACACGGTGAAACCCCGTCTGTACTAAAAATACAAAAACAAAATTAGCCGGCCGTGGTGGCGGGCGCCTGTAGTCCCGGCTACTCGGAAGGCTGAGGCAGGAGAATGGCATGAACCTGGGAGGCAGAGCTTGCAGTGAGCCAAGATCGTGCCACTGCACTCCAGCCTGGGCGACAGAGCAAGACTCTGTCTCAAAAAAAAAAAAAAAAAATTTCAACATGGGTTTCAGAGGGGACAAATATTCAAACCATAACAAGGACCTTATATAAGGATAAAAGGATCAATCCCCCAGGAAGACATAACCATCCTAAATGTATGCACACTGAACAATCAAACTGCCCTTTCTTTTTCTCGAGTAACGCTGGAGCCGTACTTCAGTGAATTCAGGTTATTCTAGCAAATCTCACCACTGCGCTAGGGATCTCCAAGACCACCTCCACTTGCAGAGATCCAGTAGAAGGACTCACAGGACTTAGCATTTAATTGTACGCATGGCTAAGATTTATGACAGTGACACAGTAAAGATACCCAGGATCATGATGGAAAAAGAGGCAGAGTCTGGTGGAACCCTTGTGAGGCTTCCTGTGTGCTCTCCCCTCCCCCATGAGGGATCATACAAAGTTCACTCCTCCCCCAGCAATGAAATGCAGCAACATGTGTTTGAGGTTTCTTCCCAGGGAAGCCCGTTAGCGACTCGGCACCTAAAGTTTTTATTGAAAGCTGGTCACATAAGCACCCTATGTCTAGCACATGCCAACATTATAGACTCCTAAAAGGAAAGCAGGTGTTCAGCATAAACCATATTGTTTGTACAGTCTAGGCACAGGGAGCCACTCTTATCAGCTAACGGTTGACTGGGAACACTCCAAGAGCCAAGTTCCCAGACCCTAGCCGAGGGCCAAACTTGGCAGCAGAGCTTTCTACGAGAGCAGTCTCAGGCCTGCAGTGTTATCTCTTTTCTGCACAGCTGCATAACCCTGTGGATATGCTTTAAAAAAAACATTGACTTGGACTCTTTAAACGGGTGAATTGTATGGTATATGAATTATCTCTCAATGAGTTTTTTTTTAAAATCTCAGCAAGATTTTCTTGTAGACATAGACAAGCGTCTTCTAAAAAGTTATATGGAAAAGCAAATTGCTCAAACAAACTTGATGAAAAGGAATAAAATGGGAGGAGAACACTCTCCCTTATATTAAGGCTCACTGTATAGCCACAGCAATCAGGATGGGGTGGTACTGGTGACGGCATGGACACACCGATCACTGGAACTGAGTGGAGGATACAGAAATAGATCCGCTCGGCTATGCGCGGTGGCTCACACCTGTCATTCTAGCATGTCGGGAGGCCGACAGGAGAATCGCTTGAACCCAGGAGGTGGAGGTTGCAGTAAGCCAAGATTGTGCCATTGAACTCCAGCCTGGGTGACAAAAGTGAAACTCCATCTCAAAAAAAAAAAAATCTACTTAAATATGTTCCACTGATTTTTGACAAAGGTACAAAATTAATTCCATGAAAGGGGCTGCTTTTCAACAACTGGTGCTGGAACAATTAGAAACCCACAGGCAAAAAAAAAAAAATGAACTTCAATCTAATCTTCATAATGTATATGAAAATTAACTCATAATGTATATGAAAATTAACTCAAAATGGATCGTAGACTTAAATTTAAAACATAATATTAAACTTTAAAAACCTTGGACAAAATCACTGGGACTTGCACACAAAAGGTCTCAGACCAGACACCAGAAGTATGATCCATAAAAAGAAAATGTAAAGTTGGACCACATCAAAATCAAAACTTTTGCTCTTAGAAAGCCCATGTGAAGAGGAGGGAAAGACAAGCTACAAATGGGAAGAAAACATTTGCAAACCACATAACTGACCAAGGACTAGTATCTAGAATATAGAAAGAAGGCTCAAAAGTCAACAGTAAAAGAAACAAACAATCCAATTAGAAAATGGGCAAAAGACATAAACATACGATAAAGCAATTGTAAATAAGCACATGAAGGGACACTCAGTCCATTAGTCACTGTGGAAATACAAATTAAAACCACAATGAGGCCGGGCGTGGTGGCTCACACCTGTAATCCCAGCACTTTGGGAGACTGAGGCAGGTGGATCACCTGAGGTCAGGAGTTCAAGACCAGCCTGACCAACATAGTGAAACCCTGTCTCTACTAAAAATATAAAAAATTAGCCTGGCATGGTGGCGGGCGCCTGTAATCCCAGCTACTCTGGAGGCTGAGCCAGGAGAATCGCTTGAACCCAGGAGGCAGAAGTTGCAGTGAGCCAAGATTACGCCATTGCACTCCAGCCTGGGCAACAAGAGCGAAACTCCGTCTCAAAAAGAAAGAAATAAATAAAACATAAAACCACAATGAGATGTCACTACACACCTACCAGATTGACTAAAATAAAAAGTAGTGACAGCACCCAATGCCAGCAAGGATGTAGAGAAGCTAGGTCACTCACACAATGGGAAGGTAAAATGGTCTAGCCACTCTGAAATACAGTTTGGCAGTTTCTTATTAAACCAAACATACAATTTACCACCCAAACCAGCAACTGCACCTTGGGCATTTATTCCAGAGGCATGAGAACTTATATCCACACAGAAACTTGCACACAAACATTCATAGCAAGTTTAAGTGTAATAGCCCAAAACTGGAATCAGCCTAGATGTCCTTCATTAGGTGACTGTAAATAAACTATGATCCATCCATACTGTGGAACACTACTCAACAATAAAGAGGTATAAACTATTATTTGGAAGCAATCTAAGTGTCTATCAACTGATGAATGGATAAAGAAAATGTGGTACATATACACAGTGGAGTACTATTCAGCTGTAAAATAGAATGAGATCCTGTCATTTGCAACAACATACATAATGAATAAGATCTAATATTCACTAGCACAACAGCTGATGATAGTCAATAATAATTTAATTGTATATTAAAAAAATAAAAGTATAATGGTATTGTTTGTAACACAAATGATAAATGCTTGAAGTGGTCGATACCCCATTTATCCCAATGTGATTATTACACATTGCCTATATCAAAATATCTTATGAACTCCATAAATATATACACCTACTATGTACCCACAAAAATTAAAATTAAAAAAAAAGAGGAACAAACTATTGACACACAACTTGAATGAATCTCCAGGGAATTTTGCTGAGTGGAAAAAACTCCAATCCCAAAAAGTTATATAGCATATGAGTCCATTTATAAAATATTTTGAAATGACGTAGGGATGGGGGAAGCAAGAGATGAATGTGGTTGTTTGTGGTGGTGGATACATGAACCTGCACAGGTGATACGATTGTGTAGAAATAAATATACACACAAATGAATTTAAGTAAAACTTGGGGAATTTAAGTAAAACTTGGGAAATTTAAGATCAGCAGAGTGTATCAACGTCAGTATCTGGGTTGTGATATTATACCACAGTTTTTGTAAAATGTAACCATCGGGGGAAACTAAACAGGGTGTAAAAGAGATCTCTCTGAATTATTTCTTTCCTTCCTTCCTTCTTTCTTTTCTTTTCTCTTCCTTTCTCTTTTTTTTCCTTTTTTTCTTTTCTTTTTTTTGAAACACCTGTTGCCCAGGCTGGAGTGTGGTCACGTGGCATGATCATGGCTCACTGCAGCCTTGACCGCCTAGGCTCAAATGATCCTCCCGCCTCAGCCTCCTGAGTAGCTGAGATCACAGGCAGGCACCATCATACCTGGCTATTTTTTTGTTTTGTTTTTTTGTAGAGACAGGGTCTTGTTGTGTTGTCCACACTGGTCTTGAACTCCTGGCCTCAAGGGATCCTCCTGCCTCAGTCTCCCAAGTAGCTGGCGACAGTTGGGAGTCACTGCACTTGGCTAATTATTTTTATTTTTTTTGTAAGAGACGGGTCTTATTGTGTTGCCCAGGCTGGGCAACTCCTGGGCTTAAGTGATGCTCCTGCCTCAGCCTCCCAAAGTGCTGAGATTACAGGCGTGAGCCACTGCACCCAGCCTGAATTATTTCTTACAACTGCATGTAAATCTACAATTATCTTCATAAGAATTTCAATTAAAAATAATAAATCAAGGAGAATCCTATAATTCAGGAAAAGACATCATGACAGGCCCCATGAAGTATCCCACAGCCCTTTCCTGCCCATTTCTTGGAGGGTCCGAGGTCTCAGGGTTTCTTCCGCTGACACCCATTCTCTCTTCTCATGGTTGGAGTGCGACTCCTTCCTTTCTTTCAAAGCACTCTCCTGGCATTTTCATCTGTGCACACAGTTGCTTTTCCTCTGGACGCACAGGCATCGTTGCCTTTAACAGAACCAGAGCAGGGCTCCTTAGCAGAAGGAGGTCAGCGGCCAACAGAGGACCAGAGCGCTGCCCCCCTGGAGGTGGTCAGTCCCCATGGTGTGCAGCTGTGTGTGCTCAGGGTGCGTTCTCACACACGACTTTTACGAATGCCATCTCTATTGTGTTTAAAACCCAGAAGCGAGCTCTCTAGCAAACCTATGATGAGTATGTTGGTCTTTCCCCAATGTTTTATGCCTGGGTGAAGCAGCCATTTCTCTATGTGTGCAGCAATTGAGGAGTGATTTACAAAAACTCTCCTACTAGTATTTGCCTAAGGGAGGAACTGGAATTTCATTTTGGTTGGGGGTGAGGGTGGTTAAAAAGAGCACGCCTTGCTAGGACCATCTTAGAGTAGAACATACAAGCTCTCCCAAATCAGTTCTCAGAGTCACTGAGCTGTGCACAGGCTGTTCAAGGGCATCTCAATTGTCTTTATCTCTTCTTTCTGGACCTCGTGTTAAGGAAAGGAATGGAAACACCAATAAGAGCATTGTCGTAGAGAGATTTGGCCATGAACCAGGATTGTAGCAAAGGGGCGACTTCTCTCACTACCACCAAGTACTCCAAAGAAGCATAGAATCTAATTAAAATAAATGTAGTCTCAAGATAAGCCCTTATCTCCTCCCTATTGCTTCTATATTGCCCCCTAAGCCCTGTAAATTTAGAAATTCTGATTCCCAGGTCCCTGAACCTGCACATCCCGCTCCTCCCTCCACACCCGTCTGCTGGGGAGGGGAGAAGAGGGTGCCCACAGATGCAGCAGGGGGGTCGTGACAGAGCCGGGAACCAGGGCGCTGGTGGCCCACTTAACTGGACACCTGGAGAGGTGGCTGAGCAGCGGGTGGGGGCGTTCGTTTTCACTGGGGTGGGATGGGAATTGTGGTGAATCGTGCTGAAAAATGCAGAGGCAGCATCCGTCCTCACCAAGGAGAGACCAAGGTTTGATTTTTAAAACAAATGAACAGCTTGAGGCTATTTTTTTAAATGAAAATGACCATAAATGTGCAATGTGTGCCATATGAACAAGACCACCTCACAAAGTCCAGCACATTCCCCCTCCCTTCCTGCTCCCCTATCAGGGCAGAATGGCCTCCCCAGATTCCAATCCCGTTTAGTTGGCAACCAGATTGAGGCTTGGACCTGGGTATAATTGCTGACTCAGAAATTCAGGGAAGAATCCAAGCCAAAGTATAAAATATTTTATTATTGTCTAGGGGAACAGGGGAGTGGAGAATGTGTGTGTGTATGTGTGAGTACGTGTGTATATGTGCGTGCATTATATCACATCTGGAGAAACAGCTCTTTGTAATTAACCTTTATTCTCTACCTCTTAGGCAAAATCCCTGGGTTTTGTTTCAAGGATAAATTTGTTGTCATTTTCCAAACATGAATCCCCATTCTATGTCATGTAAAGTCTGCAATCAGCCATTGGGAGGCTCAGGTTTCCCTTGGGGATATGTGGAAACTAAGCCTCGCCCTCATCCCTCCCGAAACACACACACTTTCCTCTCTCACCGTGTCAGCTTTTTCAGCTCGGCTTTATTAAAGGCCTTTAAAAAGCCTCTAAAACTGTGCCTTCAACACGCCGTGCCTTTGTTCTTCCACGCCTTTGTTCTTTTGCCAGCCATGAGCTCAGGGGGCTGCCTGGCGGGCCTGAGCCTGGGGAATGCAGGGCCTCGGGTCCACAGCGGCTGTGCAGACGGCGGAGCAGAAGAGGGAGAGGTTCGTCTTCCAGGCTGCACCGCGCTGGCGGCGAGCGGGTTCACAGGGAGCCGGCGGCGGTGGTACCACAGCCTGGTGATGTCAGACACCAGTGGTTCTTTCAGAGGGGTCTCTCCAGCCCCAAGCAGGAAGCTGTTTTCCTTCTGTGTGTGCAGCCAAGGCCCCTGGAGGGGCTGAGAGTCGGGGCTGAGTCTTCCTGGGGCCAGGGCCCCCCAACAAGGCCTCCGATGAGCCCCAGAGGACCTCCCTCTCAGGTACTAATAAGGTGTCCAAGTTGCAACCCGCTTTTTGGCCTTGTCCACCCTATGGTTTTCAAGGCTGGTTGGAACTTGCTAATGCTAAAAAATATGTATTACCTTGGTTGCTGTCTGGCAGCTTAAAATACATGTGTGGAGAATAACAGCCTGGACTGCACCCTTCCTTGCTTGGGAAAGGTTTTAAAAGGAGGTACCGCTCAGAATACCTCTCACATCGGGAACTGTTATCATTTTATCGCTCACTTGCCCATCTCCAACAGACAGACGCCCGTGCAATGCAACGTCTGTTGCATTGCTATTTGCTGTCTGCCAGTGAAGCTTGACCCCCAGTGGCTGAGTTTTGCCTCAAGAAGGTGATCGTGGATGTCTTATACTTCCCACACTTCCACAGGTCTCCCCCTCGGTCATCATTTTGCAGTTAAGCTGTTCATAAAATCGAATGGGTCAGGATACAGTTAAGTAATATAACAGTAATGGCCCCAATGCAGAAAACAGCTAAACCACAACACACAGAAGACCAGATTTTAAAGAAAGATTGTTCTTGTTAATTTTCAGTTTCAAAAAATTGATATCTTACTTTTTGCTTCTTGTGTACATTTTTTTTTGTCACACATGTGATTCCATCTTAAAAGACAGAATCATAGAATAGGTAATATTCTACTCTGAAGTCAGAGCGAGGTCTCCAGCTCTGTGAATTCTGTTTGTCCTTCTTCATCTGCAAGTTGGGGATAATTCTTATCTACCTTACTAACAGGTGTTCATGAGAACTAGGGTAAAACAAGTAACACATTTAGGATGAGTAAGTGCTGAGTGTATTTTAATGATTAATATTATTGGTATAATCAAAATTATATTAGTTTTTCAAAATTATAATGACATATGTCTCAATGTGAATATATATATTTACTATTTTAACATATGTAAAAATATTCATCAAGTCAAAGATATCTTCTCTTAATCAAAACCAAAATAATTACTTCATGTGCTTTGAGGAAGAGTTACGATGAGAACCTTTAATGATTGGAAGATGAAGTGCCTTTGCTCTGAAATCTGACACGGAACAAGTATGGTACATGAATTAGGTTTTATTACATTTTTATCCTCTTACCTTTGTAATTGCTTCAAGTTGTTTCACCACTGGTTAGAGTGATTTGCGAGGGCAATTTATGATGCCAAAATGATGTCAATGAAAGTCTGGAGTAATGACAGATGATGTCAAAACCTGAGAATGTAAATGCAAATTGTAGTTAGACTAAAAAAAGTTAATGCCAAAAAGCATATTAAGCTAACACTACATTTGAAAGATTTTATGGGAAAAATTAAAGAAACAAGATGAGTTATGTGCTATATAATTGTGTCTCAGTCCTCTCTATGCCTGACTTTTTTTAGACAAATTGATCATAAAAATTAAAGTAAATCATGGTTCTCAGTCTGTGTCTTCACTGTACTGAGTGAAGTGGGCAATTTGCCAGTGCCCAGAAGAAACCAGGCCCTCCTCCATTGTCCCTGCATGAAGCCCAGAAGGAACCCTCAGACCATTGTGTAAGACCTGGGGGACCTCTGAGTCCCCGTGTTCCAGTGAGAGCTGGAAAAGGTCTTGGGGGGCGGTCACCAAATCCCAATCCTTCCCTTTACAGGGTGCAAAATTGAGGCCCTGTCGCTTCATGTGACTTGCTTAAAGCAATATAGCCAGCTAGCTGCAGAGCTGAACAAGGAGGCCGGTTCCACTGTGCTGCGGGAATTCTCAGCCCTCCTCCCTCCCCGGTCTTCCCCATCTGGGCTCTTCTCCCTCCATCCCCAGCTGACCCCGCCCTTCCCTCCAGTGGTTATTAAATCCTAACATCCTAGGTAAGGGTTGGCTTGGGCCCTGAGGAGCAGTCACTAAAGGGGGCAGCTCCCAAGGAATGCAAATGACCTGAGGACGGACTCGCCTGGGAGTCACTCCTGTGTCATGATCTGCCTTGTGCTCTGTTGTTTTTCTCTAACTCGGTGATTTGGCATTGCTAAAGCATCACAGGCCTCGGAGAGCAAGTGGAGAAGACGCCTTTTGGACTGGAAGCCCTTCCTTCACAACAAGGCCAGCTCTGGATGTTGTGTGTGGTTTCCTTGGCGCTGTATTTTAGCAATGACTGTGCTTTTGATCACAGCCTGATAAATGTCCCAAAGGCCTGACTCAGAGCCACACTCTGGAAATGACGCAGGGGGCAGTGAGCCCAAAGACACAAAGCTGTCCCGGTGGGCACTCAGGGCTTCTGTCTGAAACGGCCACCTCCAGGCCTGCTCCGGCCTCACGCTCCCTGCACCTGCTCTTGGGTAGTGGCCCCATATTGGGAACTGCACCCTGGTGGAGCGCTGGTCTACCACAACCTTCCTCTCTAGCCTAGTCCAGCCTTGCCTGCCAGACGAAAGCCCGGCAATGCCTGCGGTGTTCACTCCTCTGAATCTGCCAGACACTCAGGGTGCTGGTGACCTGAACGTGGACCCTCATGAATCCCCACTTGCTGGTCTCCAGCAACTCTGCTCACCTGCCTTGTAGCCCAACTATGTTATTGCCTCCTAATCCCCTGTCACCTGAATATTTTTGTGGTTCTTTGTTTGCAGAGGCCTCAGAAACTAGGTGATTTTAGAAAATAAATATGGTCTCATTAAACCTACATGTTGACCCGTGTTGTAAGCCAGTCTCTTAAATTAGGGCATTCCAGAGGTGGAAAGAGACAGCCTTGCCATTCGTTTGAACAAATGCATGTCTTTGTCCGGCCAGGTAGAGATGGGGACTTTTTCATAGATGACCCCATCTCTCCATAAGGTTGAAATATTTTCTCTTTCTCCCCATTAGGTTAATACATAAAGTCTCCCAATTAAATGCTAAAAGGTAACATAGCTCTCCCAGTGAGGATTCCTGCTATACACAGGCCCCTACATGGCAGGCACGTCCCTTCAGGCTTCCCTATAAAGATGAGGAGGGTGATGGCAGGCACGTCCCTTCAGGCTTCCCTATAAAGATGAGGAGGGTGATGCCACCTTCTTTTCGATTGCTGCTGAATTAAGCCCATATTCTGCATTGAACAGAGGCAGAAACTTGGGAGTACCATTTAGGAACTCAAAATAATTGAGAACATTACTCAGTCGTAATGAGCATTACTCATTAGTCCAAAGCTCCCAGAGTCAGGGTGGAGGGAGAGGGATGAGTGATAAAGTTGAGAGTTTTCCTTGTCGTTCCTTTAAGTCTGAAACCAGACATTCTAGCTTTGAAATATCTGTTTCTGAGTACCTATAGGAATGCCCCATGAGGATCAATGTCACCATTCAAAATTGTTTAATAAGCTATCCTTATATGGTGATGTGATGAACACCAACCAGATCAGGGTAAACTGATCACCAATGCAGCTCTCCTGAGCTCATCAAGCTGCCAATTGACAGAGATGTGCACTGTTGGACTAACAAGAGAATAGGATGGCCCCCTGATGTACGTTTTCCTAGCACCCGACACTTCAGCTGTCATAACCCTCACCCAACATCTTTGTGATTAGTGATGATTTGTGTGACATTTTTCCTCCCCAATAGGCTATAACCTCTGTGAAAACAGACCTTGTCTCCCTGGATCACAGCTATATCCACCAAGGCCTGGCACAATGCCTGACATTCAGTAGGCACTGATGAATGAATGAGAGATGGATTGATGATGGTTGGATGGATGGATGGTTGGTTGGATGGATGGATGGATGAATGAATGGATGGATGGAGCTCAGTGTATTCATATTGTGGTCTTGCATTCATTTTCCAAAGAAAACATATTAGGAGTAGCATGCTGACACAATGTGGAATTGGGGAGAAATTGCCCTTCCTCCAATTTAGTTGAAGAAAGTCTCACAACTAATTTTTAGACATCTCTAAAGAGTGATGACCATATTTTGCTGATTAAATTTCTTTTCTGTGAGCCCTTTATTTAGTGAAATTTCACTTCTGATATTTTCTTCTGTCTTATTTCATTCTAGTCTTTATTCTAAGTTTGATTTATTATTTGTTGTTTTTGTTGCTGTAATGTCCCAAAATCTGTGGCAATGGGCTGTTTATAAATTTTACCTGAAGAAACTGCATAATTGTCACACCTACCCAAGATATCATTGAGATATGATGCATTCTCATGGGCTGTCATAACAAAATACCACCGACTGGGTGGCTTAAGCAACAGAAATTTATTTTCTCACAGTTCTGGAAGCTGGAAGTCCAAGATCAAGGTACCCCAAAATTTGGTTTCTGGTGAGGGCTGTCTTCCTGGCTTGCAGTCAGCCGCCTTCTCGCTGTGTCTTCACATGTTCTTTTCTTTGTTCACATGGAGAGAGAGAGAAAGAGAGCAAGTTCTCTGGTCTTCTTATAAGGACACCAGTCCTGGATTGGATTAAGGCCCTATTCTTATGATCTCATTTAACCTTAATTATCTCCTTAAGGATCTTATTTACAAATACTGTCACATAGAGGGCTAGGGCTTCAATGTAGGAATTTGAGGAGAAGGCAACTCAGTCCATAACACATGACAAATGGAATTCCTAAGACACTCCAAATTATTTGCCTTTGGCTCCTCTAGCATTGCCCATCACCCTATGTGCATGTGCAGGGCTTATCCATATACCCTTTCAGGTTGAACAGATGCTGTGTCCTGCAGCCACTGGAAAGTCTGAGGTAAAATTTCTATTTTGATAACAACTCTTATTAAAAGATGAAGAGTGCCTTTCTAGTGGGTTCGTGTCCAGACCCTGAATCTATGTGCCCTGTTTTGAAATATAACATTATGTGGAAACATTTATCAGATGGGTATCAAGCATTCTGCCCAGTTTTCTATGACTTGGTTTGGAGAATGGACTGACCCAAACCTTCAGAAGAGAGCCCCTGGGGCTTTCAAGAGGCTGGGGAGGACGTAGAACCATCCTATTTGGAAGGAAAGCCATTTTCCTCTACCTCCCCTCTGACTCCCACCTCCTCCCAGGTCCTCCTTACCTGGATGACAATTGCCCGGCTTCCAGAAGCACAGCAAGAGGCTGCTGGCTTCCTCTTCTCTTTTTTATGTTCAGGTAGAGCTGAAACCATCAGGCATGAGGATGTGTGCTGACTTGGAGTGGACGGACCCATCAAAGTCATGTCTGCCCTTGGCTCAGCCATAACTCTGGAGCTGAGTGACGGGGACGTGGGAGGAGACACCACCACCTCTGGCATCTTGAGAATGGACATTCCCTGGTGCAAGTGAACTGGGCTCACAGCTTCTCGAATGCCCATGATTAAAGAAAAAATGCACCGTACTGCATAGATAGGACCCAGTCTGTTCTCCATTATGTATAAATTTCTCCATTATCTTATATGAATCCAAGAGGCATGGTGAAATGAAATTTACATCTCTATTATTAATTACCAGTTTCTTTGCTCTGTAAAGGTGTTCTTCTACATCCATCAATTTAGAGGATATTATCATTTCTGTATCAATCATTTAAAATGCACCAAAATAAAAAAGTAATAAGAATTCACGTTCATGATGATTTTTCTTTTCCCACAGGAGCGAATTCTACCCATGACGATATCATATTCTTGCTTCTGAAGGAAAGAAACCTTTAAAAATAAATGCGTGGTTGTCCCAGTTACAGAAATGAATTTTTTAAAGCCCAAGCTTGTGATAATTACCATTCGTGGATAGAAACATGGCAGAGGGTTTTTCAATAAAAGTTATACCCCTAAACAAATAACCTTGCTGCAAAAGAAACTTCGTGCTTCTGCTCAGAGACAGGTGTCTTGCTAAAATTACTTCTCTGTTTTCTGTTCCTTCACAGTGGAGATG